>NT_187571.1:0-305841 GCF_000001405.40 Homo sapiens | reverse complement strand
GAATTCGTTCTCCGGTGCTGGAGAGGGATCTGGTTATCTCCATTCTCTTGTCTCCACGTGGAAAGGAAGGACGTGCGCTCTCATCCTACGTGTTTTGAGAAATCGCATTGTCCCCAGCTCTGCGGGAGGATCTGGGGACGCAGTGGGGAACCAGACAGGCAGTTGGAGGTCTAGTGCGCACCAGAAGCCAGTTCCCACCCAGGGTGCCATTTGCTGGGCGCCCTAGGGAGCTGCGTGGGCATCCAGAGGAGTGAGTCGCCCCCTGCTCTGCTCAGTGCCCACTTCCCCGGGCAGGGCAGGCGTTATTAACGTAGAGGGAGAACACCCATGCACACAACACATGCACGATGAAGTCTGGTCTTTCCTTCTCACCACTTAGCTTATAGGACCTAATCCCCTTTTGGACCTTTCTCAGCCGCAGTTTACCCCTGTATTACTTGTCACCCTTCCCCCAGCCCACACCCAGCGGGATGGGATAAGGTCTGTTTGAGAAGACAGCTTGGGCAAATGGCTGAAGGCTGGACTGGCAGGACCAGGGAGTGTCCTTAGACTGCCATTGCCAGGCCCCCAGCGGGCGGGCTGGTCCCATGTCCCACTGAGGCAGAAACCAGTTACTAGGGGGAGAGAGGCATTTACACAAGATACCCAGCTTGCGAGGGCAGCCCAGTGTGTGATTCACAGGACTGGCTAACTCCACTCTTTCTACTATGTCCTTTCTCTTGAAGCCACAGGAGTAAGTGACCTTTGAGGGGCACTCCAGAGAGAAAGGATGTAAGGGTTGAGGACCTGGTGACTGTCTTCAGGCAGCAGTCAGAGAGTTGATGGTGAAGGAGGAGGAGGCTCAGAGACAAGGACTGGACATGGGAAGGTGGAGGAGGAGAGTGGATGCCTGACTCCCCTAGCACCCGCAGAACAGCGCCCTGTGCTCATGAGGGTTAAATGGGGGCTCAGGTCTGCTGTGGCGTGGTGCCAGATAGGTGGTGTCATTGTTGAGTTGGACGTGGGCCATAACTGACCCCACGAACGGGTTGTCTGTTGGGGTGTTTGTTGCCATCCAAATTCTGTTGGGTTTAATACGTGTTTTTTTATCGTCAGGTTTCAGGCTTGCATCCGGCTCCAGGAGTGAGCTGTAGCCTGTGGTCTAACCCATTCCTCTTTTAATCATTGGGATGGAAAGGCTTCTAGAAGGGTTATCTGTTCCCACCGTCCTGGTTGGGCACAGTGATGAGAGCCTGTCCCCTGTCTCATGCTGCTTCAGCTCTCATGGGAGGTTGAATGGAGCAGCTGAACTTGGCTGACAGTGGCCTGGTGGGGAAGGAAGCCAGAAGATGCAGAAGGGCCTCCCCTCCCATGGGCATGCCTTCTGCCTGGTGGCTGCAGAATGAGGCCGGCTGCCTCTTTGCAGCAAGGGTAGGTCTTCTGGATGCATCTTTTCACTTTGACGCATGGCTCCGTTCTCTTCACTGACAGCCAGACCAGCTCTCATTTGGGGTCATCACCCTTGGGGTTCCAGTTCCTTTCTTCTGTAGGCCCCAGCCTGCAATGTCACCTCATAGAGAGGCCCCCGGCTGCCATGGCCTGGCATAGCTCATAGCCACTCCTTTCTTATCCTGTGCTTTCTTCGTAGTGCTGGTAAACCACAGAAGTCATCTTTGATTTTGGCATTCTTTGCTGGCAGCTGACACCAGGCTCCTGAGAGAGACGTCTTTCTCTCTTGTCTCGTGTCTGCGGCCTCTGCAGCGCTCACTGTGGAGCCTGGGCACGCAGTAAGCAGTGTTCATTGTGTGAAGGGAACTGACAGATAGAAGGCAGTGTCCTGCAGCCAGCTCTGCCCTGGGTATCTGACACTGGATGTTGTTAATACTGATGAGTGCTGGAACCTGTGGCTTGCTTTGCTGCTTTCCATGTGCAGGGACTGCAGGTTGTGGGGTTGGGGGCGTGTTGGGATTTCACTGAATCTTCACAGTAGCCCTAGGAGACAGGCCGTCCCCATTCCCAGCTGAGGAGCCTGAAGCCTTGAGACCTTGGGACCTTCAGTCATTCGCTCCACATTATTTTTTTTTTCTTTTTGTGTGTGAGACGGAGTTTTGCTTTATCGCCCAGGCTAGAGTGCAGTGGGGTGATCCCGGCTCACTGCAACCTCTGCCTCCTGGGTTCAGGCAATTCATGGTAGCACCTCAGCCTCCCAAGTAGCTGGGATTACAGGTGCTTGCCACCATGCCCGGCTAATTTTTGTATTTTTAGTAGAGATGGGGTTTCACCATGTTGGCCAGGCTGGTCTCCAACTCCTGACCTCAAGCAATCCACCTGCCTCGGCCTCCCAAAGTGCTGGGATTACAGGCGTGAGCCACTGCGTCTGGCCACATTACTTTTTAAAAAAATCTTTTTTTTCATAGAGACAGCGTCTTGCTGTGTTGTCCAGGCTGGTCTTAAGTGCTACATCGGTCTCCCAAAGTGCTGGAGTTACAGGTGTGAGCCACCACGCCCAGCCCCTACATTGCTTTTCTTGTTTTCTGATGGAAATACTCTTCTTTGCTCTGGGCTGAGGAAAGGCAGTCCCAGAGTTGGCACCCCAGAGCCCCTCTGCTGTGCCGCCCCTCAGAGGGGCTTCCCATCCCTCCAAGCACTGCTGCCTGGTGCTGGGGGCATCCTGACCATAAAGACGCCATTTTAATTGCCTAAAGATGGCAGTACGTGACTAGCTGCGATTGTAAACACCGGTTTCCTCCAAGTTCTCCCAGCGTCTGGTTAGCACAGAACCCTAAGCTCCATGCAGCTGGGAACTTCCATCTGCCAGGAATGGCATGGGGTGTCCTGTGTAGAATGCACCAGTGGGCCGGCTTTTCCCAAGAAAATGTTTTTCCGAGCCACATCCCACTGTCAACACTGTTGTGGCTTACTTGTTGGTTAGTGCAGTGATTTGGGGGAGCAGGAAGTTACAAAAGTGCCCCTCAGTTCACCCTGTTCACGGGTATCTGGAGACTGGTCGTGAAGTGATCTCTTGCTGTGGGCAATGAGAGGCAGCCTTGGCTGGGCACAGTGGTCCACGCCTGTAGTACCAGCACTTTGGAGGCTGAGATAGGTGGATTGTTTGAGACCAGCTTGGGCAACACGGAGACCCCCATCTCTACCAAAAATACAAAAATTAGCCAGGTGTGGCGGCGCATGCCTGGAGTCCCAGGAGGCGGAGGTTGCAGTAAGCCGTAGTTGCACCACCGCACTCTAGCCTGGGCAACAGAGCCAGACCCTGTCTCAAAAAAAAAAAAGAGGCAGCCTCTGCTCTGGCTGTGCATGCAGTGGGAGGGGCCCCTTGTTTCCTTTCACTCTCTCCGGGGTGCAGTGTTTAGGCAGCGTGGGGCTGAGTTGGGCAGCTAGAGCACACCCATGCCGACAGCATTGGGAGCAGCTCCAGGCACGGGCTGGGTTGGCCTTCCCCAGTGCAGCTGGGCTGGTGGTGCTGCTCCTCCTCTGGAGGCTGAAGGACCTGGGACACTCTGGTGGGTCAGCCCAGCCTCTGGCTTTGCGCACATGGCTCCAAGGGTGGGCACGCTGATCTCTTCTGTTCTTAGATATTGTGGGTCTCATCCTTGAGCTGGGAGTGGGGTGACTGCATGCTGCCTTGCTTCTCGTTGTGCAGCCTCTGAGAAGGTAGAGTAGGTCTCAAGGCCCTTCCATCATCTCCCGACCCCCACAGCGTTACCCGTTTCCTGCCCGTGGCCTGTCTTTGCCCTGCCATCCCTCAAGACCATTGTGGAGCTGCTCCTCCTTCCTGTGCCCCCTTAGGTGTGGGTCTTACTGAGTGCAGAGGGCTAACCTCTTGGCCGTCCTCCTGCGAGACAGCTCTGGATGGTTCTGTTGCCAGGGAAGGGAGGCCTGCGCATCCAGACCCCTGCCCACCATGCTGCTTAAAAGTGTCTTCAGGAGAGAACTGGGACCTGGGCTGGGCCAGAGCCTGTGGAAGGCACTGGAGCTGGGGCTGAGTTGTGGGCTGGCCAAGGTGTGTACAGGTTGCCAGGAAGGCACCGCTGCTGCCTCAGGAGGGCATGGGGGACACCCAGCCGGTTCCTTTGGCCGTCCAGCCTGCCGGCAGGAGAGGATGGCTTTCTTTTGCCTGGGGCAGGAGCACAGCTCTCTCTACCCTCCTCCCCATCCCCGCTGGGACTCGCTGGCAGCCCTGGCCCAGCCCATGCTCCGCTCTGCTTCTGACTGGGTCCCTGGGCGTGCTGATGGGTGTGAAGAGAGGGCAGTTTGGGCTGGGGGGTCATGTCGGGAATGCCTCCCTGCCTGGCCTCCCTTGCTTATCCGTGAGGAGCTCAGCCCTTAGCTCGGGAGGAGAGCAGGCCTGGGCGGTGGGGTGGTGTGCCTGTCGTTACAACATCTCCTTCCTGCCTGCAGCAGGTCAATGGCCAGCAAGGAGGGGGGTCCGAGCCGGCGGCGGCGGCGGCAGTGGTGGCAGCGGGAGACAAATGGAAACCTCCACAGGTACTGACCTTAAGCATCCTCTCCCTCAGGCCCGCCCGCCTGCCCGCCCGCCCGCCCGCCTGCCTGTGCGTCCCTGGGCCCAGAGAGGGCTGGCTGGGGGCGGGGCGGGAGGAACCTCGGGAACCCTTCTCTGCCTCTGGGCAGACAACTGCCCGCAGGACCACGGCCCTCTCCCCGCACCAGCCCTGCACCCTCCCCACCCAGGCACTGAGCTGGCCTTTGCCCTCTGCATCTGCCCTGCTCCAAGCACCAGGCGGGGCCTGTTGACAGTCTGGCTGGGCGGGGACGCCGGGGCCTGGAGCTCGCGCGTTCTTAGGCATGAGCGTCTTGCAGGAAGGGTGGGCCAAGCTTCCCAGAACTCGCAGTGCTTGAGGAGCCAGAAGGACAGATTTCATTTCAGACCTCTGTGTTTTCATTTAAATAAAACAGTGAAGCAATGCGCAAGTCAAAGCACAGGTCTGGTTGGGACTCAGCCCTCCCCATCTTTTTTCGGCCCCAGGCTCCAGAGTGGGTGCAGGTGGGTCTTGGTCTGTTCGATGGCCCAGCCTTGGGAGCAGGTCCTCTCAGAGGTGGAGCTGGGCCTGTGGCTGGGTAGTTGGGTTCTTTGTGCTTCTCCATGGTAGCGCCCGCCTCCAGAGCATTCCAGTGGGGCCTCAGCAAGGTGGCCTGGCAGCCTCTTGGGGCTGGGCCCTCCTCTTGGTCCCCCAGGCACACTCAGGGGGTGGGACTGGGACATGGTATGCAGCTTGGATCCTGGGAGATGTGGGGGCTGGTGCTCCCTGGCCCTTGGCTGGCGCCCAGCCGGCCATTGGTTGGTGGGAGAAGGGCCTTTTGTTTACCAAGACAAAGAGGAGATTGAAAAATGTCTGGGGGCTGAGGGGGTTGGCATTGATTACCATGGTGACAGCCTGCTCTCAAGTCCCAGCCTCTGGCTCTTGGGCCCTCTTTCCCACTAAGGAGGAATGGGCTTGGGGCCAGCTGTGAGGGTGGTGAGGACAGGCCTAGTGTGAGCCGGACTGGGGCACCTGGTGCTGAGGGTGGTGAGGACAGGCCTAGTGTGAGCCGGACTGGGGCACCTGGTGCTGAGGGTGGTGAAGACAGGCCTAGTGTGAGCCGGACTGGGGCACCTGGTGCTGAGGGTGATTAGGACAGGCCTGGTGTGAGCCGGACTGGGGCACCTGGTGCCACCCACAGCCAGCCTTTGACCTTCAGGGACTGGTTGGGGCTCTGGTTGCCTGGGGAGGGGTCTCCAGGGCTTCCTGCCCTTTGAGCCTGGGCCAGCATCCCAGCACTTGGCAGGCAGGAGGGGGTTCTTGGGGCTTGGGCCAGCCTGTCCCTTCCTGCCTCCTGTGTCCCTCTGTCCTTGCTCATCACTTCTGTGCTGGGGACCCTTCTCTCTTCTCTGCTGTCCCTCAAGGCTGTGTCTGGAAGTCTCGGAGGGCCCGGTTGGTGGGCCAGTGATCTTTGTGCTTGCTGAGCTGGAGGACAGGCGCAGGCATGCTGTTTGCCCATCCCACACTCTGATGGGCCTGCTAGCCATGCCTCCCTGCTCACACAGCTGCGTTCTTCCCTCTGCAAAAAGCTTAGAGATGGATTTTGACAGGAGGGACGTAAACATAATCCTGGTTGGCATCAGCTTGGGTCTGCAGTGGCTGTGACTGCCCAAGGGCCTCTTGGTCCCCAGGCCCACCTGGCTAGGGTGCCAGTGGGGTCTGCTCCTGGCTTCTCCCAGTGGGCCAGGCAAAGCCCATGCAAGAGTGTGTGGAAGTGAGCTGGAGCCCTCTTCAGGGCTTGTGTGGCCCGAGAGAGGCCTGTGTTCTCTGGGAGGTGTGCACAGTGCCTGCGGGGACGGTGGGGGGAGCACTGTTGGGAGAGAGGCCCTTGTATTAGCTCCTTGGGTGGGCCCCTTGAAACTCCAGGGAAGCTGAGCCTGTGTCTGTGGCAGGGACTGTGAGGAAGCCTGGAGGAGCCTGGGAGCAAGGAGTCCCAGAACGTCCAGAGAGCCGTGGCCCTTTTCTCCTGCCTTGGAGGACGGCTGAGGCTGGCTCTCCTGCCGGGCATGTGATAGCAGCTCTGGGGTCAGACTGACAACAAGGGGCTGGACCCCTTTTCTGCCTCCAGCTGTTTATCTTGGTGGTTCCCGAGGAGGCCACTGTGGCCTGGGCCCCACAACTGCTCGGGTTGGCCCAGGGCCTCCAGGGCACCTGCCTGCCTCAGTCTGTGTTCTACCCCATGGGTCCCGGGGGAGACAGTGGCCTGGGCTGGGGACAGCAATGTCAGAAGGGCTGGCCTGAGTACAGGCCAGGCAGGGGACAGTCTGTGCTAGGGGTGGCCCTCCTGGGGCCACGTGAAGGAGAACTTGAGCTTGCTGCTGATGGATTCCCCTGCTCCCTTACCAGGGCACAGACTCCATCAAGATGGAGAACGGGCAGAGCACAGCCGCCAAGCTGGGGCTGCCTCCCCTGACGCCCGAGCAGCAGGAGGCCCTTCAGAAGGTGAGCATGGACCTCCCAGGGCACTGCAGGTGTGGGACAGTCAACTGGGGGCAGGGGCAGGGGCGGGGTGCGGGGCAGGCCTGTCTCCCATGGGCTGGGCCCCCAGTGCTCCTCACTGCCGCCTCTCTCAGGCCAAGAAGTACGCCATGGAGCAGAGCATCAAGAGTGTGCTGGTGAAGCAGACCATCGCGCACCAGCAGCAGCAGCTCACCAACCTGCAGGTGAGCCCCGGCCGGAGCCTCTACCGCCCTCCCCACCACAGCCACCATCTCCTCCTCTTCACGCTCTTCCTCCTCCTGGGCCTGCGGCCGTCCCCGCAAGCTGTTACAGTGCTCCGATTCTCAAAGACTCATGCTCGGGACCCCCGGGGTCCTCTCTGAGGCACGAGTGGCCCAGCCTTTCCCACCTGTTGCTCGCTGGAGCCCCTAAAGCGCCGCAGCCCCTTTCTTGGCTGCTTGGCTGCAGCTCTACCCTTTTCCCCTTCCTGGTCTTCACACTGTGGCCTCTGGTCTCTCCCGTGCTCCCTGCCCCAGCTGTGCACAGCCGATGGTGGCAGCATGCAGGGCGTGGGCCTCCCTGCCCCCGTGGCCTGGATAAGACTGCTCAGGCCCTCACCCCTGCAGTGAGTCCAGACCACCTGGGCTCAGCCCCAGGACTGAGGGGACAGTCTGGAGGCACCTCCCTTGGGGCCCTGCTCCAGGCCTGTGGCCGGAGGCTGCGATACCTTCGTGGGAAGAGGCCGGTGTGAGGCCGACAGGTTCCTGGGCCTCGAGCCTCACGCCCCCCCGCCCAGCCCTCAGACATTCACGCTACCAGGAGATGTCCTGGCCATTCACTGTGCTCCACTGCCCTCCTCCCTCCCTCCCTTCCTCCCTCCCTTCCTTTCTGCCCCAGCCGGCCCAGCTGCAAGGCTGCAGGGCGGGGCACATGGGGCGCTGCGGCCCCCCTGGGCAGGTGCTGGCGGCCGGCAGTGTGGGAAGGCAGGCGGCCTCCCTGGCAGGGCGGGGACTCCGGGCCTTGCCGCTGTCTGCGTGAGGTGTTGACGAGAGCGGGAGACTGCTCGGCTCCAACAGACTGAACTCTGTCTTTACTGTCTTTCAGATGGCAGCAGTGACAATGGGCTTTGGAGATCCTCTCTCACCTTTGCAATCGGTCAATAGAAATGCTCACTTCTTCCGGGGCTCATGTCCTTAGTCAGGGCTAGAGGGGGGCAGTGCAGCCCACGTGCTGGGGACCTTGCTCCCCTGGCCGGCCCTGCCCGCCAGCTCTGGACGAGCGCAGCAGAGCGCCAGGCGTGGTGGGGCCAGTGGTGTGGGCACCCACCCGGGACCGCCCCTGGGGAGGCCTCCATCTGCTCTGAGGGCCCACCTTAAAACTAATCGGCCAGGTAACTGCGGAGGGCAGCCGGCCAGGGCGGGTAGCTGCCAGCACCAGGCCCGTCTGCGCCCACGCCACCTGCACGCACGGGGTGTGCCCACGGCCTCCAGCCCCGTCAGTCTCCAGGCTGCCTGGCTCTTGGGTTGGGGTCAGGCCCCTGAGGAGAGAGGGGTCCTAACTCATGGCCCCATCAGACCCTGGAGGGAGGATGGTTGGATGGGGTGGGGGTGGGGGGACCCAAGCGAGCAAGGGAAGGGCAAGCAGGGCCTTGTGCCTGGCTGTCAGCAAGGGGCAGAGGCCACGCAGCCAGGGCGGAGGAGGCAGGGGCCATGGCTATGGCCTTGGCTGTGGTGGGCAGAGGAGTGTGGGAAGGAGGTGTCCCTCCCTTCCCCCAGAGGCAGGCTCAGGAGGAGGCCAGGTCCCATCTCGGGGATCCTGAGGGGAAGATGTGGACCCTTCTCTGGGAGCCTCTGTTCAGAGGGGTCATCCCTGTGTGTGGCTCCCATGGGGCAACACACGCCTTGTTCTCTCTGGGAAGCATCTGAATGGGAGCCCGGGCTGGGGGTCTGGTCAGGGAGAGAGCTCTTGGCCTGCCTGGGGGTGGGGCCCCACACTGAAAAGGAGACATGGCCCTGTCTTGGGGGAACCATGACCTGAGGGACAGGCCTGGTCTCGTGTCTGGGGAGCCTGCTGAGTGAGGGGGATGTGATTCCACCTTTGGGGGGGTCTTGCTCTGAGTGGGGAGCCTGAGGTCTGTCAGGGGGCCCAGTGTGAGGAGAACACAGTCTCGTTTTCAGGGAATGCCTGGTTTGAAGGAAGATATCTCACCTTGGGAAGTCCCTTGATGTGGAGAGATGCTTCCAGGCCCCTCTCCACGGGATGGGGAGGTTCGGCCTGCATTAGGCCAGCTGATGTCTAAAGAGGGAAACTGGTCTCTGGCCACAAGGCCTTTTGTGGAGAGGGGCAGGGCCTGGCTCCAGCTGTCTGCTTTGCCTGCCCTGGCCCACAGGCTCCCTGTGGCCCACTGCGTGTGGCTCTGGAAGTCCCCTGTCTGGCATGCCTCCTGTGAGGTGACAGGGGCGAGAACCCGTCCCTGAGGGTGTGGGGAGGTCCCTCAGCGCAATAGCCAAGCTCACAGCCAAGGCCCTGGACCGGCCAGGCCTGTCACCAGCTCTAAGGAGCCTGGGGGCTTCTCGTAGGGTCTCTGCTACCTCATGGTGCCCCCGGGGGCCAGGCCAGTGGTCTCGCCTGGGCCCGCTCTCTCGGCTGGGGGCACAGGCTCCAGGCAGCTCCTTTGTGAGGAGTTGCAGGGCACTGGGAAGGCACAGCATGAGCCCCCACCTGAGTTGGCCCAGCATGAGCAGCTGCTCCTCGTTCTCTCTTCAGGGAGCCCCCATCTGGCTCCTGAGCTCCTCCCCTGGGGTCTCTTCTGGGCAGTGGCTGCCCTGTCTTCTGACCTCCTCTCTTCTGGCCACCAAACCAGTGGGTCCCTCCAGCTTGGATGGTTCCTCCTTCCCTCTTCTGTCGTGGTCCTTGGCTGGGACAGTGGGAGGATCTCCCAGCCCAGCCTGGGATACCCAGCCCCCAGACTGGAGGGGTGGTCTGGGTGGGAGGGCGCACAGCCCTGCCTCCTGACCATCTGTCGGCTTTGCTGCCGCAGTCTGCCTGGGACCTTGGCGGGCTGGGGTGCGTCCTGTCCTGCCGCTGGGCCTGGCCTTCCTTCTTTGGGTGGCGGGGTCCTGCGACCCCCACACTATGACTGCAGGGATGGAGCCCGCACCTCCCTGTCATGTGGGGAGCCCTCCCCACAGCAGGGCTGGGTGGGTGGGCCAGGAGGGGAGTGGGCTGCCCAGCTTCCTGCCGCCCCTGACGAGCCAGCGGTTCTCTCCCCTCTGTCCTGCTGCAGATGGCGGCTCAGCGGCAGCGGGCGCTGGCCATCATGTGCCGCGTCTACGTGGGCTCTATCTACTATGAGCTGGGGGAGGACACCATCCGCCAGGCCTTTGCCCCCTTTGGCCCCATCAAGAGCATCGACATGTCCTGGGACTCCGTCACCATGAAGCACAAGGTCAGCAGGCTTGGTCCGCCCCGGCCACTTCGGGCTCGCCCCCACCCCTGGGCTCGCGCAGCCTGACAGGTGTGTCCCTGTGTCTAGGGCTTTGCCTTCGTGGAGTATGAGGTCCCCGAAGCTGCACAGCTGGCCTTGGAGCAGATGAACTCGGTGATGCTGGGGGGCAGGAACATCAAGGTGAGGCAGGGAGCCAAGGCCTCGATCCCGCAGGCGTGCAGGGCTGCCCCTCCACGGAAGCCTTTTGTGGCCGGGCCTGGGTTGACCGGTCTTTCCATCTCACCGCCTCTTCCCCAGGTGGGCAGACCCAGCAACATAGGGCAGGCCCAGCCCATCATAGACCAGTTGGCTGAGGAGGCACGGGCCTTCAACCGCATCTACGTGGCCTCTGTGCACCAGGACCTCTCAGACGATGACATCAAGAGCGTGTTTGAGGCCTTTGGCAAGATCAAGTCCTGCACACTGGCCCGGGACCCCACAACTGGCAAGCACAAGGGCTACGGCTTCATTGGTGAGCTGGGGTGGCTGAGGCGGGATGGGGGCCACCTGAGGCTGGGGCTGGCCCTGCTCACTGCTGCTCCTGCCCACAGAGTACGAGAAGGCCCAGTCGTCCCAAGATGCTGTGTCTTCCATGAACCTCTTTGACCTGGGTGGCCAGTACTTGCGGGTGGGCAAGGCTGTCACACCGCCCATGCCCCTACTCACACCAGCCACGCCTGGAGGCCTCCCACCTGCCGCTGCTGTGGCAGCTGCTGCAGCCACTGCCAAGATCACAGCTCAGGTGAGGGCCCACACAGCTGTCGGCTTGAGGGTGGGCGGGCTGGCCCCTGATTCCTTGGAGACTGATTCAAGGTGGTCTTGAGTAGCCAGACCAGGGACTGAGCACGGTGACCTTTTGGGTTGCAGGAAGCAGTGGCCGGAGCAGCGGTGCTGGGTACCCTGGGCACACCTGGACTGGTGTCCCCAGCACTGACCCTGGCCCAGCCCCTGGGCACTTTGCCCCAGGCTGTCATGGCTGCCCAGGCACCTGGAGTCATCACAGGTGAGTCTTAAGTGGTACCAGATCCTCTCCTCTCCTGTCCTGGCATCTCTCGGCTCGCTGCCCTCAGCTGCCTGGCCCTGGTGGTCTGGGCACAACCCTCTGAGCCCAGGGCAGGCCAGCTCTGTGCCTTTCTGGGAAGGGGGGTGGTAGGGAGTGACTGATGGACCTGGTTGGTTTTCCTGCAGGTGTGACCCCAGCCCGTCCTCCTATCCCGGTCACCATCCCCTCGGTGGGAGTGGTGAACCCCATCCTGGCCAGCCCTCCAACGCTGGGTCTCCTGGAGCCCAAGAAGGAGAAGGAAGAAGAGGAGCTGTTTCCCGAGTCAGAGCGGCCAGAGATGCTGAGCGAGCAGGAGCACATGAGCATCTCGGGCAGTAGCGCCCGACACATGGTGATGCAGAAGCTGCTCCGCAAGCAGGAGGTAGGCAGAGGGGCAGGGTGGTGGCGGGGGAGAGGGTAGGGGGGCGGGGCCGCAGTGCTCAGCTGTCTTCCCCTCGGCCCTGCCCCACAGTCTACAGTGATGGTTCTGCGCAACATGGTGGACCCCAAGGACATCGATGATGACCTGGAAGGGGAGGTGACAGAGGAGTGTGGCAAGTTCGGGGCCGTGAACCGCGTCATCATCTACCAAGAGAAACAAGGCGAGGAGGAGGATGCAGAAATCATTGTCAAGATCTTTGTGGAGTTTTCCATAGCCTCTGAGACTCATAAGGCCATCCAGGCCCTCAATGGCCGCTGGTTTGCTGGCCGCAAGGTGGTGGCTGAAGTGTACGACCAGGAGCGTTTTGATAACAGTGACCTCTCTGCGTGACAGTGGTCCCTCTCCCCGGACTTGCACTTGTTCCTTGTTTCCTCTGGGTTTTATAGTGATACAGTGGTGTCCCCGGGGCCAGGCGCGCTCTGCCCAGCCCAGCCTACAGTGCGGATAAAGGTGCGGATGCTGCTGGCCCTGAACGTCCGTGTGTCTGCCGTCGGTCCTGTCACCGATCCTGGGCGTGTGTCCTTAGGGGGTCTAGGGCGAGGAGGCAGGGTTGGGGGGGTCTCTGGACCTGCTTCCTGTTGGCAGGAGGGGCCTGCCGTGGGCGAGACCTGGGCAGGGGGTTGGCGCCCCGGGCCCCGTCCCGCGGGTGGCGGCGGCTGGGTGGGCGGGGCTGCCTGGGGCGCCAGGCTCTCGCGCGCGGGCTCGCAGCCGTCCCCGCAGGGTGGTGCTGAGAGAAGGCTGGGCACCGGGACACCGCGACCCGCTGGACAGCGCGCGCTGCCAGTGCTTTTGTGCCGCAGAGCCGGCCGTCCAAGGCGGGCGGGCGGGCATGGTCGCTTCCCGGGAGGAGGCTGTGCGTTAAGATTCGTGGCCAAATGCCGCGGGGCCAGGGGCCGGGCTGAAGACCGGAGGGCGGAGGGCGCCGCCTCTCGTGGATTGTAGCTCCCAATATCCCGCGCGCGGGGCGGGCCCGGCTTCCCGGCACGCTTTGCGCGGTGCCGCTACGGGTCCTCAGAGGCGGCGGCGCGCGGGGCCTTCTGGGGGCCGCAGTCCGGGCGTGCTAGGCGGCGAGGGCCGGACTCGGCTTCCCGACGGGCTGCGCGGCGGCCGGGTGGGTGTCGGCGGGGCAGTCCGGCGGGCAGCGGCGGTTCCGGTGCGGCACAGCGGGCGGACGAGCGGGCGGGACGAGCTGAGCAGGACCAAGCGGGATGCGGAGCCGCCGCCGCCGCCGCTCCCCGCGCTTCCTAAGAGTCTGAGACCCGCCGGGCCGCGCCCCCTGCCCAGGCCCGCAGTCCGAGCGTTCCGAGCGCGGGCCGGGCCCAGCGCCGGCCGCGGCCGCGTCCCCGTCCAGTCTCGGGCGGCCCGCCCCCTGCCTGCGCCCCCTCCCCATGCGCGGCGCCCATGCGGACTGAGCCCCGCCCCCCGGCCCCGAGCCCGCCGAGCGCCGCCGCCGGAGCCCGCGCCGCCCACCCGCACCATGCTCAAGTGCATCCCGCTGTGGCGCTGCAACCGGCACGTGGAGTCGGTGGACAAGCGGCACTGTTCGCTGCAGGCCGTGCCGGAGGAGATCTACCGCTACAGCCGCAGCCTGGAGGAGCTGCTGCTCGACGCCAACCAGCTGCGCGAGCTGCCCAAGGTGAGCGGCCGCCCGCACCTGCCGCCCAAAGGCGCGCCCCCAGCCCGTGATTCCTCCGGCGGCAGAATCTGCCCGGGCGAGTCACCGCAGCCTCCAGCCGGCCCTGCTGGTTTGCACTGGCCAGGTCCCCACCCCAGCCAGCCCCACCCTTCTCTTCCAGCCGCCCTGGCTGGCGCAGGTGGCAGCGGTCATCAGGTGCTTGCCTGGGGATAGCGATTGTCACCGAGCCTGGAGGCGGAGCCTCAGAGTGAAACCCGTGGGGATTCAGGGAGGTGGATGGGGTTAGGGTGGAACTTGGATTCAGGTGGCTGATGAGTACTAGCTTCTTGGGCCGCTCTGGAGGTGGGTCCAGACCTCCTCTCCTTTTTTGCTGGGTGCAGGGGTGAGTGGGGGAGCCCTCTTGATGTACTCTTTGCTCTCGGATCTGTTCGCTGTCCCCCTTTCTTTACCCTTGCTTCTCGTGGTCAGGTGCTCTCCTAAGGCTGCTACAAGAAAGGAGGCTGGAGAAAGCAGATTAAAAAGTATTTCTTTTCTGGAGATGGGGTGCTGGGTGATCAGTACCTAGGGGTTGGGTGTCCCAAAGAATGTGACCCTGTTCTGGCCGTGGCAGTGACAGCTCGGTCCTCTGTGGCCACCTGCAGGCCTCGCGCGTAGCACTGTGCCTGTGGTACTGTGTTATTGTGGGGAGCGTTTACTGAGTTCTTGCTGCAGAACCAGGCCAGGCTTGTTGTCAGGATGCAGTAGCAGAGGCCAGTGTGGGCCCCTGGAGGGTGGCAGAAGTGGTTCAGGGGCTGGGTGGGCCCTGAGGTAAGACACAGGGTAGGGGATTGGGGCTTTGTCTGGTCGCCAGCAGGTGTCTTCTCAGAGTGGAGGCTGGTGTGAAGAGTAGAGGGAGGCAGCCACAGTGGGCGTGTGTACCGTGTGTTTCTTTCCTTTTTTTGCAAATGGGGTGTCGTGGTTAGACCCCAGGACCCGGTGTGACCTGGAGCAGACAGAGGCCTAGGGACTCTTGACTTGTGACACTCACGTGTCCAGGAGCTCTTCTCTGCTCTGCAGTGGTCTCTGCCACAGAGTCCGTGTCCTCCCTGCCCACAGCCTTTTTTCCGGCTGCTGAACTTGCGCAAGCTGGGCCTGAGCGACAACGAGATCCAGCGGTTGCCTCCCGAGGTGGCCAACTTCATGCAGCTGGTGGAGCTGGACGTGTCCCGGAACGGTGGGGAGCCTGGGCAGGGGCTGGGTGGGGTCTGGGGAGTGTCCGCTGGGGCTGCAGACGGCCTGCAGGCCATGGCATCTGTCCACTGTGACCCTCTGTGACAGATATCCCTGAGATCCCGGAGAGCATCAAGTTCTGCAAGGCTCTGGAGATCGCGGACTTCAGCGGGAACCCCCTCTCCAGGTGGGTGGCAGCCTGTGGTGGGGTCGGTAGGGGCTATGGGTCCCACAGCCCTGGACTGGTCATCCGAGGGCCTCTGCTTCCTCCCATCCAGGCTCCCTGATGGCTTCACTCAGCTGCGCAGCCTGGCTCACCTGGCCCTGAATGATGTGTCTCTGCAGGCACTGCCCGGGGACGTGGGCAAGTGAGTGCCTTCTCAGGTGGAACTAGGGTGGGGTGGGGGACCAGGATTGGCCCTGCCCCTGCTGCCACTGCTTTCCTTCCTCTTGCCCCAGCGCCTGGTCTCTCTTTCAGCCTCGCCAACCTGGTGACCCTGGAGCTCCGGGAGAACCTGCTCAAGTCCCTGCCAGCGTGAGTGTGACAGGCATTCTCCTAACAGCCAGGGCAGGGCCACAGCCCAGGGACCAGGGCTGCGTGGCCACACCTCCACCCTGCTTCCTCTGCAGGTCCCTGTCATTTCTGGTCAAGCTGGAACAGCTGGATCTGGGAGGCAACGATCTGGAAGTGCTGGTGCGTGGAGGCCTGACAGGGCAGAGACCGGAGGGCGGGCCACGGAAGCAAGGGCAAAGAAGGGGACAGCGAGCAGATCCGACAGCAAGGGGCACCTCGGGAGGGCAGGCGGGTGGGAGCTGGGTGTGGGGGCGTATAGTCTCTTGAGCACGGCGCAGCAGGAGGCTTTGCCTCATAGTCACTATTTTCTCTGTTCCTTCTTGCAGCCAGACACTCTGGGGGCTCTGCCCAATCTTCGGGAGCTGTGGCTTGACCGGAACCAGCTGTCAGCACTGCCCCCGGTGAGTCAGGGTGGGGCTGGCCCCCTGCTTCGTGCCCATCCGCGCTCTGACTCTCTGCCCACCTGCAGGAGCTCGGGAACCTGCGGCGCCTGGTGTGCCTGGACGTGTCGGAAAACCGGCTGGAGGAGCTGCCTGCTGAGCTCGGCGGGCTGGTGCTGCTCACTGACCTGCTGCTGTCCCAGAACCTGCTGCGGAGGCTGCCCGACGGCATCGGTTAGTGTGCCTGGGGGTGCCTGGGTGGGGCACACGGAGCCTGGCCCTGGGAGGAGCGTGGGGCGTCGGGGCTGTGTGTGGTGTGGAACACAGGGGAGGATCCTGAGTGTGCCCAGGCTCTGGGAGCTGTCCCTGGGGAGGGGAGGTGGGACCCTGGGGCAGCCCAGAAGGCTGAGGAGGCAGCTGGTGGTGCTGGAGGGGGCGGTGGAGTCTGTGAGGGCGGAAGGGTGGCAGTGCCACTGGGGCCTGGTGTTTTCTTGAAGGAGGTTGGGTCAGGCTTGTGGGGCAAGGTAGGTAGGGTCCTCCCGAAGTACGGCGGCGGCAGAAGGGGCTGGGGGCCTTGCTGTCTGCCTTGAGGGCGCTTCTGGCCAGGTGGGTAAGGCACGTCTGGGGACCATGCTCAGCCTTGTCCCCCTGTCTCCCCGACGCCAGGTCAGCTGAAGCAGCTATCCATCCTAAAGGTAGACCAGAATCGGCTGTGCGAGGTGACCGAGGCCATCGGGGACTGTGAGAACCTCTCTGAGCTGATCCTCACGGAGAACCTGCTGATGGTAGGGTCTGGCTTGGGAGGCAGAAAGGATGGGGCCGTCGGGGGTGCAGAACAAGGACAGGGCATCAGCCTGTGTCTGCTGCTGGGGGGTGCTGGTGGCAGCCTGACGTGGAGCCACTCAGGAAGGGCTCTTCTCTTGTCAGAGGGGGAGCATGCTGGCCGGAGGTGAGGCGGGGCAGTGAGGCCAGGGCAGGGGCCTTTGCCGTTTACCGTGAAGAATCTAGGTCTCGTGTTTATCGCTGTATGTTGTAACACTGGGGAGCGGTTACAGAAGAGGCAGGAATGGGAACTTATTTGTCTGTAGGGAAGACAGATGGAGAGCAGGCTGCTCCCCAGGGGCGTCTGCCTGCCCCTCACAAAGCAGGGCAAGCTGAGGCACCAGGCCACGGTTCGGGACGGTGGTGTTGCTATCCCCATCCCCAGGCTGGGAAACAGGAGCTAGCTGTGGGGAGGGTGTTCATGGGAGTTTCCGGGGGGGTTCCTCACTGGGGAGATGGAGAAAGGGACTCTGGGGTTCAGGGCCCTGGGAAGGGGCTGGCCCTGAGCAGGCAGGCTGGAACTGGGGGCCTGGGGAGCCCTAGGGATGACAGGGCAGACCAGTGGGGCACCAGACAGGCTCACAGGGCGCAGCCTCGCAGGTCAGTCCAGGGCACCCATGGGAGAGGGTCAGGGATGACCTGGTGGGGTGTTTTGGTGGTGGGGACTGAAGGCTGAGGGCAGTGGGCAGAGCTTGGGGAGCAGAGGGCACGAAGTGGGGTGGAGACAGCTTCTGTGGTCAGGTCCTTGTCCCGGTCTCCAGGGGCTGTGAGGGACCCTGGCTGGAGCTGGCCTGGGGTGTCTGTGCCCTCCTGCCAGGGGCTGTCATCTCCTTCCCACCCCCAGCAAGCCCCTAGCGTCCTCTGACCTCCTCTTCTTGGCCAGGCCCTGCCCCGCTCCCTGGGAAAGCTGACTAAGCTGACCAACCTCAACGTGGACCGGAACCACCTCGAGGCGCTGCCGCCCGAGATCGGGGGCTGTGTGGCACTCAGCGTCCTCTCCTTGAGGGACAACCGCCTGGCCGTCCTGCCACCAGAGCTGGCCCACACGACAGAGCTGCACGTGCTGGACGTGGCGGGGAACCGGTGAGTGCCAGCCTTGCCCTGCGGGCCTAACCGTGGCCCCAACGCCTGCTGACTGTGCCCGCCCGGCCCGCAGCCTGCAGAGTCTGCCGTTCGCGCTCACCCACCTCAATCTCAAGGCCCTGTGGCTGGCAGAGAACCAGGCGCAGCCCATGCTCCGGTTCCAGACGGAGGATGATGCCCGGACCGGCGAGAAGGTGCTCACCTGCTACTTGCTGCCCCAGCAGCCCCCACCCAGCCTCGGTAGGTTGTTGGCAACCGGTGCTTAGCGCGGGGTGGCTCTCAGGCAGGGTTTGGGGACTAGCCTGGGTCCTGACGCTCACCTGCTGCAGAGGATGCTGGGCAGCAGGGGAGCCTCTCGGAGACCTGGAGCGATGCCCCGCCGAGCCGCGTCAGCGTCATCCAGTTCCTGGAGGCCCCCATAGGTGATGAGGACGCTGAGGAAGCTGCAGCTGAGAAGCGGGTATGAGGGTGAGGATCTGGGGGGCGAACCTCTGCCTGACCCCTGCCCTGTGGCTGCTGCTCATCCTTGTCCCTACAACAGGGCCTACAGCGCCGGGCCACACCTCACCCCAGCGAGCTCAAGGTGATGAAGAGGAGCATCGAGGGGCGGCGGAGCGAGGCCTGCCCTTGCCAGCCAGACTCTGGGTCGCCCTTGCCTGCAGAGGAGGTGGGCATGGAGCCACGGCAACCTGGCGGGCCGCTGACCCGGGAGCTGTGGTGGTCCGGTCCATCCTGGGAGTGGGGCTGTGAGGGCCAGGGCAGCACAGAGAAGGAGCAGGAGATGAGGCTGGTGACAGGTTTCAGGGACATGGAGCTGCAGGGCCAGCTGGGTGAAGGGTGCCAGGGTGGACGTGTGGGTCGTGCAGGGCGGGTCTGTGGGGCTGGAGTATGGGGAGAACCAGTGGTGGGTGTGCCTGGGAGCACAGGGAATGGGGTTTGGTTGTGGGGTAGGGTCTCTGGTGGAACTGCCGTGGGTGTCATCGGCACCTGGGAAGGGGTTTGGGACTGGGACAGAGCAGGCCTGACTGTTCTCACTCAGAGCTGTGACATGCGTGCTGTGGGTTTTTGGGTGCAGCAGAACCAGTGATCTGGGCTGGGGTAGGGTGTGTGGGGCCGTGCATGGGAGGGGAGGAGGTTCATATCACGCTGGGATTTTCCTGGGAACTTGTGTGGTCCTTGTTTGTTTTAGGAAAGGCTTTCCTTGGGGCTGGGCTGTGGAACCGTGGCTTTGTCCACCCTAGGCTTTGGAGGCGTGTGGCTTCCTTGCAGGCTGGGACAGGGAGCAGCTGCGAGGGCGTGAGCCCGTTAACGGTGCCTGGTCGGGGCAGCGGGAAGCTCAGGGAAGGCCTGCCACGTGGGGGGCATCCCAGGTGGCCAGCCTGTGAGTCGGGAGCTCCGTCGAAGCCTGACCCCACTTCCCGCCGCAGGAGAAGCGGCTGAGTGCCGAGTCTGGCCTGAGTGAAGACTCTCGCCCATCTGCCAGCACAGTCTCTGAGGCTGAGCCCGAGGGCCCGTCGGCTGAGGCACAGGGTGGGAGCCAGCAGGAAGCCACGACTGCTGGCGGGGAGGAAGACGCCGAAGAGGACTACCAGGAGGTGTGGATTGGCAGGAAGGAGGCAGGAGGCTGGGCCTGCTGGGTGGGGGCTGCCTCCCCTGCGGGGCCTCAGCTGGGATCGGTTTTGGTGCAGGCAGTGCCTGGGCCCTGCTGATGCTTCGGGGAGCTGCCCTGTACAGAGTGGCTACGGGTGGTGCAGGGCCGTGCTGCTGGGGGTGCCCTGGAGAGCTGCCTCCCTAGGTGGGGTTAAGGTCTCCCCTGACGGCTGGGCTCACAGAGCCCACCCCCACCCTGGACTCTCTTCTGACCCCCGTGGGCTCCCTGGTGTGAGGCCTTGGCGCACCCCTTCGTTTCCACCTGGGGCGCTGCGTGTCTCCAGGATGAGCCCCTGGCCTTCAGCTTTTCTCAGGGCTGAGACACGCGCCCCTCACTGGGCAGTTAGTGCTGAGTCTTTGTGTGGCGGGGAGGCTTTCGGAGCCCGTCTGTGGCCACACTGTTTAGTAGGGTCTTCCTGTGGAAGCACAGCCACAGAGCTGGGGCCACCCTCACCCTTTTGTCCGCACAGCCCACGGTGCATTTCGCAGAGGACGCACTGCTGCCCGGGGATGACAGGGAGATCGAGGAGGGGCAGCCTGAGGCCCCCTGGACCCTGCCAGGCGGGAGGCAGCGGCTCATCCGCAAGGACACACCTCACTACAAAAAGCACTTCAAGATCTCCAAGCTGCCCCAGCCCGAGGCCGTTGTGGCTCTGCTGCAGGGCATGCAGCCTGATGGGGAGGGCCCTGTGGCTCCCGGGGGCTGGCACAATGGCCCCCACGCACCCTGGGCTCCTCGGGCCCAGAAGGAGGAGGAGGAGGAGGAAGAGGGTAGTCCTCAGGAGGAGGAGGAAGAGGAGGAGGAGGAAAACAGGGCTGAAGAGGAAGAGGCCAGCACTGAGGAGGAGGACAAGGAGGGGGCCGTGGTTTCTGCGCCCTCTGTCAAGGTTGGTGTCAGCCTCACCCCTGCCTGACCCAGATTCCCCTGGCCCTCCTGGGCACCCAGGGCTGCGGCAGGAGCAGGGCCGAGGCCTGACCCACTGGCCCCTGGCCACCCGGAGAAGGTGGTGGACACGTGTGCTCCACAGTCGGCATCACGGCCACTCTCACCAGACCCCAGGCCTGCCCTGGCATTGGTCTCAGTCCATGCTTGGACTCCAGGCCTGCCCTGGCGTTGGTCTCAGTCCATGCTTGGACCCCAGGCCTGCCCTGGCGTTGGTCTCAGTCCATGCTTGGACCCCAGGCCTGCCCTGGCGTTGGTCTCAGTGCCAGAGGCAGCTCTGCTGGCCAGTATTTGCCCGACCTGCTGGCGGGCACGGAGTTCACAGAAGTCAAGCATGGCTGCCCACTCTTTGTGGGTCTCCAGGGCCTGTCTACATGTGTCGTGGTCCCAGGGCAGGGTCTGTTCCTCTCCCAAGATCACTGGGCTCTCCTGGGATCCTCTCTTGTGTTGGGCACTGCAGGCCCGAGGCCCTGATGGCTCTTTTCTGCCTTGTCGGGCCCTCCTGAGGTGCCACACAGGCCTTCGGGGCACCAGTGTGTCCCTCCCTGGCCCTCAAGTCTCCTCTCCATGGGTCACAAAGGGTCTCACCTGCTCTCTGGGCAAACTCAGATTCCAGGGGGAGTCCCCGGGTCTCACTATCCCTGCCCTTGATGACACTCTGACCCTGAGTGTGGGCCAGTGGCATGATAGCTGAGGGGGCCCGGAGGGGCCACAGCAGGGACAGCCCGGTGGGACTCTGCTCAGCTCTGGAGCCCCGCTTGTCCCCAGGTGTGTGGTGTCACTCACGCCTCCAGGATGGAGGCGCCCGTGCCAGGGCAGTCGAGGGAGCTTGCTGTGGTCTCCTCTGTCCTTTCTGCTTGTGGCGGGGGCTGGGTGAGGCGGTGGTGGTGGTCTTGGCGGTGGCTAACCTGCATGCCTCACTGGTCCTGTCCTAACAGGGAGTGTCGTTTGACCAGGCCAATAACCTGCTGATAGAGCCTGCTCGCATTGAGGAGGAAGAGGTCTGTACTGCTCGCTCTGCACTCTGGCCGGGCCGCTGCTGGCCTTGCTTCCCGGGCTGTGGGCTCACGCCTCTCCCCGCCCCTGTTGCTTGAGCGCAGATCCCTCTCAAAAGAGCTCTCAGATCCAGCTGGGCTCCAGGATCAGGACACCTCCTGCCTGGGGCAGCCCGTCTTGGCAGGGGTGAGCGGAGAGGCTGGTCCAGCTCCCATCAGCCGCCTGTGGTGCTCTGAGCCTTACCTGCCTGCGGAGGCAGCGCAGTCCTCACTCGAGGGTGGCAGGGGGGCCTCGGGCCACCATCACCTGGAGGTGGGCAAGCCCCAGCCCACCACGCTCTGCAGAGCAGTGCCCTCCTGCTGGGGTCTTGGGGCTTCTCCAGCTGGCGTCTGGGCTGGCCCTGGCTGGTGAGTGGCATGAGGCCCCATTCAGCTGCCTAGAGAAAAGCCAGAAATGGCATCTGCGTGCTGGTGGGGTCTCCTGCAGAGAGCACAGGCAGCCCCACTGCGGCCCTTCTAGACACCCTGTCTGTTCTGTTTCCAGCTGACCCTCACTATCCTGCGGCAGACTGGGGGCCTGGGCATCAGCATTGCGGGCGGCAAGGGCTCCACACCCTATAAGGGGGACGACGAGGTGAGCACTGCCTAGGAGGGCCTTTCCGCTGCCACTGGCCTGCCCCACCACAGTTCACACTGATGGCACACAGGCCCCTTGCCCTGAGAACACTCACACGCTCTGGGGACACGGGCTGGGCCCAAGGCACCTACTGTTGTGGGATCCCGAAGTCCAAGAGCAACCTGAGGGTGCCTGGGTCTGTCTTCCCTTCACAGCCCTCCTTCTCTCACCAGCTGCCTGTGCACCAGGCCTGGGGCCACGAGCCCTTTCTCGGGGCTGACGTGCTCCTTCTAACCCCCTGGCACTCAGGATCCCACAGTGGCTAGAGCTCAGTCCTCCTGCTGGCCAGGGCTAGGGGCTGCTGGGAGTGGGTCTTCCCCTCCTGGGTCTTCTGCAGAAGGAGCAGGAATGCGGGCCCGTCTCCCTGGCCCCTGCCAAGCTCGTGTCTGTGCCCTAGGGCATATTCATCTCTCGGGTGTCCGAGGAAGGCCCTGCGGCCCGGGCTGGAGTCCGTGTGGGTGACAAGCTCCTGGAGGTGAGTCGGCAACCTCTCCGCCCCGAGTGGCAGCTGTGCCCTCTGGAGGTACATGGTCCCTGGTATTAGGGTGCTTGGCTGCCTTCTCCCGGCCTCCCCAAGAGTTCCAAGCACAGGACACCCAGACTTCCGGGTGAAGCCACGGAACCTGTAAACCCCAGGAGAGAATCACCTGGGCAAGTGCCACCTGGGCTTTCCGTTGTCACCCTGGCTCCCATCCAGCGCCCTGATTGCTCATCTTTGTTCTGTGGGTACAGGTGTGTTTTTCTACCAGTGGGTAGGGCAGCAGCTGCACCTGGCACAGTGGCCTCTCCAGGAGGGGCCGCTCCTGGGCTGACCGAGAGGGGTCAGGCTACTGGCAGGTCTGGTGGGGTTTGGACCCTGTATGGGAGTCCTGGAGCCTCCACCTGGACACCTAGCTGTTCAGCCGGGGCACGGGCATCCGGGGGCTCTGAAGAGGCATGCGCCCTTCTTGTAGGGACACACTGAGGGCAGGTGAGGGCCCTGAAGCCCAGCCAGGAGGCGTCTGCCCAGGGCTCATATGCTGCGTCTGCTGCTCAGCTCTCCTGACCTTTGCGTGGGAACTGCTGCTCCTGGGTGTTGGGGTGGGGGTGTGGGTCAGTAACCCAGCGACCTTAGGTGTGTGTTGGGCTGTGCAGATGGGCCGGAGGTATCCAGGAGCGGGGCCATGTGTGGCCTGGCCGTGGGGGCATCTGCTTGCCTCCCGTGGCCAGTGTGTGTCCTGGCCCTAGGGCTTCCCACACCGGGTTTCAGAGGACCTGGTAGGGGAGGGGTCGGTGCCCACGAGGAACCTTGTGGCTAAAGGTCTCGGGTGATGTCAGCGCCTGGGGCCTTTCCCCTCGCCCTGTGCCTCAGTCTCCCCATCCTGGAGGGAGCGTGTGGAGCCCCCAGCACGTGGCTGTCTGTGGCGGCACTGGGTCCTGAATACGCACGTGGTCCCTGGCCCGCAGGTGAATGGTGTGGCTCTGCAGGGCGCCGAGCACCACGAGGCCGTGGAGGCGCTCCGGGGGGCCGGCACTGCCGTGCAGATGCGAGTGTGGCGGGAGCGCATGGTGGAGCCTGAGAACGCGGTCACCATCACGCCGCTGCGGCCCGAGGATGATTACAGCCCCCGAGAGCGGCGGGGAGGGGGGCTGCGCCTGCCCCTGCTCCCGCCTGAGAGCCCCGGGCCCCTCCGTCAGCGCCACGTGGCCTGCCTGGCACGCAGCGAGAGGGGGCTGGGCTTCAGCATTGCTGGTGGGAAAGGCTCCACACCCTACAGGGCTGGTGATGCGGTGAGGCTGGGGCCCAGGGCCGGGGAGGGCTGCTCTAGAGCTGACAGCCGCACTCCAGCCTCACCGGCAGCCCTGCCTCCTCCACCCTCCCCTGCAGGGCATCTTCGTCTCCCGCATTGCCGAGGGCGGTGCTGCTCACCGCGCGGGCACACTGCAGGTTGGCGACCGCGTCCTCTCTGTGAGTGGGGATGGGGCCCCGCCCCACCCACCCATCCCCCCTGCCCCGCCCCGCGCCCTCTGTCCCCTTCTGCCCTTGGGCCTCCCTGATTCGGGCACGCTCTCACAGATTAATGGAGTGGACGTGACTGAGGCCAGGCATGACCACGCCGTCTCCCTGCTGACCGCTGCCTCCCCCACCATCGCCCTGCTGTTGGAGCGGGAGGCTGGGGGCCCTCTTCCTCCCAGCCCTCTGCCACATTCCTCACCCCCCACCGCTGCTGTTGCCACCACCAGCATAACCACTGCCACCCCCGGGGTGCCTGGGTTGCCGAGCCTGGCCCCCAGCCTGCTGGCTGCCGCGTTGGAAGGGCCATACCCAGTGGAGGTGAGACACAAGCCCCCACCCAGGCACCCACCCAGCTTCAGCTGTGGGCACTGGCCTTCCCAGGACCTGCTCTCTTATGGCCTTGCGGCCCACTCCAGGTGGGAAGCCGGCCTGCTCGCCCTTTCCCCTGCAGCTCCTTGAGGCTGGGGCTCTGCCCCACAGCCAGACTCCTCAGTATGGTCCCCTTGACACAGTCTCCTGGCTGGCCACATGGCCACAGTCAGCGAGGATATTGTCCTCACGCTGCGTGCCTGCCTGGGCAGCAGAACACTGGTGGCGCAGAAATCCCCGTGGGCATTAGGGCAGCCCCCGCCCGCCATCCCCAAGGACCGGGACGGACTCTTGGGAGCCCTCCCACACCCTTTCCCTGTCCTGACCGAGGCCTGTCCTTGTCCCGCCCTAAATCCCCAGGAGATCCGTCTGCCAAGAGCTGGGGGCCCTCTGGGGCTTAGTATTGTCGGAGGCTCCGACCATTCCAGCCACCCGTTTGGTGTCCAGGAGCCTGGTGTGTTCATCTCCAAGGTAGGGCGGCCCATCCAGGCGGTTCTGTGAGAGGTGCACCCATCCCAGGTACCAGCGCAGGTCAGCGCGGCCTCAGCCACCAGCTGCCACCCTCCTCCCTGACAGGTGCTCCCGCGGGGCCTGGCCGCTCGCAGCGGCCTGCGGGTTGGGGACCGCATCCTGGCAGTGAACGGGCAAGACGTGCGGGATGCCACGCACCAAGAAGCAGTCAGTGCCCTGCTCCGGCCCTGCCTGGAGCTGTCGCTGCTGGTGCGGAGGGACCCGGCACCCCCGGGCCTACGGGAACTGTGCATCCAGAAGGCACCTGGGGAGAGGCTGGGCATCAGCATCCGCGGGGGTGCCAGGGGCCACGCTGGCAACCCCCGCGACCCCACAGACGAGGGCATCTTCATCTCCAAGGTGAGCCCCCCCCACCCCAGCCCGCCCTGGGCCCCACCCCCCAACAGGTCTCTCCCATACCACGTCTCCCCACAGGTGAGCCCCACGGGGGCAGCCGGGCGCGACGGTCGGCTGCGTGTGGGTTTGCGGCTGTTGGAGGTGAACCAGCAGAGCCTGCTGGGCCTGACGCACGGCGAGGCGGTGCAGCTGCTCCGCAGTGTGGGCGACACCCTCACCGTGCTGGTCTGTGACGGCTTTGAGGCCAGCACCGACGCAGCCCTGGAGGTTAGCGATCCCGCCCCGGGGACCGGGCCTCCCTCTGGCCCAGCCCAAGGTGTTGTGAGCCGCTGACACCTCTCGGGGCAGGCGACGGGTCCCCTGTGCCTCTGGGTCTGGGCGGTGCTCTGCGGCTCTGCATCAGCCGTGCGGGCTGGGGAGCTGTGGGCGGAGGGCCCTGCCTTCCCTTTCTGCTGAGCTCCGGCTCATCGAGCTGTCCAGAGGCCCAGTCCAAGTAGGACGAGGCACGTGAACGGATGGTGGGAGGGGCGTGTGTTTGGGACGCACTACGTGGTCTGGTCCTAAAAGAAGCTGAGCACTGGTGACTCCTGCAGAGTCCCATCAGGCTGCTAAGGGATGACTCCAAGCCCTGCCCAAAGCCCACCAGCCAGGCAGACGCCTTGGGATGCTGAGGGTCCCCGCTCCTGTGCCTAGTGGCACCTTGCTCCTCTCAGCCCATCCCTGGGCCATGACTCCAGGGAGCCCCTCTGGTGACCCCTCAACAGAGAACTCCCTACCCAAGATCTCCTGCCCAACTGCTGGTCCGTCCCTTCCTGGACTCCAGAGCAGAAGCCCAGACGGGGAGTTGGGATGCGAGGTGGGGCCCCAGGAGTCCTCCCCACCAGCACGGCCTGGATCCTGGACAAGCCTGGCCTGTCTCAGGGGGCTCCCATCTCCCTTCCGTCTTCTTCCCCATGCCATCCCAGGGGCCCTGCAGCAGGCCTCAGCAGTTTCCAGGGGTTCTTCACTGGCGCCAGGGTGTGCAGGCTGGCTTCCCACTGGAGTGGCCTGCAGGGCCACAAGAGGGTGGGTCCCGGGAGGGCCAGCGCCCATGGCTGAAGCTGGGTGGATGCCTGGGCCTTCACCTGGAGGGGCCATCTGCTCCTCCCAGAGGGTGTCCCTGCTGGTCACACAGGTCCACAGGGGGCAGGTGGCTGTCACCACTCCCCACCGGCACACAGATGGCTTCCTCTCTGTAACAGCCTCTGGGATGCGGCGGCCCCTCACATTGGTTCTGTCCTGCAAGGGATCTCTGGGATGGTGGCTTTCTGCCAGGCTGACAGTCACAGAGTGTCCTGACCCACAGCCAGCGTGGGGGCCCCTTGGCGGGAAGTGGGTCTGCATTCGTTGTTTTTGCTCCACAGCTGGACGTTGAGCTTGGGGTTGGCCCCGGGCCAGCCCTCACCCACCGGGTCCCCTCCTGTCCTTGAGGGAGTCCTGGTGGTTTCTGGGGAAGGATTTATCTGAGGACTCGAGCTCTGGACCATCTGGTTCTCAGAGAGGGCCTTGCCTTTTATTATTTTAAATGTGTATCTAAACACGTTTCATTCGATATATTTACTCGTGAAGTTTTTATTAGAGAGGGAGCGAGCTCCCTCAGGGAAGAGCTAGGTATGCAGAAGGCAGGGCTAGTGCCATGTCTGCAGCCGGCGTGCCGCGCTGCTGTCGGCCACAGGTTGTCCTTGCATCTGGCCGGGTCCCCCACGAGCCTGCCGTGACATGTCGGTATAGGAGGGGCAGGGGTCTCAGACCTCACACTCTGGCCAGCCACGGACAGAGCCACCTCCACACCCTCCCTGGTGTTGGGGGCAGATACCATTTCTGCCGCGTCGGGCAAGCCAGGGGTCCCGAGCAGTGGGGCTGAGAGCTGCCATCCAGCTCCCCTTCCCCGTCACTGCTACCTCTTTCCCATGTCCTTCCGTCTTCCCGGGGGCTCGCTGTCCGCCCCAGCACTGCCCTTGCTCTCCGTTGTCACCCTGGCTTCCGTCCAGCAGCCTGGTTGCTCATCTTTGTTCTGTGGGTACAGGTGTGTTTTTCTGCAGCGGTTGCTTATCTTTTCCTTTAAAAAAATGGGATCTTTTGAGTTACAAAAATCAAAATTTTTAAATTAAGTCTTCTGGGTTCTTTATGACTTCTGGATTCTGGTTTTTTCCTTGGGAAGATCTTCCCTACTGCAAGATTACAAAAACATTGTCATGTTTTCTTCTAGTATTTCTGGAAGTTTAAACAACACATAGCTCCATGGTCCACCTGGAATTGCTTTGATGAGGTCTCGCTTGTCGCCTAGGCTGGAGTGTGGTGACACAATCACAGCTCACTGCAGCCTCCGCCTCCTGCGCTCAAGCCATGTCCCCATGCCCAGCCCTGGAACTGCTTTGCAAGTAACTGGATGCATAGCTGTCCCCACAGTACTGACTGAACAGTCTGTCGCTTCCCCAGTGATTTGGGGGAAATGTGGCCTCATTGTGTTCAGTTCCTGTAGGCTCCAAGCCCTGTTTCTGGACTTGGTCCCAGTGAGTTGTGAGCTACTTCTGGGCCAATGCCACGCATTTAAATCCCTCACTTTGTAGCAGGTTTCATGCCTAATCCTAATGGGCAAAGTCACCCACTCCTTTTTCTTGTCTTGAAAAGTTTCTATTGTCAATGTGTTTTCTCTTACGAATGAACCTGCCAAGTTCTGTGCAGAAACCGACTGGAATTCTGGGATTTCACGTACGTGTATGTATGTACATATTTTGAGAAAGGGTCTCGCTCTGTCGCCCAGGCTGGAGTAGCGGCACAGTCGCTGCACGCCGCAGGCTCGCCCTGCCGGGCTCAAGCGATCCTCCCACCTCAGCCTCCCGAGTAGCTGGGACTACAGCTGCGCCACCACACCCGGCTCATTGTTTTAAAGTTTTCTGTAGAAACGGGGTTTTGTCATGTTACCTAGGCTGGTCTTCAGCTCCTGGGCTCAAGTGACCTGCCTGCCTTGGCCTCTCAAAGTGCTAGGCTTCCAGGCGTGAGCCCTGCGCCCAGCCTTGGGGTTATCTTTATGTCGAGCTTTTCTCTAGGGTGTCCCCCGGTGGCTCTTGCTTTCCTAGTAATTCTTATAAATCCTCACCTGGATTTGTAAATCTGCTTCACCCCCTGGCAGAAGCCTGGCCGCCCTTCCCCCTTCGGGCCTCTCCCTTGTCCCCTCCCGCAGAGCCCCTGGTCCTGTGGAGGTGGGCTTGTCTTGTGCTCAGCTCTGAGGGACTTTCATCTTGTACTGTGACGTTTGCTGTAGACTCTCTTACAACATTTTTTAAATGGAGGGGGGGCTGTTTCTATTTATAACCTGTAAGAATTGTTATCTGAAGCGGGTGTTGAGTTTTCTGAAGTCCTCTTATCTGCTAAGTAGGGTTGGTTCAGCCCATGGAGGTTTCATCAGCGGGCTTGGGGCTTGAGAGAGAGGAGCTGGGGTCTCACACATCAGGAGTCCACGCCATGTCTGGCTTCCTGGCTTCTCACAGAAAGCTCAGAGGACGTGGCACGGCCAGGCCGGTGCTCCCACAGGTCCATCTGTGTTTCTGACTCCAGAGCATGGGTGGGGTGGGGGGGGGGCTTCAATTCATGACCCTTCCCCATTTTTCTGAAACTCAGGCCACTGGACTCATCTGTGTCTGTCTGCCTGGCCCTGTGGGCATCGGTTTGCCCACTGGGTTCTGTAACTTTCTTCTCACTGTGCGAGCCCATCTTGGCATTGGCTCAGGAGCTGCCTGCATGTCCCTAGCACTCTGGAGCAGTGGCCCGTGTTTGTCTGTCAGAGCCTACGTCTCCTGCTTTCTACGGCCCACGTCTGTCTGTCAGAGCCTACGTCTCCTGCTTTCTAGGACTGGTGCATTTTTAGGGGTCGTGCACAGTCCATCTAAGCCTGGCCCTCACTTGCTGTCGGGCCTTGACTTTACTCCTCAGTCTCCTCGTCTGTACAATGGGTCACCCGCAGTGCCTGCTTCTCGGGGTCGAGAGGATTGATTCAGTAACGACCTGCCTCGCCATGGTCGGCGCCGACCCCTGCGCAAACCTAGGTGGGTGTGCGCTGTCTGAGAGACTCGCCCGCTACCCCGCGTGTTTGGCATGAGGACGCAAGTCCTCTCCCACTGGGCCCCTCCTCTGCGGCCACCTCCCCCTCGGCCCTGCTGTCCGCATCCTCTTCCTCCTGGTCACGCTGACCAGGGTCCTGTGTGTTGATGGGCTTGTCAGAGCCAGCTTCTGACTACTGGTCAGGACCACCTCTCCCTTGTCATCATCACCATTAAAAATTAAACTTCAGAAGAGACTGCCCTTTCTTTTGGCATTTCCTCGATTTACGCTCTCAGGAAGAATCCTTCAGTCTTTCCCTCTGCATCTCTGGCTGTTAACTTTTCTGTAGATATGTCTGTAAAGAAGAGATCACTAGCTCTGTTTCTGTCCTGATGTGAGCTCCTGCAGGAAAGACCTAGGAAGATGAAATGCTTGGTTCTTCCATTTGTTAGTTTTTAGAATAACAGGCTGGGGCCCTGGAATCTTCCAAAGGTGGTTCCTGAGGTGTCTTTCTGTTTTTAGGGTTTTCGTGAACTTATGAGTCTTTATTTTCCTGATGGGTTTCAACACAGCGTTCCCTTGATGTCCCTTGATCAGGCAGCGAGACCCCGCATCCCTGTGGCATGACCCCATCATTCCCCAGCTGCTTTGACAGGGCATTCTTTGTACTTCCTGCCCCGGCCCTGGATTCCAACATTTTTGTGTGGGACCTGGCCCCTCTCGGTGGGAGCTGGGTGTGGGGCTCCTATAACCATGGGCCAGGCGTGCTCAGGACTCAGGCACTGCCTTTGCTGCTCTGTGGCCTCTGCAGCAGATGGAGGCTGAGAGGTGGATGTTTTCAGAAAGAGAACAAATCCTGAGTTTGTACTGTTACATTTAACTCATTTAAGATTGTAGGGTTTTTACTAACTTTTGTAATTTTATACTTTTTCTCATAAAATCTTTCCTTAATTCCTTAATTTCAAAATTAACTGAGTGTGGTGGCACATGGCCTGTAGTCGCAGGTATTCAGGAGGCTGAAACAGGAGGATCGCTCGAGCCCAGGAATTTGAGTCCAGCCTGAGCAAGACAGACTCTAAAAAACAAAAACAGTGACACCACTGGTACAACTGAGAGCAGGAGCGTGGAGAGGGGCCGAGTTCTGGCGGCTGCTTCCTGAGGGTTCACCCTGCCTGGGACGTACAGTCCGCATCCTGTGTTCTCAGCCACTTGAGATCATTCTGTGGTTTTGCTACCAAGCTGATAACACAGTTGGGCTGACTCATTTTAGCTTTTAGGGTAACTTTTTAAAAATCTGTTTTTTGTTTTTTTTTTGAGACGGAGTCTCACTCTGTTTCCCAAGCTGAAGTGCAGTGGCACGATCTCAGCTCATTGCAACCTCCACCTCCCGGGTTCAAGCGATTCTCCTGCCTCAGCCTCCCGAGTAGCTGGGATTACAGGCGTCTGCCACCGAAAAAATCTGTTTCTTAATTGTGTAAATCTTCACGTGGTTCCAAAGTTGAAGTTATATAGAATCATTTCAGAAGACCGGCCTCCATCTCTCTGCTCCCAGACTACCATCTTTATTAGTTTTGGTTTATTCTGCCATTTGTTTCTCTTTGAAAAATGTAAGCACATACATAAATGAATTTTAAACTTAGAGAAAAGTTGCAAAAACAGGACAAAGAACCTCTGACACTCAGCCCTATTCATGGCTCACCCACTGCGCCGGGGACGTGCTCCGTCGTGGAAGGGCGCGGCCCGATCCCTGTGGGGCTTGGCCACCGCATCCCTCTAGTCTCCTTCGGTCGGAGCGTGCCTCTGTCTTTGCTGATTTCTCTGACCTTGACGCTTCTGCTGGGCGTAGGCCCTGCCTGCAGTGACTGCCCCCACGCTGGGTCTGATGTCCTCACAGGCTTCAGCGTGTGCATCTTGGCCGGGATTATCATGGAGCTACCACGTGTCTGTGTGCCTACCACCAGGGCTCACTGGTGATGCTCTGAACCGTGGGGTCAGCCAGGTTTCCCCCTGCAGTTACTCCTGCCCCTTGAAATCAGCAAGTGAGGAAGGTGCTTTGAGAGCATATAATAGGCTGTTTCTCATCCAGCTTCGCCTGTGAGCCTCAGCACCTTGATGGTTCTGAGCGGGCCCCGAGGTGGTTGGCGACATTCCTGACCCACCACTGCCATACTCATCAGGCAGCTTCCTGCCACCGAGCCTTCCCTTCTCCCAGTTTATGTGTGTCTGCTTACCTGTTCACGTGGGCTCACAAGGGAGTCCATTTCATTAACAAGTGAGCTTCCATTTTATTTCATGGGCGACAGCCTTTTACCATCGTAATTTATTTTGAGGCTCAAATTGTCCCAGCCTTGGCCCACGGAAGGGGCTTGAGGACCTGAGGCATTCTGACACGACCTCCCCTCTCTCAGCAGCCCCTCACCTTCTGCCTCCAGGATGTGCTGGGCTTCTCTCCATACCCTGCCCAGCCCTGGAGTTGCCCCTTTCTCTCAGGAGCGCTGGATCCTTTTAGTGGAGAGTGACATTTAGAAGCTGTGGTCTGGCCCTGGACCCAGCGTTCTTGGGGTGTCATCTCGGGACCTCCTGGGGGCCAGAGCTGGAGGGTATGCCGGTCATTCCCAAGGTTATTCTTGGAACAGTAGAAGAGGGTGAGCTCCTAGTGGCTGTCGGAGTCAGCACCCGGGTCTGCCTTTTCTGTGTTTGAACAGCTCTCTCTGACATGAGAGGCCGGGCTACCTGGGACCTTGCTTCCCACTCTGCCAGGACCCCTGCCTCTCTTGGACCTGCCCAGTGGCTTTTTGACTTGTTATTTCAGAAACTGAGAAGACAGGCACCTTGTTTGTTGTTTGTCCCGCTAGTCCTGTGAGTCTGAAAGAGACGTAGCTAAGTCTGCCTGTGTAACTGTGCTTTTACGACACTCGCGTTTCTAGTCTTTGCTTTCTGTGTTTAGCTGCTTCCTTGTTGAGCGCTTACAGTTGATGACTGTATCATCGTTGTAAACAGCATCTTCTGTGGTGACGGCATCCGTCTGCCTGCTCGACAGCTCTGAACTCACACCCTTTCTCCCCCGGCCTGAGCAGCCCCTCCCTGTGCCTCCCGTGTGTTTGCCTGGCATCTCTTTGCCTGCCCCTTACTTACCATTTCAGCTGTGTTTTTAACCAACAGTACAGGGCTGGGTTTGTCCCTGAGGCCACACTGAGAGCTCCTCGATTTTGCAGGGACCCCGTCTGTGATGAGGGCGGTGAGCAATGCCTGTGTCCACTGTGCTGCCTCCTCCGCTGCTTCTGGCTGCTGCTGGGGGTGGAGGTTTGAAGCAGTCCCGTTGCCCGCCGCAGGCTTGGAAGTCAGCTCTTCCCATGGTTCCCTCTGCCCGTGTTAACCCCAGGCTCGGGATTCAAGTACATCTTGTGCCCAACCAGAAGCCCCTGCCTGTCCTGGCCCTGTCTCCTCGCCCCCCTCTGCCCTGCCTGAGCTATCTGAGTGCCTTTCCTTTCTAGACGCCCCCTCCGCCCTGCCAGTCTCTGGCTTGGGACAGGTGATTGAGCTCTGGGGAGTGCAGAGCTGGCCGGGCCTCCTGCATGGTGTCCCTTGTTTCAGAATCCCTGCCCAGCACTCACACTGGGGTCTGGAGCCAGCCTTTCCACCCGAGGGGGCCGTTCTGCCCCATCAGTTCCAGTGCCTGCTACTCACGCCCCTCCTTCCCCCATCTTGGTGGCTGTCAGCTCTTCCTGGGGATGACTTTACACAGTCAGCAGAGTGGCAGGCATCATGCTACTTCACAGTCTTGCCTAGTGCAGACGTGACCACGTCCACGGCAGCCCTGTGAGCTGTGATGGGGACCGGCCGGGGACAGTGCTGCAGCGTCCTGGGGGGCCCAGCGGAGTGCCCTCCAAGGCTGCCCCAGCCACGCGGTCAGCCCTGCCCAGGGACGCGGCTCCTGGGCTCACCGTTGCTGACTATTCTGGGCTGGGACCCCAGCCTGCCCCAGAGGTGGGACCCCGGGTTGCAGTCCCCCCTTCTTAGCCCACACCCCTCTTCTCAGGTGTCCCCAGGTGTCATTGCCAACCCCTTTGCGGCAGGCATCGGCCACCGGAACAGCCTGGAGAGCATCTCTTCCATCGACCGGGAGCTGAGCCCTGAGGGCCCAGGCAAGGTCAGAGGTGCCTGCAGCCGGCAGCCCCAGGGCCAGGGAGCCCGAGGCCGGTGGTGCCTGACGGGTCTGCTCTGCTCTGCTCACAGGAGAAGGAGCTGCCTGGACAGACCCTGCACTGGGGGCCCGAGGCCACAGAAGCCGCAGTGAGTGTGGTCGCCCCACCCCCTCACATCAGGGCACTGGAGCGGGGTGCACATTGCCTGTGGGGTGCTGGGTAGTAACCCCCAGGACCCCCTCTCCTGCCCTGTGCTGGCCGGGTGCTGCCACGGAGCTACCCCTGCTAGTGCTGTGTTCACTCTGCCCCCAGGGTCGGGGTCTGCAGCCCCTGAAGCTGGACTACCGCGCCCTGGCCGCCGTGCCCAGCGCTGGCAGCGTGCAGAGGGTGAGTGCCCAGTGTGCAGTGCCCCCCACCTCCGTCCTGTTGTCCTGTTCATCGGCCACCCCAGGACAAACGCCAGGGCCATCCGGGAGGGAACCTTTGGGCGGGGGCTGGGGTGGGAGGAGGCCACGTCTGACCTGCAGGCTACCCCAGCCTGGCACATGCTTATCACCCTCATTCTCAACCCAAGCCATGTTGGTGCTGCCCCACCCACACACCCTGAGCTGCGGATGGGTGACACAGGCCGAGGCATCCCTCTAGTGGCGGTGCGAGAGCTTCACCTGCTGCTGCTGGGGCTGCCCAGCCCCAGAGGGTGCGAGTGGGGGCAGAGGCTCCTGGGGGATTGGGCAGGCACATGTCCCCAAGGGGAGGACAGGCTGGAGCAGCTGGAGGGGCGGGTGCTGGGGACAGGCAGGAGGATGTGCAGGCCCATCCCTCCCCTTAGAGATACAAATAACCCTCCCAGAGGGTGCGCCCCACCAGCCCCACCGAACGTGAGTGCCGAGGGGTGGCTCCTGCAGGCCCTTGCCCAAGCGGTGGGGTGGTGGTGAGGGGCCAGGCAGGGCCTGGATCTGAGGCAGCGCATTCGGGGGCTCTTGGGTACTGACCCTGCCTCCTCTGGCCATGGGCAGCGCCAAGAGGGAGGCTTCCGGGAGGCCCTTCATCCTCATGAACAACAGCACAGTCATGGGGGCAGCAGTCAGGGCGCCACTGAGCCCTGAGGGCTGCACACCACAAGTAGGGGCTCCCCACCATCACCTCTGTCTCTGGCCCCTCCCCCGAGCCCTCCCTGCTCTCTTCTCCGGCTGTCCTGTCTGCTCCCATCTCTCCTGCAAAGCTCCAGCCAGCACACTGCCATGGAGACAGCAGCTGCCCAGCCCAGGCCCCCGCATCCTGTGGGAACGGGGACGAGCCCCTCCGTGCTGACCGAGTGTCTGGGGCATCCCCTGGGCTATAGTCAGGTTGGGGAACTGAAGAGCTGCTGTGGCTTTTAGGCAAGCCCCAGGGCCCCCAGTCCCTCCTGGTCGGGGGCCACAGCCCTGCCCATCCTCACCCCACCCACTGCCTACTCCTCCAGGTACCGTCTGGAGCAGCTGGAGGGAAGATGGCTGAATCTCCCTGCTCCCCTAGTGGCCAGCAGGTGAGTGTCCCAAGTTAACGGGTGTGCCCCATGGTGGGTGGAGGGCAGGGCAGATGGCCGCTGTGCACAGGGCCCCTCCTCCAGGGATGGGGGGTCAGGGGCCATCGTGGGGTGCTGTTGACTCCGGTTTTCCCTCTGCTACCATGGGGCCTCCTGTGTGAGGAAGGCCAGGGACGCTTTCCTGGCCAGAGCTGCCTGGCGATGGGGTGGGGGGCCTGAGTGTGCTGTTCCTGGAGGGGCTCAAGCTCCTGAGACCCCAGTCAGTGTCTCAGGCCCAACACCTCCCAGGGCCCACCTTATCCCTGCCTGCCTTTTGTCTGGGGGTCCTTGCCCCCCCACTGTTGGCACCTCCCAACACACTGCCACGTGGGGGTGGAGGTGGCAGCCCCCATGAGACCCAGCCCCAGCTCAGCCCCTCACAGGCAAGATGTCAGCCCCACCCAGGTTGGTCGGTCTCTCTCTCTCTGTCTCTCCCACCCCCCTCTCTACCCCCGTCCCTTGCCTTAAACCCCTGATCCTGCTCTCCTCTGCCCCCGCCGCCCCCACCTGCCTTTTTTAGACAAAACCAGGGGTGATCCAGCCATTGGCTCAGGCCTGGCCAAGGGGCTCCCCAGCCCCCAGGGGCAGAGGTTGTCCCCACTCCGTGAGTGCTCTGTCCCGTGGGTGGGGGTGGCAGAGCCTCCTTCCCCAGCAGGATGGTGGGTGGGGATCAAAGGCAGGCGGGGGGACAGGCGGGGGGACAGCCGGTGGTGAGTTGCACACAGCTGCAGCCCCGACAGCTGCCCCAGCATAGCTCACAAGAGCCCCACCCCCCAGCCGCCCTCCCCGCCTTCTCCGGATGAGCTGCCCGCCAATGTGAAGCAGGCCTACAGGGCCTTCGCGGCCGTGCCCACTTCTCACCCGCCTGAGGATGCCCCTGCCCAGGTGTGTGGGGGCAGCACGCCTCCCTGCTGCGCGTGGTTGGGGTGGGTGCCCGGGGGCCCCAGTATCTCGGAGGAATGCCAGCCAAACCTCAAGGTCCGCTCCCCCCAGCCCCCCACGCCTGGGCCTGCAGCCTCCCCGGAGCAGCTGTCCTTCCGGGAGCGGCAGAAGTACTTTGAGCTGGAGGTGCGCGTGCCCCAGGCCGAGGGCCCCCCTAAGCGCGTGTCCCTGGTGGGTGCTGACGACCTGCGGAAGATGCAGGAGGAGGAAGGTGAGGGGCACGGAAGTGGGGTGGGGGTTGGGTCTCGGCTGGTCTGGCCTGACCCACCCTGCCCTCCGGCAGCCAGAAAACTACAGCAGAAGAGAGCGCAGATGCTGCGGGAGGCGGCAGAGGCTGGGGCCGAAGCGAGGCTCGCCCTGGACGGGGAGACGCTGGGCGAGGAGGAACAGGAGGATGAGCAGCCACCCTGGGCCAGCCCGAGCCCCACCTCAAGGTGAGCACCCGCCCACCAGACGCCCCCTACTCACCCCACGTGCCCCTGCCCCCCACAGCACGTCCTGTCCCTTCCCCAGGCAGAGCCCGGCGTCCCCCCCACCCCTGGGAGGTGGCGCCCCGGTGCGGACGGCCAAAGCTGAACGGCGCCACCAGGAGCGGCTGCGCGTGCAGAGTCCGGAGCCACCGGCACCCGAGCGTGCCCTGTCCCCTGCCGAGCTCCGGGCCCTGGAGGCCGAGAAGCGTGCGCTGTGGAGGGCAGCCAGGTGAGCCCCTGTGTGGGGTCGCCACCCCGCCCTGCTGCCTGTCCCTGCTCCTGCCCCAAGTCACCCCTGCCCGCTGTTCTCTGCAGGATGAAGTCATTGGAACAGGACGCTCTCCGAGCACAGATGGTCCTCAGCAGGTCCCAGGAAGGCCGGGGCACGCGGGGGCCCCTGGAGCGACTGGCCGAGGCCCCTTCCCCTGCGCCCACCCCGTCGCCCACCCCTGTGGAAGGTCTGTGGGTCAGGGCAGGTCGGGGGGGTCAGCCTGCCGCATGGGCTGCTTCCAATGCCCGCTTCTTGTCCCCCCAGACCTCGGCCCCCAGACCAGCACCTCCCCGGGACGCCTGGTGAGGAGCCGGTGGCTATGCCTTCCCTTCACCCCCGAGGCATGGGGGTGGGGTCTGGCCTGCCCCCACCCCCGTGGCCCTCATCCCCCCCTTTCCTCTCACTCTCTGCCTCTCCCCTCACGCTGTCCTTTCAAGCCCTTGTCTGGAAAGAAGTTTGACTACAGGGCCTTTGCGGCCCTGCCTTCTTCCAGACCTGTCTATGACATCCAGGTACCTGGCCTCCAGGCCTCTGCATGCCTGCCACCCTGTCCGTGCCTGCCACCGCCCCCATCCGCTCCCGCAGGGCCTCCCCACGCTCTGCCGTGGCCCTGCCTCTTCACCCCCCCTCCCCCTTCAGCCGGGCTCTGTGGGCCTCAGGGCTGGGAGCCCACCCGTCCACCTGGGTGGTTTGGGGCAGGGCTGGCACCGGCCTGACCAACACTCTCCCCATCACAGTCACCGGACTTTGCTGAGGAGTTGAGGTCCCTGGAACCATCTCCCAGCCCTGGTGAGTTGGGGCCGGGCTGGGGTGAGCTCCCAGGAGCCCAGCTGCCCTCAGCTCACTGCCCACCTGTCCCTGCCCTCCAGGCCCGCAGGAGGAGGATGGAGAAGTGGCTCTGGTGCTTCTGGGCAGGCCCTCACCCGGCGCTGTGGGCCCTGAAGATGTGGCACTGTGCAGCAGCCGCCGCCCCGTAAGGCCTGGGCGCCGTGGCCTGGGCCCTGTGCCCTCCTAGAGGAGCAGGCACCTCCCCCAGACTTGGGGTGGGGGCCCTGCCAGCTCCAGCACCACCCTTGCCCCAAGTCTTTTAACCTGGGTGTTAGCATTTTAAAGAGACCCCACAGGAGTTCTGGCCTGTGACTAACTAACTGCCCCACCCCAGCCGAGACCTCGGCGAGACTGTAACTAGTGATGTTTGTACAACCAAAGACTCTATTTTGTGGTTTAAGGAGAATAAAGTTGACTACATTTTACCTCCCGTCTGCCTGTCCATCCCCCACCCACTAGCACAGACCCTTCCTGCCCTCCGAGGCGAGGCTGAGCTCCGAGGGCTGCACCCTCACCGTCCCTCCCACGTCTCCCGCTGCGCCTCACTGCGCACGGGTCGGCCGGGCAGGCTGCCCATCCCCAGCAGGGCCTCCCCCAAGTGCCTGCAGACCCATGTCCGCCGGCCGGGGCCCGGGACTGCCGGAGTCCTGGACTGGCACACGCCACCGCTGCCCCCACGCACGCAGCACAGATGCAGCACCGCGCCCCGGGGCACACGTTTTATTGGGACTGGGGCCAGCACTAGAGGCCTGTGCCTGGCAGCTGCACGCGCACTGGGAGCAGCACCTGCAGCTGCTCAGCTGGCGGCCACTGGACCTTGGTGACGAAAAAGAGGCGGAAGTGCTCCAGCCGCTGCTCCTGGAACTGCGTGGGGCTATACTCAGGCCCGTCCGTGGGCCGCAGCAGCGACAGGTACCTCTCCTGCACCGCCTCCAGCTGCCGCTGCACGACTGGGAACAGGTCTTCCTCTCGCAGGTCGAACACCAGCGGCTTCCCATACCTGCCCCATGAGGCTGGTGAGGCCAGGGTGGGGCTAGGGAGGTGGGGTGGGGTGTACCTGTCACCCTGCCTGCCTCACCGCAGAGCCCCCAGCAGAGCCAGCCACATCGTCTCCGGCCTCAGGGGCTCCGGGTTCACCGTGTCCACATAGTTGGTATCCTGGTAGCGCAGGAAGGTGGCCGCCTGGCCCAAAGGGTCAATAACAAGAGGCCACCTGGGGACACCCATCAGGTCACTGCTGTCTGTCCAAACCCCAAATCGCCCACGTCTGGCCCGGAGAACTGACCGGCCATCGGCACGGATGCGGTTGCCTACATCTTTCATCAGCACATCGTGCAGCTCGGTGACCTGGCACTTCAGCCCAGGCGCCTCTTCCTCCCCTGTCGGGGTAGCAGAGTGCAGCTGACAGGCAAGCCCGACGCCGGACCCCGCCCTGGGCTGTATGTCCCAGCCCCCAGCCGGCGCCCCATGCCAGGCCCACCCTCCTGCGTCTGCTCCCGAAGCTCCAGCCTGGCCATAGCCAGCGCCTCCTCGGCCTTCTGGGCCTCCTGCCGCAGCCTGTCCACCTGGGCCTCTGTGTCCTTGATGGCCTGGAGGAGGAGGCCACACTGACTTGCTTGCCCTGCCCCATGCTCTGGCTGGAGAGGGCAGCTGCCCGAGCTTCCTCCCCACCCCACCCCAAGCAGGCCACTGTCGGCTGGTGACTCCCCATGTTTGAGAGGGAAAAACCCCAGGCCTGGGAGCGGGGAGCTCTGGGCTGGTTTGGAACAAGGAGGGGTGTTGAGGACGCAGGGGCATATCAAGTCCACCACGGGCCCCCACCTGCAGCGTGAGCTTGGTCTTGTCCATGCACCTCCACTCACACTGGTCGTGCTCTGAGATCCTCCGGCTAAGCTCACAGTAGGCCTGTTGCAGCTGGGTGGGCGTACGGGCAGGCCCTGGCAAGGCTGGCCAGTATCCTCCGACCAGGTCACTCCTGGCCCAGGGGCCTGAGGACACCTCCCCTCCTGGCTCTTCCCCCAGCTTCCTGGCCCTCCCTCGGCTCCCCCTCCTCCCCACCCGGCTCTCCCTCCTCCTTTCCTGGCTCCTCCCTGAGGTCACACTCACCTCCTTGTGACACTGCTGCTGCTCCCTGGTCAGCTGTTGGACCTTGAGGGTCATACTAAGGAGCAGGAATGAGCTGGGACAGAGGCTTCCGCCAGCGCCCCCACCAGCACCCCCTGCCCGGGCTCCCTGCCAGCGCCCCTTGCCAGCACCCCTCGCCAGCACCTCCCACACCCCTCCTGCCTTCCACACCGCTCAGCCTCGGCCTCCTTGTGCCTCTGGGCCTCCTGGGCCCGGCGCTGCTGCTCAGCCTCCATGTTCTGGAGCATGGCCTCCGTGAGGCTCAGGTCCCACGAGCGCAGCACGCTCACCACTGTGTCCAGTGAGGCCACCTAGTGACAGACGACATTTGTCGGGCCCTCAGTGCGTGTTCCGAGTCTCCTCAGCCTGGAGAGGAACTGTTGCTCTCCCATCTGGGAGAAAGGGTGCCATTATGCAGAAAGGGCCTCAGTGCTCACAGCTGGTGCGTGGTGGGCCCCAAAGCATGAGCCCCTGTGGGGCTGCTGTCCCCAAAGCCCAGGCCACCCAGGCCGCTGGGAATTCTCCTGGGCTCCCTGACCAAGTCCAAGCAGGAACCTGCTCCTGTGGCTGGGCCTCCAAGGGCTTCCTTCCCCTTCAGTCCCCCAGGACCTGGCCCAGGCTTCCCGCCTCTGTCAGACTCAAGTACACGCCTGAGGCCTTGGGTGCCACTGCTGCTTCCTGAGTAGGAGGCTGGCCCGCAGGATGTGCACACTGGAGCTCCCTCCTCTGTGGTCTCCCACAGATCTCTGCCTGCAGGACACAATCCCTGGGGCCGCCGCTGCCTCTCACCCTCCTGAGTCCCCAGCACTCCAGGAGCAAGGAGTGGGTGCAGAGAGCCGGGCTCAAAGCCCAGCTGCGCCGGGTGAGTCCCTGACTTCCTGTGCCTGGCCCTCCTTGTCTGTGGAGCAGGGGTGATGCTTGGAGGGGGTCACAGTGAGGAGGAAGGAAGAGCAGGAGCTCAGAGCAGGTCCACATGCGCCTGGTGGCGGGCCAGTCCCGGCATCACGCTTGACCAGGAAGCTGTTCGTGGGTGGCTCCGTGTGTGAATGCCACTTGCCCCTTCCTGCTCTGGGAAGCAGGGGTGACCAGGGCCTGTTGTCTAGTGTGGCCAGCTCCCTAATAGCTGGATGACAGCGGAAGGAGGCAAGGCGGTAGCTGAGAAGGGCCGGGTGGGGCAGGGAGACTCTCATACTCGGAATTAGGCCTGCGAAACAGTCGGGGCCCGAGGAGCTGCTGGCTGGAGAGCAGAGGCCTGGGAGAAGAAGAGCAGGTGGCTGAAGGTGGGTGCCACAACCAAGAGCAGACCGAGAAGGTGTGGCAGGCCTGGCGACGGGGCCAGGTGGAGGTGGACAGGCACGGGCCATGGAGCAAGCAGAAGGCACTGCGTTAGGGGTGCGCGGGTGAGCGGCCGCATTCCCACAGAGCAAGGGGTTTGTGGCGTGGGAAGGATGAAGACAGGATGAGGGGAAGGAGGTGGGGTGCGCGGGTGAGCCGCCGGCGTTCCCACAGAGCAAGGGGTTCGTGGCATGGGAAGGATGAAGACAGGATGAGGGGAAAGAGCGGGGGCAGGATGAGTTCCCTGTAGCTCTTCCAGGAGACTGGCCACAGACAAGTGCAAACAGGGAGACTGAATGTGGGCAGAACTGGGAAGAACTCACAGATGCACGGGAGGGAGGGAGACACAGCAGACGAGAGGGAGAGAAGCAGTGGCGCGGCGTGGCCTTGGGTAACTGCCATCCTGGCTGAGTCGGTGCTGACTTAAGCATTTGTCTACAGATGCAGGGGGCAGAGATGGAAAGAAGGGGCAGTGTAGGGGGCCTGCAGGTCTGTGGGGGGCCAGGGACATGCAGACACGTGGTAAACTCACCTCCACGGCCACCTGATGGATCCACAGGCTAACCACGGCCTGAGGACTGCCCTGTGCTATCTGCTTCCCAGCAGCTAGGACCAAAAGTTCAAAGCCCACCAGGGCCAAAATCAAAATTTTACACAGACATTTGCTTTAAATAGAGCCCAAATATGCATACTTCTAGACATTTAGACCGACCCTGCTTGCTTTGAATACCCTGCAAAACTGAACCCACGTCTGCCAGTGGTGGATGAGACAAACCCTGGGGCTACAAAAGCCTTCAGGCTGGGCTGCCCTCTGGAGCTCCCTGGTGCCCCATCCTGCTTCTGAGCAGTTTCCCCTAGGCGTCAAGCCCTCCGTGAAAACCTGTCCAAGTGCCACCAGAATAAAGCTCACTGCGTGCTACCGCCCTCTCCTGGTCCTGTATTCCTCGATCAGCCCCCAAATCCTCCAGCCTCTGTGCCTCATTCCCTGGCAGCCACAGGGGCTCCTTCCTTGTCCCCCTCAGGATCTTACACTGGCCAGTCCTCCTGTCTGGAAGCTCCTCAGGCGTTCACAGCCCTCATTCCCTCCCCTCCAAGTTCTCCCTTGTATGCCACCTTCTCAGCAAACCCCACCTTGGCCACCTTTCTTAAAATTCCAGCCCAGCCCTGCCCGCCCTGGTAGCCTGGCATCTCCACTGCACTGTGAGTTGTGACAGAAGGGACTTTGTTTTGTTCAAGGATGGGTCCTAAGGACCTAGAACAGCTCCCAGCTCAGGTCTTCTGTCAGTTGGTCCAGTGGCTGGGCTAATCATGAACGGATGAGCTAATTCGTACATTAGCATATACCTGATTGTTTGGACAGATAAATGGGTAAACACATAGGAGAGATGACTATATAGATGTATTCATTTATGCACATTCTTCTGCACATTTATCAATGATTCTGTCTATATTTGTAAATATAAATTTGCAAATATAAACGTGGGTGGGTGAGTGAAGGAATTTATGAATATGCAAATTTGATCCTCACTTTGGGGTCCTAAGGACAGTAGCCTCCGAGTGAGGTTGACTTCAGCTTAGCTTCAAATCATCTTAATCTCTGAAGTTGGTGAAGTGACTCCAGACCGCTGGTACCCCCAATACATGGCAAAACCTAAATCCTCAGTGAAAAAAGAGTGAAAAATACCTTTCTAGGCTTCAAATGATTCCTACCAGTAAAACGTATGACATGGCCAGGCAAGGTGGCTCATGCCTGTAATCCCAGCACTTTGGGAGGCTGAGGCATGCAGATTGCTCGAGCCCAGAAGTTGAAGACCAGCCTGGGCAACATGGCAAAATCCTGTCTCTACAAACAAATAAAAAAAATTAGGCCAGGCACGGTGGCTGACGCCTGTGATCTCAGCACTTTGGAAGGCTGAGGCAGGCAGATCACAAGGTCAGGAGTTGGAGACCAGCCTGGCCAACGTGGTGAAACCCCGTCTCTACTAAAAATACAAAAATTAGCCAGGTGTGGTGGTGCGTGCCTGTAATCCCAGCTACTTGGGAGGCTGAGGCAGGAGAATTGCTTGAATCTGGGAGGTGGAGGTTGCAGTGAGCTGAGATCGTGCCACTGCATTCCAGCCTGGGTGACAGAGCAAGATTCCATCTCAGAGAAAAAAAAAAAAAAATAGCTGGGCATGGTGGCTCAAGCCTGTAGTCTTAGCTACTTGGGAAGCTGGGGCAGGAGGATCATTTGAACCCAGGGGGTCAAGGCTGCAGTTAACTGTGATCACACCACTGCACTCCAGCCTGGGTGACAGAGCAAGACCCTGTCTCAAAGAAAATAAAAAATAAAAAAGGCTGGGTCTGGTAGCTCACGCCTATAATCTCAGCACTTTGGGAAGCTGAGATGGGCAAATTACTTGAGGTCAGGAGTTCAAGACCAGCCTAGCCAACATGGCAAAACCCCATCTCTACTGAAAATACAAAAATGAGCTGATGTGGTGCTGCACACTGGTAGTCCCAGCTACTCGGGAGGCTGAGGCATGAGAATCGCTTGAACCTGGGAGGCAGAGGTTGCAGTGAGCTGAGATCATGCCACTGCACTCTAGCCTGGGTGACAGAGGAAGACTCTGTCTCAAAAAAAAAAAAAAAAAAAAAGATACAGAACAAAGGCACAGGAAAATACAAGGCAATATAAACAAAAATCTGCAGAAACTACAAATGATAGAAATAGCTCCACAAGGGATCAGGATATTAGAGTTAGCTACAGATTTTCAAATAACTATATTTACTGTGCTCAAAGAGAGACTAGATTGATTTTAGCAGAGAGCTGGAACCAAATAAAATTTTAGACATGAAAATTAAAATAACCAAAATTAAGGACAAAGTGCATGGATTTAATAACTAGCTAGATGCAGCTGAAGAGAGAATTAGTAAACTGAAAGACATGTCACAAGAAAATATCCAGAATAAACTCAAAACAAAAGGATGGAAAATACAGAAAAGAGGGTAAAAAAACTGTGGTAAGTTACTAGTGCTGATCATCAAACATGTCCGTCCTTCCACCTTCTAGACATAGTATAGGATTACACTTCCTGACCAATTTGTGGTTTTGGTGGAGCCAAATGACTAGATCTGACCAATGAGCTATAAGTAGAAGTGTTTGTGCTAGACCCTCCTCAGCTCTTTCCCTCTGGTATACTGACCAGCAATATTCAAGATGGTGGTTGCTCTGTCAGCCTGGGTCCCTAACAGACTACAGTTAGCAGAAGCCCCCTGTTAACCCTCAATGGACATGTAGCATAAGTAAAAAATAAACTCATTTTGTTTTATACCATTGAGATTTGGAGACTGCATGTTCCACAGCACATCTGTATTAGTCCATTCTCACATGGCTAAAAAGAACTACCTGAGACTGGGTAATTTATAAAGAAAAGAGGTTTAATTGACTCATGGTTCTGCAGGCTGTACAGGAAGTATGGCTAGGGATACCTCAGGAAACTTACAATCATGACAGAAGGCCAAGGGGAAGCAGGCACATTTTACATGGCTAGAGAAGGAGGAAGAGAGAGCAGGGGGAGGTGCTACATACTTCTAAACAACCAGATCTCATGAGAACTCACTATTGTGAGAAGACCATGGGGAAATCAGCCCCCGTGATCCAATCACCTCCCCCCAGGCCCCTCCTGCAACACTGAGGATTACAATTTGACATGAGATTTGGGTGGGGACATAGATCCAAAACATAGCAACATCCTAGTCTATCCTGGTTGATACAGAAATGTAGAGGCTATGGTGAGATCTACCATCTGTATATTTGGAGAGTGAGAATAAGGGCAGAAACAGAGGTAATGACTGAGAACTTTCCAAAACCCAAGCATGAAGAAAAACAAGGTGGGAAGACTTGCTTTTATCTGGTACAAGACTTGTTATAAAGCTGCTGTAGTCAAGACATGGGTATTGACACAGGATAGATCAATAGACCTATGGAACAGAACAGCGATCCCAGAACAGAGCTATAAGTATATAGACACTTGACTTAGGGCACAGTTGATGGTGTAGAGTGAGGAGGGCAGTCTTTCACAAAGACTGTGGGTGCTCTCAGGACAACTGTGCATCCATATGAGAAATAAACAAGCTTGAACATGACCTTGCACAAGGAGGACCAAAACAACGCACAGAAGTCTATTCTAGTGGATGATGGCTCTAAATGTGAAAGATGTAGAAGACTGCACCAGAAAATATCTTTATGTCCTTGGGAGGATGGAGAGACTTCTAAACTGACATAAAAGGCACCAACCATAAAGGAAAAGAATGATAAAATTTACTACAGTAAAACAAAATTTTCCATCAAATTATAACATTAAGTGAGTGAAAAGGCAAGTAAGACAGAAGACACCTATAATACATGTAATTGATAAGGAGTTTGATCTAGAATATATAAATAAGGTCCACAGAGCAATAAGGAAAATAAATCAGGCAACCCAGAGAAAAGTGGTCACTAATGCTAACAGGTACTACTTTTAAAAAGATAGCTAAGGGGCTAATATGCCTAAGAGTTCTCAACTTCATTAGTTGGCAGGGAAATGCAAGGTAAAACTGCAGTGAGGCACCACGGCACATCCACCATGAGTCTGCATTAAAAAACACTGGCAATCACAATGTCTGGGAGAGCATGGGGCAGTGGGACTATAACATATTGTCAGTGGGAGTGGATAAACTGGTACAACCATTTTGGAAAACTGTGCACATATGTACCAAGAGACACATACAAGAATGTTCATAGCAGCATCATTATAACCAAAGCCTGGAAACAAACTGAACGTTCATCAGCAGTAAAATGGTAAATATATTGCAGACATTTATATAATTAAAGTCTCCATAACAATGAAAGTAAATGAACTTTAGCTACAGGCAACAAGACTGAATCTCACGAATATAGCCTGTGATAGAAGAAGCCAGATACCAAAGAACAGCTGCCATATAAATTCATTTACATAAAGCTCAAACACAGTGAAACAAAGCTATATTATTTAGGCACTCATGTTTAGGAATGAATGGATGAATGAGTAAGTGGATGACAAAGTGAATGAATAAAGGAGGGATGATTTAATGATGGAATAAAGAAAAGCAAGAGGCCAGGCACGGTGGCTCATATCTGTAATCCCAGCTCTTCGGGAGACCGAGGTGGGCAGATGCCTGAGGTCAGGAGTTTGAGACCAGCCTGTCCAACATGAAGAAACCCTGTCTCTACTAATACAAAATTAGCTGGGCATGGTGGCACGTGCCTGTAATCCCAGCTACTCAGGAGGCCGAGGCAGGAGAACTGCTTGAACCTGGGAGGCGGAGGTTGCAGTGAGCCAAGATTGTGCCGTTGCACTCCAGAGCCTGGGCAACAAGAGCGAAACTCTGTCTCAAAAAAAAAGAAAAAGAAAAAAAGAAAAGCAAGAAAGTAAGCACTGACAAGCCCACAGCCAACATTATACTGAATGGGCAAAAGCTGGAAGCATTCCCCTTGAAAACTGGCACAAGACAAGGATGCTCTCTCCCATCACTCCTATTCAACATAGTATTGGAAGTCCTAGCCAGAGCAATCAGGCAAGAGAAAGAAAAGGCATCCAGATAGAATGAGAGGAAGTCAAACTGTTTCTGTTTGCAGACAACATGATTCTATATCCAGAAAACCCCATAGTCTTAGCCCAAAAGCTCCTTCAGCTGCTAAACAACTTCAGAAAAGTTTCAGGATACAAAATAAATGTACAAAAATCACTAGCATCCCTATACACCAGCAACAGCCAAGCCGAATGCCAAATCAGAAAGGCAATCCCATTCACAATTGCCACAAAAAGAATAAAATACCTAGGAATACAGCTAACCAGGGAGGTGAAAGATCTCTACAATGAGAATTATAAAACACTTCTCAAAGAAATCAGAAAAGGCACAAACAGAAAAACATCCCATGCTCACGGATAGGAAGAATCAATACCATTAAAATGGCCATATTGCCCAAAGCAATTTACAGATTCGACGCTATTCCTATCAAACTATTATACCAAGCATTTTATTCACAGAACTAGAAAATACTATTTTAAAATTCATATGGAACCAAAAAGCCCAAATAGCCAAGGCAATCCTAAGCAAAAAGAACAAAGCTGCAGGCATTGTGTTACCCGGCTTCAAACTATACTACAGGGTTACAGTAACCAAAACAGTATGGTACTACACAAGCACATAGACCAATGGAACAGAATAGAGAGCCCAGAAACAAGGTTGCATACCTACAACCACCTGATCTTCAACAAAGCTGACAAAAACAAGCAATGGGGAAAAGACTCCATATTCAATAAACCGTGCTGGAATAACTGGCTAGCCATATGCAGAAGATTGAAGATGGACCCCTTCCTTACACCATACATAAAAATCAACTCAAGATGGATTAAAGACTTAAATGTAAAACTCAAAACTATAAAAACCCTGGAAGACAACATAGGCAATACCATCCTGGACATAAGAACGGGCAAAAATTTCATGACAAAGACACCAAAAGCAATCAAAACAAAAGCAAAAATTGACAAGTAGGATCTAATTAAACATGAGAGCTTCTGCATAGCAAAAGAAACTATCAGCAAAGTAAACAGACCACCTACAGAATGGGAGAGCATATCTGCAAACTATGCATCTGACAGAAGTCTAACATCCAGCATTTATAAGGATCTTATACAAACTTACAAGAGAAAACCCCATTAAAAAGTGAACAAAGAAAATGAACAGACACTTTTCAAAATAAGACATGCATGTGGCCAGCAAGCATATGAAAAAAAGCTCAATATCACTGATCATCAGAGAAATGCAAATCAAAACCACAATGAGGATACACCATCTCATACCAGCCAGAATGGCTACTATAAAAAGTCAAAAAATAACAGATGCTGGTGAGGTTGTGGAGAAAAGGGAACACACACACACTGTTGGTGGGAGTATAAATTAGTTCAGCCACTGTGGAAAGCAGTATGGGAATTCCTCAAAGACCTAAAAGCAGAACTACCATTGGACCCAGCAATCCCATTACTGGGTATATACCCAGAGGAATATAAAGCAGTGTACCATAAAGACACATGCACGCATATGTTGACTGCAGCACTATTCACAATAGCAAAGACATGGACTCAACCTAAATGCCCATCAGTGACAGACAAGATAAAGAAAATGTGGTACATGCACACCGTGGAATACTATGCAGCCATAAAAAAAGAATGAGATCATGTCCTTTGCAGGAACATGGATGGAGCTGGAGGCCATTATCCTCAGCAAACTATCGCAGGAACAGAAAACCAAACACCACATGTTCTCACCTGTAAACGGGAGCTAAAGGATGAGAACTTAGGAACACAAAGAAGGAAACAACAGATACTAGGATCTACTTGAGGGTGGAGGGTGGGAGGAGGGAGGGGAGCAGAAAACTATTGGGTACTGGGCTTAGTTCCTGGTGAGGAAATAATCTGTACGACAAATCCCCATGACTATGTCACCTGCATAACAAACCTTCACATGTACCCCCAAACCTAAAAGAAAAGTTAAAAAAAGATGACTTAACATCTCTGTGCTTAAGTTTCTTTGTATATAATAAAGTCTTTGTATATAATGTAGGAATATTAATAATACTACAATCAGGTTTGTTGAGAGGATTAAACTGGGAACTTTATACATATTTCAGGAAAGTTTTGTAACTTGAAAAAAAGAAGGAAGCAAGCACTATAAAATTCAGGATATGATGATCTGGGGAGAGGTGTGGTGTTCTGGCGATACTTTATTTCTTGAGTCAGGTAGTTACTACATGAGTATTTCCTTTGTGGTAAATAATTGAGCCACAACTTTGATTTCTGCAATATTCTGTATGTCATTTGTAATTAAAAAGGAAAGTCTGAAGATGTATAAAATCAAGGAGTAGCTAAAATGAGAGAAGGGATGAATGGATAACTAGATAAATAGGATGGAAGAGTGAACAGACATACGAATGAGGCAATGATTTTGTAACTTAAAAGAAATTGTGATACTCATTTAAAATAATAATAGCTACCATTTCTTGAGAACTGACTTTGCACCAGGAATTGTGCCAAGGAATTTCATTCACTATCTCATGAATCTTCAAAAAGCTGTTATTAGTCCCATTTCTGAATATATGGAAACAGATTCAAATAAGCTTCAGAACTTGCCAAAGTTCTGTCTGTAAGTGGAAGAACTGGAGTAGACGGAAAATGAATGAAGACAGAAAATAAAAGGATAATATAACGAGTAAACTTACGAGTGTCTTAATGAATAGGCAATAAATGATGAATGAATGAGTAAATTAATGAATTAAACTATAAGAGAATGAAGATTAGATTAATTGAATGAACTGATTAAATGATGAACTGATACATGAAAAATTAATAGATGAATGAGTGTAAAGAATGGATACGTGAGATAAGCAAATGGTTAGTTGAGCAACTGGATGGATGAATTGATGGATGAATTCATCGTTCAACAAAATGTTTCAGTGCCTATCGTGGTCAACCAATACTGGGGCATACGATTAAGGGGTGAACGAGACACAGTCCTTCTTTGCTTTCTCATAATTTTCTGTCAAGTAAACAGCATGAATGCGTGTATGAATGGATGAATGGATGTCTGAATGAATAGTAGATAAAAAATAAGTGAATAATTATTTAAACATGGTGTAAGGGTGGAATGGGCACATTAATGAGTGGATAGCTTATAAGTTTATAAATTTATATATGTTTATAAGTTCATAAATTTATATATAAGCTTATAAATTTATTTATAAGTTTATAAATAAATGACTCATGGCTGGGCATGGTGGCTCACACCTGTAATCCCAGCACTTTGGGAGGCCGAGGCAGGCAGCCCACCTGAGGTCAGGAGTTCGAAACCAGCTGGCCAACATGGCAAAACCCCATCTCTACTTAACATACAAAAGAACAAATTAGCTGGGCGTGGTGGCGCATGCCTGTAGTCCCAGCTACTCTGGAGGCTGAGGCAGGAGAACCGCATAAACCCGGGAGGCAGAGGTTGCAGTGAGATTGCGCCACTGCCCTCCAGCCTGGGTGACAGAGCAAGACTCCATCTCTAAATAAATAAATAAATGACTCAAGTTAATAAGATAATTATGAATTGGCGAAAGCGCAAACCAATACTGGGGCGAGATGGATGAAGTGGGTGAATGTATGGAAACGATGACTGATGAATGATGAAGGGATGGTGATGGACAGCGTGGTTCAGCTCTTCGGTATCATCGCTGATATTCCGTCTACTTGTCTCATCAATTATGGGGAGAGAGAGATGGCAAAATCGCCTATTACCATTGTGGATCTCTTTATTTCTCCTTGTAGTTCTCATAGTTTTTGCTTCATGCATTTTGAAACCCTGTTAGTAGCTGCATGAACATTTAGGATTTTTATGTCCTCATGATGAATTCCTACATTTGTCATTACTAAATGATTCTTTTATCCTTAGTAACATACTTTTTTCTGAAATCTACTTGATGTTAATACAGTTACTTCAGCATCCTGTTTAGTGTTATCTTGGCATATTTGTTTTTATCATTTTAATTTTCAACTATTTGTGCTTTTACATTTAAAGCTTGTTTCTTATAGGTAGAACATAGTTAGCTACAATTTTTAATCCAAAATGACAATCCATCTTTTTTTTTTTTGTTTTGAGACGGAGTCTTACTCTGTCACCCAGGCTGGAGTGCAGTGGTGCGATCTTGGCTCACTGCAAGCTCCGCCTCCTGGGTTCACGCCATTCTCCTGCCTCAGCCTCCCAAGTAGCTGGGACTACAGGCGCCCGCTACGATGCCCGGCTAATTTTTTTGTATTTTTAGTAGAGACGGGGTTTCACCATGTTAGCCAGGATGGTCTCGATCTTCTGACCTCGTGATCCGCCCGCCTCGGCCTTCCAAAGTGCTGGGATTACAGGCGTGAGCCACCGCGCCCGGCAACAATCCATCTTTTAATTGGGGTGTTTAGAATGTCCATGTGTAATGAGATTATTTATATGGTGGAGTTAAAATCTACCATTTGCTGTTTGTTTCCCACTGGTCCCAGTGGTTCTTTTCCTTTTCCTCTTTTCCTGACTTCTTTGGCAATATTTTTTAAGAATTCCATTTTATCTCTTTTGTTGGCTTATTAGCTCCAACTCTTTTGATATTGTAGTAGTTGCTTTAGGCTTTAGAGTATACAGCTCTAAATTGTCACAATCTACTTTTTAATGATATTAAACCACTGCACATATAAGAACCTTAAGACAATACACTTCCATTTACCCCTCCCAGCCTTTCCGGTATATTTTGGGATTTTTTTTTAGTGGTTTGTTTTTTTTTTTTTTTTTTTAAGACGGAGTCTTGTTCTGTCGCCCAGGCTGGAGTGCAGTGGCATGATCTCAGCTCAGCTCACTGCAGCCTCCGCCTCCCGGGTTCAAGCAATTCTCCTGCCTCAGCCCCCTGAGCAGCTGGGATTACAGGCGCCTGCCACCATGCCCAGCAAATTTTTGTATTTTTAGTAGAGACAGGGTTTCACCATGTTAGCCAGCCTGGTCTCAAACTCCTGACCTCAGGTGATCTACGCACCTCAGCTTCCCAAAGTGCTGGGATTACAGGTGTAAGCCACTGTGGCCAGCCAATTATTATCTCATATATATGTGTATATATGTATATATGATAATGTATGTGCATATATATGTATATATACGATAATATATATGTGTGTGTATATATATGTGTGTGTCTTATATAGGGTCTTGCTCTGTCGCCCAGGCTGGAGGACAGTGGCACAATCACGTCTCACTTCAGCCTCCATCTCCTGGGTTCAAGTGATCCTTCCCCTTCAGCATCCCAAGTAGTTGGGACCACAGGCACATGCCACCATGCCTGGTTCAAATTAATTTTTTTTTTAATTCTAGGAATAATGATCCCTCACCACTGAGCCAAGCTCCTTCTGAGAACTCCACCCAATACCCTATGAATCATGAGATTTTTCACCCTGGCTGACGGGAGTAGGCACTGCTTCCTTCACGCTTCTCAGAAGCCCGTTTCCCCAGCCTTGAGCCGTTTCCCCATGTATAGGAGCCATTAAATATTCAACTGCCTTATTAGCTACAACTAACTACCACGAGGGATCCAACTGAATGACCAAAGGGGATCGTGTCCATGTCTCTAGGGTTCTTTCTTTCTTCAGCTGTCTCCCCTCTGGCACTTGTGATCTCCTGCTGCCTCAGTATCCTTGAATTCTGAATTCTTGTCTCCTTAACTCAGAGAATATGCCTGGCTCTGTCTACGTTCCCCCTTCCTATACTACACCCTGAAAATTCTCTCAAGGTGGTAAACTGGGACAAGCTTAGGGCTCACTTTGCTTATTTTCAGCCTCTTGGAGATCTCTTTCTGATTTGTTGCCTGATGTCCAATGTCTTGGAAACCTTTGTTTCCTATATTCTGTCTTGGATTTGTTCTTGTTTGAAGTGAGAGGATAAATCAGACGTTTTTGCTCAATTTTTTTCTTTTTTCTTTTTCTTTTTTTTTTTTTTTTTTGAGACGGAGTCTCGCTCTGTCGCCCAGGCCGGACTGCGGACTGCAGTGGCGCCATCTCAGCTCACTGCAAGCTCTGCCTCTTGGGTTCACGCCATTCTCCTGCCTCAGCCTCCCGAGTAGCTGGGACTACAGGCGCCCGCCACCACGCCCGGCTAATTTGTTGTATTTTTAGTGGAGACGGGGTTTCACCGTGTTAGCCAGGATGGGCTTGATCTCCTGACCCCGTAATCTGCCCGCCTCGGCCTCCCAAAGTGCTGGGATTACAGGCGTGAGCCGCCGCGCCCGGCCGCTGGGATTACAGGCGTGAGCCACCGCGCCCGGCCCTCCTCAATTTTTTTCAACCTTCTCTTTCTCTTTGTTTCATTTTGGAGAGTTTCTATTGCTATATCTTCAGATTAACTAATTTTCTTCAGTGTCTAATCTGCATCTTCCATTAATCCCATCCAGTGTATCAATGTACTTTTCATCTCAGACATTGCAGTTTTCATCTCTAGTTTAGGAATGGTGTGTGTGTGTGTGTGTGTGTGTGTGTGTGTGTGTAATACAGCTATAGTTTTTTTGTTTTTGAGGCGGAATCTCACTCTGTTGCCCAGGCTGAAGCCCAGTGGCGCGATCTCAGCTCACTGCAACTTCTGCCTCCTGAGTTCAAGCACTTCTCCTCTCTCAGCCTCCTAAGTAGCTGGGATTAGAGGTGCCCACCACCACGCCCAGCAGCTAATTTTTGTATTTTTAGTAGAGATGGGGTTTCACCATGTTGGCCAGGCTGGTCTCAAACTCCTGACCTTGTGATCTGCCCGCCTCGGCCTCCCACAGTGCTGGGATGACAGGTGTGAGCCACCCCGCCCGGCCTCAGCTATAATAACTTTTAATGTTCTTGTCTACTAATTCCATCTCCTGTGTCATCCCTGAGTCTGTTTTCATTGATTTTTCTCTTCACTCTGGGTCATTTTTCGTGTGTGTGTGTGTGTGTGTCTGTGTGTGTGTGTGTGTGTAGCATGCCTGGCAATTTAACTAAATTTTTATTTTGAATTTTTATTTTGATTTACATGAAGTTACAAAAATAGTAGAGTTCCCATATACCCTTAACAAGCTCCCCCAATGATGACTTCTTACATAATTACGGTACAACATACAAACTAGGATACTGACATAGTACAATCTACAGGGCTCACAGTGGATTTCAACTATTTCACATCTACTCGTGTGTGTGTGTGTATCATTACAATTTTCTCACATGTGCAGTTTTGCGTTACGACCATCGTAATCAAGATACAAGACTGTCTCATCACCTCAAGGGTCTCTTGTGCTACTCCTGCCCAGTCGGCCCCATCTCTCCCCGCTTTTCCTGCCCCCACTCCCATCCGTAACCCCTGCAGCCCTCCGATCTGTCCTCCGTCTCCACAGTGTTGTCATGTGAGTGTGTGTGACCTTCTCCCCCACTCTGTGAAGCTCCCTTCCGGTTTCTCCACGTTGCTAGTTGTTGCATGGATCATGTGTGCACACCGTTTTATTGCCAAGCGTGTTTCGTGGCAGGAATGCACCAAGCTAGTGGAGCCACTCGCCTGCTGGAGGACATCTGAGTCGTTTCCACTTTTTGGCTATTGTAAATAAAGCTGCTGTGAACATCTGTGTACACATTTTTGTGTGGACCTAGTTTTCCTTTTACTGGAGCAAATGTCTAGGAGTCTGATGCTGTGTTACATGGTAAATGTGTTCACTTTTTAAGAAACCGCCTGCCTATTTGCAAGAGCGGCTGTACTGGTGCTGCGTCCCCCCAGCAAGGTGTGGCAGGGCCAGCTTCCCCACATCCCTGCCCTCGTTCGGCTCCAGCTCTAGTTTGACCTGGGCTGTCCTGGGAGGTGTGAGGTGGTGTGCAACACCTCCTCGGGTGTTCATCTGCCATCATTAGATCCTCTTTGGTGAAATTTCTCTTCATGTCTTTGCTCATTTTATACCTAGATTGTATGTTTCATTGTTGTTTGCGATGTGAGTTTTTTCTATGTTCTAGGTACACGTGCCTTGCCAGATGCGTGGTTCACAAACGTTTGCTCCTGCCTGTGGCTTCTTTTCTTCTTGACAGGTCTTTTACAAAGCAAACATTTTACATTCTGATGAAGTTCTGTTTATCAATGTGGTTTTTTTTTTTTTTTGGATTGTGCTTTTTGTGTCATGTCCAAGAATCCCTCCAAGTCCTAGGCCCCAAAGATTTTTCTCCTATGTGTTCTAAAAGTTTTGTAATTTTACCCTTTACATTTAAATCTATAATCCACTTTGAGTTCATTTTTTATAGGTGTGTGCTTCAGGTCCACACTAACCCCTTTGCCTGTGGATGGCCAATGCTCCAGCACCATGGAGTGAACACACAGTCCCCTGGCACCCAAGGGCTCCCCCAGCACCCCCAGCTGCTGCCCTTCTCAGCTCTCCGGGCCACCATGCCCCAGGCAGCAGGTCTGCTGGACACCCCAGCACCCCTGACTCCCACTTGCACCTCTGGACGCCTCACCGTATCCTCAGCCCCTCCCTAAGCCCACCGCCTCGGCCCTGCCCCTCCCCTCCAGCCCAGGAAGAAGGACCCTTTGCAGACAAGGAGAAAGAAGAGAGGGGCAGGACAGGCTCCCAGGCAGCACCTACAGGAGGAGAGTCTGGGGGTGGGTCCCTAGCTGGGCAAAGACTCTGGCAGCAGTCCAGTGGATGCATCTCCCAGGTGTCTGCCGTGGGCCAGAGGCAGAACCCAGACTCCAGGCAGCACCTCCAGATTTGTGTGGGATGTGGGGTGAGGTTAGGGGTGGGGTGGGGGAACATAATGACTGAGATGGGAGAGGGACTGGGGTTCAAATTAAGTTGATTTAAATGAAACTAAGGTAGGCGAGGTTCGTGGTCTGGTTTTCCAGCCACTGCTCCAACAGGCGGAGTCAGCCTCACCCCACCCCACTCCTGGGCCTGGGACAAGTCCAGGCATTGTGTCTCCAGCCTGGCCCAGGGCAGACTCTGTTTTTTTTGTGTTTTTTTTGTTTTTTTTTTTTTTTTGAGTCTCACTCTGTTGCCCAGGCTGGAGTGCAGTGGCGCCATCTTGGCTCGCTGCAACCTCTGCCTCCCAGGTTCAAACGATTCTCCTGCCTCAGCCTCCCAAGTAGCTGGGACTACAGGCGTGCGCCACGACGCCCAGCTAATTTTTGTATCTTCAGTAGAGATGGTGTTTCACCATGTTGGCCAGGATGGTCTCAAACTCCTGAGCTCAAGTGATCCACCCGCCTCAGTCTCCCAAAAGTGCTGAGATTACAGGTGTGAGCCATCACGCCCGGCCAGACAGCCAGACTGTCCTTTCTAACATAGCTCAAAGGCTCTAGAAAGGAGCTCTGTGGCTGGGCTGTGTGGCTCAAGTTCTCTGGAAAACCGACGTACTGACAGTGAGGGGACCGATGGGTGGGCCCCGTGCTGCCCCCAGCGCCGTGAGCTCTGCCAACCCTGGAATCGCCAGCCTCAGTTTCTCCATCAGTAACACCACTTCCTCAGGCAAAGCACGGAAGGAAATGACACAAAACCCGACACCAAAGGCATTCACAAAATGGGAGTCGCTGCCACTTCCACTGCAGACTGACGAGGTTTTAAAGTCAGGACTTCCAGGAAGGGAATGGCGCACGGCGGGGCTAGGAAACCGCTCTAGCAGGCCACTCAGGCTTCTGACAGCTTTCAGAGACAGCCGGTCGGGTGAGCCTTCCCTGCCTGGGTGTGCACCTGCCAGACTCACACCTCCCGGTACCCACACCTCCCGGGGCTCACACCTCCCGAGGCCCACACCTCCCGGGGCTCACACCTCCCGGGGCCCACACCTCTGGGGTCCACACCCGCTCAGGGGTGCTCCCGTCCTCTGCGTACACCCGGGGGTCTGCTCCGAGCTTCAGGAGCACCTCCACAGCTGCCAGGTGGCCCCCAAAGGCTGCACGGTACAGCGGCGTCGGACCGAAAGCGCCCTGCAAGACGGGCCCCCCGAGCAAGATCCAGGCCTTGCCCCTGGGGGAAGGAGGCCCCTGAGGGCCCTGGACCGCGCCCCTCAGCGCGGCGGCCCGCGGCCCACGGCGCCCACCTTGCTGTTGGGGCTGGCGCCGAGCTCGGCCCGCAGCTGGATGGCCAGGGGCTGCCCGCCTGCGGCCGCCTCCGACAGCGGCGTGTTCCCGTAGCTGTCCTCGCACTCCGCCAGAGCCACGCGTCGCTGCAGCCGCCGCGCCTCGCCTGCCTCGTCGTGGCCCACGCCCTCGCGCGTCAGCAGCTGCTCCACCTGCGCAGCTCGCCGCGGTCACCGCTCCCCGCTCCTCCCACTCCCACCCCACCCCCCGCCCTCGTCCTCCTCCCGCCCCCGCTGACCTCCTTCAGCACCGCCCGGATCTCGCCCACGTCCCCGTCGAAGGCGGCGTCCAGCAGGCGGCGGCGACGCTGCAGCTCCTCCCGCCGCTCCCGCTGCGCCGCCTCCTCCTGCTCGCGCAGCCGCCGCGCGGCCTCCTGCTCCCGGCGCACCGGAGCCAGGTAGGCCTGGGAGGCGCCCGCCGAAGTCACCGCCCACTCCGCGCCACCGCCCCGAGCCCCGAGGCCACGGTCCACGCCTCTGAGGTCGGAGCCCGATCTGAGCCTCACCCCCACCACGCACCCTGCTTCGCCATTTCCTCCCCCTGCCTCCTGCCTGGCCCCCGGCTGTTGCGGCTGCCCGTCCTCACCTCCTTCTGCGGCGTCTCCATCTGCTCCAGGTACTCCCGGCGCTCCTCCCGGCGGCGGGCGAGCTCCCTCCTGGCCCGGAGCTGCCGGAAGGCGCCCTGGATCGCTCTGGCCGCTCGGTCCTCGGCCGGCCCTGGGGTGGGGAGAGGCTCACGGGGGCGCGTTCTCGCCTCCAGCCACGCCTGCTGCGCCCCTGGGAGTGGAGCCGGCCCCGCCCCCGCCCCCGCCCCGACAGAAGGACCCAAACGGCTCTCAAAGCCCCCAGCGCGGCCGAGCCGGGGTTCCCGCCCGCAGAGGCCGCACGAGGAGGCTGCGCGAGAGCCCGGGACGCGGAGAGGACCCAGGTCTGCGGGAACCTCCCCCGCCCCACGCCGCCGGGGATCCTGCGAGCCCCGCCGAGCCCGCAGCTCGGGAGCCCCGAGGAACGGTGAGGAAGGGGTGCTGTCCCCCGCGGGACACCCTTCCCTGAAAGCCGAAGGCCCCTCCTGCATCCAGGCCCCAGCGAGCGAAGGCTGGACTGAGCGGGGGGGCCCCAGGCCTGGGAGGGCTCATCACAGCCCCGCTGGACTCAGAAGAGGGCGCGGAGCCCAGGGCCCCAGAGGGAGCTCTGTCCTCTCCGGCTCGGCCTCGCCCTCGCCCCACCGCGGCTGCAACGGAGCGCTGAGCCCGAGCCTGGAGCCGCCTCGCAGTGAGGAGGGGGCGGAGGAGAGGGCGTCGGGCTCAGCGCTGCCCTGACTGGCCTGGGGAAGTCCGGGCACCACTCAGCCTCCCCGGCCTGAGCCCCTTGCTCTAACGTGGAACGATACCTGCAGCTTTCTAAGAGTCCAGCAATGGGGCGCTTGTGGCGCTTCCGCCACAGTGAACGCTCAGCGTGCGCCCCGTGGGTGTGACTTGTGCCAGGGCACGGGTGGCCAGGCGAGGCTGTCGGGCCACGCGGGTACCCAGCAGGGAGCCACGGGAGCGCAGGCCAGAAGCAAGCAGGCAGCGCAGCTGGGTCTCCACAGGTGCGCCCGCTGGGGAGCCAAGTACTATGATTCCCACAACCAAGCTCCCAGGGAGCATGGGCAGAATGGCGGGATGAGGCGAGACTGGGAGACGCGGAAGACCCTGCAGGCCCAGGGCACGGACCGGAGCAGCCAGCGGGGGCAGGGTGGAGAGCTGAGCCCATGTGGGAAAATCACAGCGAAGGAGAATAAAGGGAGAGGCGCCGTCAGGAGGGCGGGACCCCGAGTGGCAGTGGACAGAGATAATACAGTCATAAGAATAACGTGCGTCTAGGATGCAGAGACTGACAATGCAAGCAAAGAGCAAACACTCAAGATAAAACCCAGGAAATCCTGAAATGAATCTTAAGACAAAAGGGGGAAAAATCCCAGAAAACAAAGGGCATGAACAACAGGCATCAGACACAATTCGCTGAAGTTAAGCCTCAAAACAAAATGTTTTTCAAGCACCCGAGGAGAAAGAGCAAAGCACCTATGACAGGAAAGTCCGGCTCTCCTGAGGCTTTTTTCTTTTTGAGACAGGGTCTCACTCTGTCACCCAGGATGCAGCACAGTGGCACAATCTCTGCTCACTGCTGCTTCCACTTCCCCGGTTCCGGCAATCCTCCCACCTCAGCCTCCGAGTAGCTGGGACCACAGGCACACGCCTGTGCACCACGGCCACCTCCGAAGGCTTTTTACAGAAACACTAAATGTTAGAAGAAAATGAAGCAGTGTCCACAAAATTCTGCAGGGAAAACAGTAGGCCAGGAAGAGTATTTGGTTCTGCAGCACAGATGGCAGGGCAGGAGGTGCAGCCTTCCCAGTGACAGCAAGAGAGAAGACAGACGAAATCAAAGTGTTTTTTAAACAAGTGTCTGACGGCATTCAAAGCTACTGAGGAAATGAAGAACGAGGTCTCCAAAACAGTGCAGCAGGGTGGTCCCAACACCAGGCAGGTGGGCCTGGCCTGGCCCAGAGCAAAGGGTCAGCTGCTCAGCAGAGGACGGGCCAAGGGACAGACCTGCATTTAGAGCACTGGGTATGGCTTGGGTTTAGGGTTGCCAGATTTAGCTAATAAACAGGATGCAATTTGGGGGACATACACTAAGTAAATTATTCCTGTTTATCTGAAATTCAAATTTAGGCCAAGCGCAGTGGCCTTGTAATCCCAGCACATTGGGAGGCTGAGATGGGAGGATTGCTTGAGCCCAGGAGTTTGAGGCCAGCCTGGACAACGTGGTGAGACCCTGTCTCTCTTTAAAAAAATATATATAGGGCCAAGTGCAATGGCTCACATCTGTAATCCCAACACTTTGGGAGGCTAAGGTGGGAGGACCACTTGAGCCCAGAAGTTCAAGACCAGCCTGGGCCACGTAGGGAGACCCCTGTCTCTACAAATAACTAAAAATTAGCTGGGTGCAGTGGCGTGCATCTGTAGTCCCGGTTACTCAGGAGGCTGAGATGGGAAGATGGCTTGAGCCCAGGTCAATGCTGCAGTGAGCCATGATCATGCCACTGCACTCCAGCCTGGACAACAGAGCGAGACCCTGTCTCAGTAAAATATATATATTTTTATATTATACATATAGAATATGTATATATGAGAAATTCAAATTTAAATGGATGTCCCGGATTTTGGGAGCCCTGTTTCATCTGGTAGCCCTATTTGGGTCAGAATCACAACCTTCACGAAATAAAATAACCCTGATGGTAACAGGGGCCCAGCTCCAAAGAGTGACAGCAAACAGTCAAAGTCATCTTCATTTGCAGATGATGCACATAAAAATCCAGAAGAACTCATCACAAATGATTATCATCAATAAGCAATCTTGGGAAGGTTCTGAATATAACCTCATACTCACAAAGTGTATTTCTGTACACAAGCAGCAACAGAAAAATTTAATATATTTAGCATCAAAAAACTATCATATACTTGGATTAAGCCCACAAAATAAACGTCAGTGAGTCCACAGTGATACAAATAAAGGATTAAAAACACACTAGAGGGAGTGGAGGGAAAGTAGAATCCCATCAATGGGTGTAGGAGGGGGCAGGGAAGGAGCAGATTCCCATCGGGCACACAAGAAGTGCAGCGGCTGCAGCTGACAGCCACCGACGTATGTCCGCCGGCGCACGTTTCAGTGGGCAGGGGTTTGAAGAGAAGCAGAATTTCTCTTGTCTCAATATATCTCTTCCAAGATAAGTATCAACCACGAAAGGAAAACATAGTACATTTACAAAGGAGAAACCTGGCGGAAACCCCCCCACTAAGTGATCGAGGGCAACGTCACAAGCAGTGAGACATTCGCGGAAACCCTCCTACTAAGTGATCGAGGGCAACGTCACAAGCGGTGAGACGTTCCCGCACCGTAAGCCCCATGACATGATGTACGTCAAAAACACAACATCATTTCTGCTTTATTTTATTTTTAATTTTTAGAAACAGAGCCTCAGCCGGACACAGTGGCTCACACCTGTAACCCCAGCACTTTGGGAGTCCGAGGCAGGTGGGTCACCTGATGTCAGGAGTTTGAGACCAACCTGGCCGACATGGTGAAACCCCGTCTCTACTAAAAGTACAAAAATTAGCTGGGTGTGGTGGCGGCGCCTGTAATCCAGCTACAGGGGAGGCTGAGGCAGGAAGAATCACTTGAACCCGGGAGGAGGAGCTTGCAGTGAGCCAAGATTGAGCCACTGCACTCCAGCCTGGGCGACAGAGCGAGACTCTGTCTCACAAAAAAAAAAAAAAAAAAAAAAGGTCTCGCTCCATCGTCCAGGCTGGAGTGCAGTGGCTCCATCTTGGCTCACTGCAAGCTCCGCCTCCCGGGTTCACGCCATTCTCCTGCCTCAGCCTCCTGAGTAGCCAAGACCACAGGTATACACCACCACACTCAGATTCATTCTTCAAAAGTGTCAAGGTCGTGAAAGAAAAGTCATGACTATAGGAACAGTTACAGACTACAGGTAACTATGCAGAAACAGCAAATAAATGCAATATGGCATCCTGGAAAAACTGGTGAAATTTGAGAAGGTCTTTAGTTAATGGTTTTATGCTAGTGTTGATTTCCTGGTTCTGTTCCTTGTACTGTCTCTATGTAAGATGTTAATCTTAGAGGAAGCTGGGTAAGTTACACATCTATGGAAAATCCCCATACTAATTCTGTTACTTTTCTGCAAGACCAAAACTACTTGAAAATAAAAAAGTAAACAATTGTCAAATACTAGGATTAAATCTGACAAAGATACACACAAGATCTCTATACACATGAGCAAACACACACACACACACTCATAAAACATTTCTGAAGAGCACTAAGACAAAACAGAAAACAAAAGGAGAGATATACCATATTCATAGATTGAGTGGACACTGCTGTAGAGGTGATACTCTCCGCACATTGAGCTATAGGTTCAACGAAATCCTAATGAAGTTCACCCAGCAGGGCTGTTTTGCTTTGTTTGTGTGAAAATTGACCACGTGATTCTGGAATGTATCTGCGAAAGAGCCAAGAATGGCAAATAATTCAAAGAAGAATTCGGTGAGAGGACTTGCTTTTCTTGATATTAGGACCTCATGTCGGTGAAGACAGTGCGATGTTCTCACACGGAGACCAGTGGCCGTGGGTTCAGAAACAGCCCCCGGGCATATGGGCACTTCCTGGCCAGGGGGCCTACAGAGCCGTGGGAAAGAATAGAGATTTCAGTCAGTGGTGGGGTCCAATCAGAAACCCGTATGAGGAGAGGGAGGACAGGTGTCTGCTACTTTACCCCATTCACAACAGGCAATTCCAGATGGACTGGTGATCGCACCGGAAGGCAAAACCATAAAGCTCGTTGAAGATCACATGGGAGAACAGCTTCAGGAACTTGGAGTTGGAAAGATTTATTTCAGAGACCACCACAAAAAATACCCAAAAGAAAACATGTTAAAATCAGTACGTTCTTTTTTTTTTCTTTTTTTCGTGAGACAGAATCTCGCACCGTCACGTAGGCTGGAGTGCAGTGACTCGATCCTGGCTCACTGCAACCTCCACCTCCCGGGTTCAAGCGATTCTCCTGCCTCAGCCTCCCAGGTAGCTGGGATTACAAGTGCCCACCACCACGCCTGGCTAATTTTTGTATTTTTAGTAGAGATGGGGTTTCACCATGTTGGCCAGGCTGGTCTTGAACTCCTGACCTCAGGTGATCCACCCACCTCAGCCTCCCAAAGTGCTGAGATTACAGGCATGAGCCACCATGCCCAGCAAAAATCAGTTAGTTCTATTCACGAGAAGACACCATTGAAAGTAAAAATGCCAGTGAGTGGGAGAAGGTATTTGCAATCCATGTAACTGACAAAAGGTTTGTATTCCGAATATATTGGGAAATACTACAAAGCCGTAAGAAAAAAGGCAGCAGCACAATAGAGAACTAGTAACATACCTGAATGCACACAAGAGCCTACCCAGGTGGCCAATAAATATATGGAAATGTGATGAATCTCATTAGTCACCAGGGAAATCCAATCTAAAACCTCACCTAATACCACGCACACCGGCTAGAGAGAGGCTGCTACTACCCACGGGAGGCTTGCAGAACACCGGTCCCTACACTGCTGTGGGGAGGGAAATCAGAACACCCACGTCAGCAGACGGCTTGGCACACCTGTGCCTTAGCAACCTTTCTCCCAGGTGTGTGCCCCCAAAAATGCATGGATGTGTGCACCAGGAGACACGTGCAAGAAAATCCATGCTAGTGTTATTTTTAAAACCAAAATCTACAAATAATCCAAATGTCTACCAGCAGTAGAATGAATCAGTAATGTTATATGCACATAACAGACACCTAAACAGCCATGAACATGAACCACAGCTACATAAAACAAAGGATGACTTTTAAAATATGTACTTTATATACCACAAAGGAAAAGACGACTAAAGCATGTCAAAATGTAAAACTTCTGCTTATCTAAAAATAACATACCAAAAGTGAAAAACCATATAAATTTGGAAAAGAAATTTGCAACACATAAACCTGTTAAAGAACTTCTGCATATGTCAAAGAAACAGGTAAGTAATCCATAGAGCAATGGGCAGAGAGATGAACAGGCATTTCCCAGAAGAGGAAAATGGATTGGCTAATAAACCTTTGAAAACACATTCCATGAAATGCAAACTAAAATTACCATGGAGGCTCATTTTATATCCAGTAATTTTGCAAAATGTAAAGATAGACATTCTCAGATTGGGTGAGGATGAGAGGATTATATATAATCATAAATATATGATTTTTTTTTTTTGAGACAAGGTCTTACTCTGTCTCCCAGGCTGGAGTGCAGTGGTGTGATCCTGGCTCACTGCAACCTCGGCCTCCAGGGTTCAAGTGATTCTCCCACCTCAGCCTCCCAAGTAGCGGGGATTACAGGCGTGCGCCACCATGCCTGGCTAACTTCTGTATTTTTTGGTAGAGACGGGGTTTTACCACGTTGGCCAGGCTGGTCTTGAACTCCTGACCTCAAGGGATCTGCCCGCCTTGGCCTCCCAAAGTGCTGGGATTACAGACATGAGCCAACAAACCCGGCGCGGCTATATATATGATTCTTGAAATTTTTATTTTTTATTTTTTGAAAATTGTATTTTAAAAGTAAGGGAATGGTGAACACATTTGTAAGAGTGGATTCATCTGCAGGGAGGAGCAGAGTTAGGTGGGGATGCAATAGTGTTGGTGACATGTGAGCTCTTACATTCTATTGTCCTAAGGCACATATATATTACATATGTTCTTTTGTACACAATTTTTAAGAGATTTTTATGCATCCAGCAATTCCTTGAGGTTCACTAATTTTCATTTGTTAAATTTAACATTTTATTTTTAAAATGAAATGTATAAAATATCTCTGCTGTTATAACATTCTCTCTCTCCATCTCTTTCTGCCTCTTCATAATTATGGAAATTTACCCCTGTAAAAATGGAGAGAGAAATATTTGGATTATTTATCAAATGTTTGCACGTTTGTTATTTCTTTTTTCAGTTTTGTTTTGTTTGGTTTTTTTAGAAACAGGGTCTTGCTTTGTTACTGAGGCTGGAGTGCAGTGACGCCATCACGGCTCACTGCAGCCTTGACCTCCCCAGGCTCAGGTGATCCACCCACCTCAGTCTCCTGAGGAGCTGGGACTACAGGCACTAATTTTTTTTTTTTTTTTTGTAGCGACGGAGTCTCACCATGTTGCCCAGGCTGGTCTCAAACTCCTGAGCTCAAGTGATCCTCCCACCTCAACTTCCCAGAGTGCTGGGGTTTAAGGCAGGAGCCACTGCGCCTGGTCTGCACGTTTGTTATTTCTGAATACTGGGATACTGGAATATTGGATGATTTGTGATCTGCAGCTTTTTCCTTTGATTTGGGGGCGTTGCTTACAGGTTGTATGAGTCAGGTTTTGTTCGTTTTTTTTCTGCTACCAAGCAGCTGTCCACCTTTCCTGTGCAGGTGGAATCCTCTGCCGCCGAGTCCTTCCGGCGGGCCCTCCACACAATGTTTCCTGTCTCTGTTCTGTGACTGCTGAGAGTATCAGAGGAATGTAGAACTTTAAACAAGGCATGGTCCTTGAAGGAGAATCATCCTTCTATTCCCAGATCAGCTACATATTTTTAAATTCCCAAATCAAAACTTGAGGGACTTTTTGTGACTCCGTTGAAATGAATTATCATATCTCGTATAACAAAAAATTACCAGCTTAAGTCCCCAGTGTATTCATATGTTAAAAGAGGGTTAACCACTCTGCCTGCCCCTAGGGCTTGTGGATTTTGTTTCTGTTTGGAGGATCAATTGGCTAATGTGTTAGTCTGTTTTTGCATTGCCACAGAGGAACACCTGAGACTGGGTAATTTATAAAGAGAAGAGGTTTACTTGGCTCACGGTTCTGCAGGCTGCACAAGCATGGCACCTGCATCTGCTCTGCTTCTGGGGAGGCCTCAGGAAGCCTTTACTCATGGTAGAAGGTAAAGGAGAAGCAGGTGTGCCCCATGGCAAGTGGCAGAGCAAGATGGATGCCAGGCTGTGTAACCAACCAGCTCTCGTGCGAGCTTGTGAGCTCACGGAGTGGAACTAATGATGGTGAGGAGGGCACCAAACCATTCATGAGAGACCCGCCCCCATGATCCAAACACCTCCCACCAGGCCCCACTTTTGACATTGGGGATCACACTTCAATACGAGATTTGGAGGGGACCAAACCATATCAGCTAATAAATATAAAATACTTAGAGCAGGGTCTCACACACAATAAGCATTCAACAGATGTTAACTACCATTATCATATTCTTACCATCATTATAAGAAAAGCCAGGCCGGGCACGGTGGCTCACGCCTGTAATCCCAGCACTTTGGGAGGCCAAGGCGGGCAGATCATGAGGTCAGGACTTTGAGACCAGCCTGGCTGACATGGTGAAACCCCGTCTCTAATAAAAATACAAAAATTAGCCAGGCGTGGTGGCGGGCGCCTGTAATCCCAGCTACTCAGGGGGCTGAGGCAGGAGAATCTCCTGAACCAGGAGGCAGAGGTTGCAGTGAGCTGAGATCGCACCACTGCACTCCAGCCTGGGTGACAGAGCAAGACTCAGTTTTAAGAAAAGAAAAAGAAAAGGAAAAGAAAGGGAAAAGGAAAAGGAAAACAAAAGGAAAGGAAAGGAAAGAAAAGAAAAGAGAAAAGAAAAAAAAAGAAAAGAGGGAGGGTCATGAATTTCCTACCACAACAGCCTGTCAGAGAAAACACAGCATCACTAGGGGATTGCGTAGACTAATTGCACAGTCTGAGACTTCATTCTCCAGTTTTATTTCAATAGAAAATGATGGTTTTGGGGAATGCCTAGGTCATTGTCAGCTTAATCAGAAGGTGACTCCCCTTGCAGCTGCTGTTCCAAGTGTGTTCTCCTTAATGAAACAAATCAATACAATTTACCACCTGTTATGCAGTGACTGATCTGGTAAATATTTTTTCCTTCCTCAATCAACATTCACCAGAAGCAAGTTGCCCCTCCATGGAAGTGGCATCAGCGTATCTTCCCATCTTGTCATGTCCACAGGGAGCTTGGTGGTCTCAGCACCCCTGAGATGATCTTGACAGTGCAGTATGCTGATGAGGGCACAGGGATAGGACCTGGGAAGCTTTTGGAAGCAGTGGATGCCCTGGCTGCCTAGTGAGATGTCCATGCCTGGCAGATGGGCACAGCTGGCCAAACAGGGCCTGGCTCCTGGGTAAAGCTCTGAACATCCAGCCGTCTACACTGTGGTCCTCAAACTTTCTTTTCTTTTCTTTTCCCTCCCTCCCTCCCTTCCTTCCTTCCTTCCTTTAGATGGAGTTTCACTCTTGTTGCCCAGGCTGGAGTGCAATGGCGCGATCTCGGCTCACTGCAACCACTGCCTTCTGGGTTCAAGCGATTCCCACCTCAGCCTCCCGAGTAGCTGGGATTACAGGTGCTTGCCACCACGCCTGGTATATTTCTATGCTGACATCTAAAGTTCTTCCTAACAAGTTTAAATAGTTACAAAGGATCAGATTTCTGGTATATTGATACATTTTAAAGTAAACTCTTACTTTACGAATGGGATACAAATACCATAAATGATTGGACACCCATAATCACACTTTGTAGACACACAGAAGCTCTACGATAAGTAGAAATGATATACTGTGTTACTCTCCTTGAAATACAATATCTATCCCACTCTCCTTTATATATGTCCTATAGAGGGAGAATGTATACATCATATATGTTAGGATATATTTCTATCCTAATATATGTTATGCTTTTTATTGCAGATCCTATAACACTTCCTGCAAAAAAAAAAAACACTGAAATTTATTTTCTTTTGAAATTTAATTTGTAAAACCTTACATATAGCTATAAGGCTCCATGTTTATGGGCTGGAGTATAGTGATGTGATCTCAGATCACTGCAGCCTCGACCTCCCTGGGCTCAAGCGATCCTCCTACCTCAGCCTCCGGAGTAGCTGGCACTACAGGCAGCTAATGCTTTTTTAAAAATGGTTTTGGTAGAGCTGGGGTCTTACTATGTTGCCCAGGTTGGTCTCGAACTCCTGGGCTGAAGCAATCCTCCCGCATAGGCCTCCTAAAGTGCTGGGATTACAGGTGTGAGTTACCCCGCCAGGCCGAGTTATCATTATGGCTGTCAGTATGTAATTGTTCAAAAACAGATAAATATATTACAAGATTTGGACACATAAAAAACAAAAGTTGGGTCAGAAAGGCAGAAGCAGTGGAGCAGACGGGGTCTGAGTCGGAGGCATCGCGTCCGCGCGCAGCTTCCCGGGGCCGGAGCAGCAGGCAGGGGCCGGGCGTCTCCGGGACTCCCAGGGGAGACGGGAGGCCGTCCCGCCACTAGGCTGGCGCGGGGCCCCGGGGGTAAAGGGTGGCGGCGGGGAGCCGGAGGAGCAGGGCGCCCGCGGGAGATGCTCCGGGTCCCTTCTCGGGCGCGCGGCTCCGGGGACGGCTCCACCTCCAGCCCTACCCCGATCTGCGCCCCAGGAGTCTCCGCTCCGCGCTCTGCTGCTCCCGGCGAAACCCGCATTGACGCCCTGGTTCAGGATGGGTCTTCAGGGCCCGCGCGCCTCCCTGACCGTCTTCGGCTCGCACCAGGAGGTCCCTGGTGCTCCTGCGCTCCGCAGCTGGTCCCGCCCCGCGCAGTCTTCCTAAGTCCAAAGTCGACCCCATGCCACCGCGCTGGGCCGCGCCCCGCCTCTCCCGGGCCCGCCTGCGCGGCGATGACCGGCTCCTGGGAGGGCCCCGCCGCGATGCCGAGCGCAGAAAACCCTCGCTGCTCCTCTGCTCCAACCCGGGGGCATCGCTGCTTCCAGAATCATCTCCGTGGGAGCTCAGGGTCCTTCTTGTTACTTTAAACTTATAATAGCTGTTTGGCCATTCTTCATAAAAACTTTACTATTTATTGTATTTATTTTGGACGCAGGGTCTCCCTCTGTCGCCCAGGCTGGATTGCAGTGACACGCTCAGGGTTCACTGCAGCCTCAGCTCCCAGGCTCAACCGATCCTCCCACCTCAGCCTCCCAAGAAGCTGGGACTACAGGCACCTGCCATTATCAACGCCTGGCTAATTTTTTTTTTTTTTTTTGTAGAGATGAAATCTCACCATGTTGCCCAGGCTGGTCTTGAACTCCTGCACTCCAGTGATCCACCTGCCTCAGCCTCCCAAAGAGCTGGGATTACAGGCGTGAGCCACCGTGCAAGCCCTACAATTTTAAATACTTAAATGTGGTAAGTTTTCTGTTTCCTGACTGTACTCTGATAGATGCAGTACTTGGCACCAGAATGTGCCATGAGACAGACCCTAAAAGACACAGTTGTGCAACTGATTTGGTTGTGTTCCTGTCCTTGTCCTCACCTGTGGTTGACAAGAAAGCCGGGCTCCCTGGGCTCTCAGGTGTGCAGGACTTGCCCTCCCAGCCTTCCCCACGGGAGCCACTGCCCCTTCAGTGGGGTGCTCCAGACAAGGGCGACATCCTGCGCTTTCAGGGCCCACAGAACACTGATTTTGGTGAATGCCAAATTCTGGGGCCCCAAAACACCATGGTGGTCCACCAGTCAAAGTGGTGGCTGACGGTCAGGGATCATGCAACTGTAGTCCAAGTTCATCTCGAGCTGGGCCTGGGAGTTCTGCAGAGCCTGCCTGTGGTCACTTTGCAAGCTCCTGAGTGTGTAGCTAAAAAGACATCCCAGAAACCGGCGGCATTCTCACATCAGCTCTGTGACCCACAGGGTTACGGCTGTCATGGTATAAAAAGTTAAATGGAAGCCCTGCAATTTTTCTTTCCTACCAGGTTAATGAACTCAAATCTGCATGTCTGGTGAAAATGCCAAGGTTAGTGCTACCCCCAAAAGATGTGAACGATGCAGGGCTGGTGATCCCCAGCACAGCCCCCACCTGACTCCCTAGCTGGGCGAGGCGCAAGGCGGGCATCCTTGGAGAACGCCTGTGGATTTTCACAAAGCTCAGCAGGTGGCTATTCCAACTGCACCTGCTGCTACTGATGTGACATATTTTCCAGAGCAAATTGACATGACCCCTGGCACCTGGAGTGAGCCATTGGCCTGGAAAATGCTTTTCTCCCTATAATCATTCACAAGGATGGGGCTGCTGGGCATGTGGGGCCCTTGCCCAGATATCCTCATCCATGTCCTCAGCAGCACCTTCAGGCAGGAAGAGCGGGAGTCAGACATAGGACTCTCCTCCAGGTTCAAGACCACGACCAGCCCAGCCCGTGCAAAGTGCAGGTTAACCTGGGCAGTAGCAGTCACCCGTGGAATCAGTGCCAGAACTCTGTGCAAGGGAAGCTCCTCATCGTGGATGAACCAGGCTATGTTTGCGAGAGGAGGGATTTGCTGGTGCAGGGCTGTAACGTCCACAGCCCTAGTGTGAAGCAGTGCTGCTGTGACGGCTGCTGGCCATGTCTCTTGCTGCCTGCAGCCCAGCCAGGAGCTTCTCCTGGAGCATCGTGGTGTTCCAGAACCTCTTCATGGCAGTCGAAGATCAGTATTGAGTCATGTCCGGCCAAATGCAGGACCTCATCCCAGGGCCTCATCCCACCGATTGGGACCCCATTGCGAAGAATTGCTATGGAGAAAGCCCACCCGAGCTCTTCCCGGCATGGCGGGTGCAGCGGATGCTCTCCAGCTTGGGCGAGGAGCTCATCTCCTGGGGCCCAGCTGCAGCACTCAGGCCAGGCCATGGGAAGAAGACAAAGGCAGCGCAGGGAAACCTTGGCTTTGACCACCTCTCGTGTTGTCATCTTTGGCCTCTGTGAAGCAGCTTGGAAATTCCAGCTGGTCCCATCGGGGAAGGAAGAAACCACAGCGAGGCTCCGGCAGTGCTGGTTCTTGGAGGACTGGACGCTGGGACCTGCACAGGGACCTGTGACTCAGGCTTGTCAGGGGCCAGGTGTCACTGCCAGTTTTGATCCAGGCCCCTTCACTGTAAAATTATTTATTGGATTCCTTTGGAGTAGTGGGAAAATTATAATGTTTTATGTAGGAGAATGCCGTGTCATTCTAGCTGAAAATGTTCAAGGAAAGTATTTTTGTTGTTCTCGTGTTCTCAAGTTTCATGAGTTAAATCATCCCTTCACCCAGATAAAATGTTTCATCTTCTTTTTTTTTTCTTTTTGAGATGGAGTTTCGCTCTTGTTGCCCAGGCTGGAGTGCAATGGCACATTCTCGGCTCATCACAACCTCTGCCTCCCAGGTTCAAGCGATTCTCCTGCGTCAGCCTTCGAGTAGCTAGGACTACAGGCATGTGCCACCATGCCCAGCTAATTTTGTATTTTCAGTAGAGACGAAGTTTCTCCATGTTGGTCAGGCTGGCCTCGAACTCCTGACCTCAGGTGATCCACCTGCCTTGGCCTCCCAAAGTGCTGGGATTTTAGGCGTGAGCCACTGCGCTGAGCCTGTTTTGTCTTTTAGAACGTGAAAAATAATAATTTGCAAGGATAACCAGAAACACTTTGCTTTTACATAATAGGGCCGACAAAACACCCTCACATTCTTGTCTCACTGCTGGGTCAGTGCTACCACTCTCTGAGGTAATCTAATCCAGAGATCTTTATTGTCTTGACCCCCAAAAGCATGAACTGATACACTATATTGGTGAATTTATCCTGATTGGACTAAATGAACACAGAGTAGCAAATACCTTGAATGCCTCAGTAAGAAATGACATTTTCATGCAAGCCATGAAAATTCAGGGTCCTACAATGTCAGTGAAGTTTCTAGGAATCCAGTAGCCTGGGGCATGTTAGAATATCTCCTAAAAGATGAAATACACCAGGCACAGTGGCCTGTAAAATCCTAGCTACTCAAAAGGCTGAGGTGGGAGAATTGCTTGAGCCCAGGAGTTCTAGGCTGCAATGAGCTATGATTATGCCACTCCAGAGTGGGTGACACAGTGAGACGCCATCTCTAAAAAAAAAAATTTTAAGATGAAAGACACATTGTGGCCAAGCGTGGTGGCTCATGCCTGTAATCCCAGCACTTTGGGAGGCCAAGGCAGGCGGATCATGAGGTCAAGAGATCGAGACCATCCTGGCTAACATGGTGAAAACCCCTTCTCTACTAAAAATACAAAAAATTAGCTGGGCGTGGTGGCGGGCGCCTATAGTCTCAGCTACTTGGGAGGCTGAGGCAGAAGAATGGCATGAACCCGGGAGGCGGAGCTTGCAGTGAGCCAAGCTCGCACCACTGCACTCCAGCCTGGGTGACAGAGTGAGACTCCGTCTCAAAAAAAAAAAAAAAGAAAGACACATTATGTACCTTACACTACCTGCCACTATAAACCGGGCGTATCTGCAGGCCTATGTGCTTTTTCAAAGGCGACCCTGGAGCCCTGCAACCCATTCATCAATTAGTTCATGGTCTGGTGGCTTTGAGTTGGCCCCTGGGCAAGAAGAGCCTCTGCAGTTAAGACCAGCATTCAATGCCACCTGCTTCACCACTTAAGCCTTGTGTCCCAATAGATCAGTGACACTCTGACTGTCAGTTGCACATATGAATATTGTTTGAAGCTTCTGGAGAAACCCAGTAAGAAAATCACAGCACAGAACCCTAGCGTTTTAGAGCAAAGTCATGCTCTTTTCTGCATAAGACTTTTTTTTTTTTAGACAGGGTCCTATTCTGTCACCCAGGCTGGAGTGCAGTGGCGCGATCACAGCTCACTGCAGCTTGACCTCCCAAGACTCAAGCAGTCCTCTTGCCTCAGCCTCCCAAGTGGCTAGGACTAAAAGTGTGCACCACCACACCCAGCTACTTTTTTTTTTTTTTTTAATTTTTTTAGTAGAGACACTGTTTCACTGTGTTGCCCAGGCTGGTCTGAAACTCCTGGGCTCAAGCAATCCTCCTGCCTCAGCTTCCCAAAGTGCTGGGATTACAGACGTGAGCCTAAGCTATTCTTTTGAGAAAAAAACTCTGGTTTGCTATGGGGCCCTGGCAAGCACTGATGCCTAATCACAAGACACCCAATAACTACACCATTTGGGATAGTCATCATGAACCGATGGCACCAGACCCACCAAGCCACGAGGTTGGGCGTGTGTACCAGCAATTCATGGTACACCGAGTACCATGAATGAAGATGAAACATAAGAAACTGGGTGTGCGAAGGTCCTGGCGGCTCAGATGCCTGTGACACGGGGTGCTCCTCCATCACCTCCTCCCTATTGATCCACACCAATGGCATCCTGGGAAGCTCCTCATGGTCACCTGACAAGGAAAGAAAAGCAGCCCTGGTTCTCAGACAGTCCCTCGTGGTGTACTGAGCTCCAGCCTTAAGTCAGGAGTGTGCCTGGCAATGAGAAGCACTTTGAGCTGTGAATTGTGTTGTCCACTTTGTCGGGACTAAGAGATCCGTGGAAGAAAATATTGACTTAGTTCCTGGTGGTAGTTAATGCTTTGGCTAGATACCAAAAAGAGCAGGCTTGGGAGACTGGTAAGAAGCATATCTGGGAAAGAGGATGTGGGTGGACAGCACAGAATGTGAAGATGTTGTGCACCTTTGCAAATGTCCACCAGAGTCATGCATTTTGGGGAGATGTACCAAGAGGGATCATCAGGAGGTTGAAACCATGCACTGTGGATGGCAGTCATGCTTTCCAGCCACCTTCATGCTTTATCAATGAGCAGCAGCAGAGATGGGGGCTTTGCATGGGCTCTACAACATAGATTAGATCTTCCTCCCCCCAAGGCTGCCACCACTGAATGCTGAACCTTCCAGCAGCAGAGATGGACACTGAGCCCCCAGCATGGCTCCACTTCCAGGGGCTCAGCCACCTGCCAGCAGGCTGACCACACTGAACCCTTTCCATCATGAAGGGGCACTGCGTGTCCTCACTGGAGGAATGGATTCTAGATATGAATTTGTTCTTGACTGCAATGATGTTGCCCGTGCCACCATGAGTTTATAAAATATTTATTCTGGCCAGGCACAGTGGCTCACACCTGTAATCCCAGCACTTTGGGAGGCCAAGGCGGGAGGATCACTTGAGGTAAGGAGTTTGAGACCAGCCTGGCCAACATGATGAAACCCCATCTCTACTAAAAATACAAAAATTAGCCTGGCATGGTGGCAGGCGCCTGTAATCCCAGCTACTTAGGAGGCTGAGGCACAAGAATTGCTTGAACCTGGGAGGCGGAGGTTGCAGTGAGCTAAGATCACGTCATTGTACTCCAGCCTGGGGACAGAGCAAGACTCCGTCTTAATAAATAAATAAATGAAATAAAATATTTATTCCACATCATGGTAACATACACAACATTGATGCGGACTAAGGAACTTATTTTCCAGCTAACTTCTTTCCCATGGAATGCACTGGTCTTGCTAGGTGTCCTGGCTCAAGAGGAGCTGGCGTGATAGAATGTTTAGTGGCCTTAAGACCTGGTTGCAGTGCCAGTTGGGAGATTGTATCCTGAGAATATATCACTGTATCTTATGGGATGCAGTATATGCTTTGAATCAGTGACTGATTTATGGTGCTGTGGGGGAAGCTCTATAATGGCCCTGGCTATCCTTTCTCCTGGTATTCATGCCTTGTGTAATTCCTTCCCCTTGAGTGTGGGTGGGACCTGTGACTTGCTTCTAACCAAGAGAACACAGTGAAGGTAATGGGATGTGATGTCCATCATTCCTGTAGTTACGTTACAGAAGATTGCTACCTGGCTGGGCGCGGTGGCTCACGCCTGTAATCCCAGCACTTTGGGAGGCCGAGGTGGGCGGATCATGAAGTCAAGAGATCGAGACCATCCTGGCTAATGCAGTGAAACCCCGTCTCTACTAAAAATACAAAAAAATTAGCCGGGCGTGGTGGTTGGCACCTGTAGTCCCAGCTGCTCAGGAGGCTGAGGCAGGAGAATGTCGTGAACCCAGAAGGCGGAGCTTGCAGTGAGCTGAGATCAGGCCACTGCACTCCAGCCTGGGCAACAGAGAGAGACTCCATCTCAAAAAAAAAATAATAATAAAAATAAGATTGCTACCTTTGTCTTGATGGCAGACTCTCTCCCTTGCAGGCTTTGATGAATTCAGCGCCATGTTGCAAGATGTCCTAGGCAGAGGCTCATGTAGCAAAACTGAGCTACATGGGGGCCCCTCAGCCCAACTGCCCACAAGGAACTGAATTTCATCAACAAGCATGGGAGCTTGCAGGCGCATCCTTCCCCAGTCGATCCTTGAGATGAGAATGCAGCCCTGGCTGAAACACCTTGGCGTTAGCCCTGGGAGAGGTGCTCAGCCAGAGGACCCATTTAGCCTGTGCCCGGACTCCTGACCCACGGATACGGCCGAATGATAACATAGTCACGAAGTCTGTAACCACTTGTTAAGCAGCAATGGCTCCTGAGGGGCAGACAAAGCAGCAGCAGCCATTGTCATGGCCCCTCCCCACATTGCTGCAAGCCCCTCCCCCTCTGGCTGAAGTGACTTCCAGGGCTTTAAAGAGCTGGTGCCTTTTTTTCCCTCTTGATTTTTCTCTTTTTCTCTTCTTAGGAGCCAAACATGAAAGGCTAGGACATTCAAAACAACTGTATATACTGGGGAAATTAGAAAGTGACCATAAATGCCAAAGAAAGGCTCAGAAGAGTCCCAAGAAGACCGTAAGTTTATACCCCAGCTGAGCCTTGGAAAGAGACAGCCTACAACAGTAGAAAAGAAAAAAAAACAAACAAAACCCAGCAAACCCTGGGGAAGGAGGAGAGTCTGATTTCCAGAGTTACCACATTATTAGATTCAAATGTCCAGTTTTCAACAGAAGTTCACAAGGCATACAAAGAAACAGGAAAGTATGGCCAATTCAAAGGAAAACAAAAATAAATCAACAGAAACTATCTCTGAAAAGCTGGGCGTGGTGGCTCACACCTATAATCGCAACATTTTGGGAGGCCGAGGCAGGCAGGTCACCTGAGGTCAGGAGTTCGAGAACAGCCTGGCCAACACGGTGAAACTCCCATCTCTACTAAAAATACAAAAATTAGCCAGGTATGGTGGAGGGTACCTGTAATCTCAGCTACTTGGGAGGTTGAGGCAGGAGAATCACTTGAAACCGGGAGGCAGAGGTTGCAGTGAGCCGAGATCATGCCACTGCACTCCAGCCTGAGACAGCGAGACTCCGTCTCAAAAAAAAAAAAAAAAAGAAACTTTCCCTAAAAATAACCTTGATGGCATGGCTACTAGACAAAGACTTTAAAACAATTATCTTAAAGAACTCAAGCACTAAAGGAAGACATGGAAGAAGTCAAGAAAATAATGTATGAATGAAATGGAAATATTAACAAAAAGGCCAGGTGCGGTGGCTCACACCTGTAATCCCAGCACCTTGGGAGGCTGAGGCAGGTGGGCCACTTGACCCCAGGAGTTGAAGACCAGCCTGGGCAACATAGCAAAACCCTGTCTCTACAAGAAATAAAAACAAAAACAAAAATTAGCCAGGCATGGTGGCACACACCTATAGTCCCAGCTACTCAGGAGGCTGAGGAGGGAGGATTGCTTAAGCCCAGGAGGTCAAGGTTGCAGTGAGATGTGACTGTGCCACTGCACTCCAGCCCAGGTGACAGAGTGAGACCCTGTCTCAAAAAAAAAAAAAAAAAAAAAAAAACGAACAGAGAGTAAGGGACCTGTGGGACACCATCAAACGGGCCAACATATACATTTTAGGTACCTCAGAAAGAGAAGAAAGAGAAAGGGGCAGAGAGAATACAGTCATGCATCACTTAACAACAAAAATATGTTCTGAGAAATACATCCTCATGTGATTTCAACATTGTGTGAACATCGTAGAGAGTACTTATACAAGCCTACATGGTATAGCTACTGTATACCTAAACTATATGGTATATAACTTATTGCTCCAAGGCTACAAATATGTACAGCATGTTACTGTATTTAATACTTAGGCAATTATAACACAATGGTAAGTATTTGTGTATCTAAGTACATATAAACATAAAAAGTACAGTAAAAATACAGTATTATAATCTTTGAGGACCACCATCATATATGCAGTTCATTGATGACCAAAATGTCATTATGCAGCTTATGACTATGTTTGAAGAAATAATGGCTGAAAACTTCCCAAATTTGATGAAAGACATGCATATAAACATCCAAGCAGCTCAAGTAACTCCAAGTAAAATGAACTCAAAGAGACCCACACTGAGACACATTATAGTCTAACTTTTGAAATGCAAAGTTAGAATCCTGAAAGTAGCAAGAGGGAAGAAACTTGTCACATACAAGGGATCCTCAATAAAATGACAAGCAGATTTTTCATCAGAAACTTGGAGGCCAGAAGGCAGAGGGCCAATATATTTAAAGCACTAAAAGAAAGGCTGGGTGTGGTGGCTCACGCCTGTAATCCCAGCACTTTGGGGGGCCAAGGTGGGCAGATCACCTGAGGTCAGGAGTTTGAGACCAGCCTGGCCAACATGGTGAAACCCTGTCTCTACTAAAAATACAAAAATTAGCTGGGCCTGGTGGCAGGCGCCTATAATCCCAGCTACTCGGGAGGCTGAGCCAGGAGAATCGCTTGAACCTGGGAGGCAGAGGTTGCGGTGAGCCAAGATTGTGCCATTGCACTCCAGCCTGGGCAACAGAGCAAGTCTCTCTCTCAAAAATAAAAAAATAATAAGAATAATAAATAAAGTGCTAAAAGAAAAAAAAAACTGGCAAAAAAGAATCCTATATCCAGCAAAACTATCCTTCACATGTGAGGAAGAAAATAAGACATTCCCAGATAAACAAAAGCTGAAGGAGTTTGTTACCACTAGACCTGCCCTGCAAGGAATGCTCAAGGAGGTCCTGCAGGTTGAAAGGACACTAGATGGTAACTCAAAGCTGTTAAGAAGAAATAAAGATCTCAATAAAGATAAACATGTGGGTAACTTCTAAGTCTATGTCTGTTTTGTATAGGATTTTATATATATATATACACACACACACACACACACACACACACACACACACACACTTTTTTTTTTTTTTGAGATGAAGTCTCGCTCTGTTGCCCAGGCTGGAGTGAAATGGCATGATCTTGGCTCACTGCCACCTCTGCCTCCCAGGTTCAAGTGATTCTCCTGCCTCAGCCTCCCAAGTAGATGGGATTACAGGCACCTGCCACCACACCCGACTAATTTTTGTATTTTTAGTAGAGACGGGGTTTCACCATATTGGCCAGGTTGGTCTTGAACTCCTGACCTCAGGTAATCCACCGATCTTGGCCTCCCAAAGTGCTGGGATTACAGGCCTGAGCCACCATGCCCAGCCCATATTTTTAAATTATTATTTTTAAATTATTTAAAAGCTACTATTACTATAATTTTGGTTTGTAACTCCACTTTTTTCCTAGATAATTTAAGAGACCAGTGCATTTATAAGAATTATTTATGTTTTGGAGTACACAATGTATAAAGATGTAATTTTGTGACATCAGCAACTGAAAGGAGTGGAGACAAAGCTGTAAAGGAACAGAGTTTTTTATGTCGTTGAAGTTAAGCTGGTATAAATTCAAATTGGAGAGTTAGAACTTTAGGGTGTTAAATGTAAACCCCATAGTAACCACAAAGAAAACCTATAGAATATATACCAAAGGAATTGAGGAAGAAATTGAAACATTTCACTACAAAAAAACACACACACACACACACACACAAAAGAAGACAGTAATTCAGGAAATGAGGGACAAAAAAAGTTATATGGCATATATAAAACACATAGCAAAATGACAGACGTAGGTCCTTTCTTGTCAGTAATTATTAATTTTATTTTATTTTTTGTTTTTTAGAGGTGGGTTCTTGCTCTGTCACCGAAGCTGGAGTGCAGTGGTGCAATCATAGCTCACTGTAACCTCAAACTCCTGGGTTCAAGTGATCCTCCCATCTCAGCCTTCCAAGTAGCTAGCACTATAGGCACATGCCACCATGCCTGGCTAATTTTCTGTAGAATGTGGCCCAGGCTGGTCTCCAACTCCAGGCCTCAAGCAACCCTCTCATCTCAGCCTCCCAAAGCACTGAGATTACAGGCATGAACCACTGTGCCCAGTCTCTCCTTATCACTAATTACTTTAAATGTAAATGGATTAAACTCTCCAATCAAAAGACAGAGATTGGCAGGATGAATAAAAACCCCTGATCCAAGTATATGCTGTCTACAAAAGATTCACTTTAGATTGAAAAACACAAACATTGAAAATGAAAACATAGAAAAAGATATTCCATGCAAATAGAAACCAAAAGAGGAGGAATGACTGTACTAGTATCAGACAAAATACATTTTTAAATCAAAAAAGTTCACAAGGGAGGTCAGGGACGGTGACTCACACCTGTAATCTCAGCACTTTGGGAGGCTGAGGCGGGCGGATCACCTGAGGTCGGGGGTTCGAGACCACCCTGACCAACATGGAGAAACCTCGTCTCTACTAAAAATACAAAATTAGCTGGGCGTGGTGGCGCATGCCTGTAATCCCAGCTACTTGAGAGGCAGGAGAATTGCTTGAACCCAGGAGGCAGAGGTTGCAGTGAGCCGAGAACGTGCCATTGCACTCCAGCCTGGGCAACAAGAGCGAAACTCCACCTCAAAAAAAATAAAAAATAAAAATAAAAATAAAATTTAAAAAAAAGTTCACAAGAGACAAAGAAGGACATTATATATCAAAAAAAGTTCAATATAGCAAGAATATATAATAACTATAAATATGTATGTACCTAATGTCTGATCATCAAAATATATGAAGCAGGCCAAGCATGGTAGCTTACATCTGTAATCCCAGCATTTTGAGAGGCTCAGGTGGGCAGATCACCTGAGGTCAGGAGTTTGAGACCACCCCGGCCAACAGGGCGAAACACCATCTCCACAAAAAACACAAAAATTAGCCAGGCATGGTGGCAGGCACCTATAATCCCAGGTACCAGGAGGTGGAGATTGCAGTGAGCCGAGATCATGCCACTGCACTCCAGCCTGGGCAACAGAGTGAGATTCCGTCTCAAAAAAAAAAAAAATAAATAAATAAATAAAATATATATATATGATTGATATATATGATATATATCATATATATCATATATTTTTATGTGATATATATTTTTATATATTTATATGATATATATTTATATATTTATACATATATTTATATATTATATATGATATATAATATATAATTATATATGAGATATATGTATATATTATATATGATATGATATATAATTATATATTCACATATTTATATATATTTATATATTTTTATATATTTATGTTTTTATATATTTTATATATTTTTATATATATTTTTATATTTTTATATATTATATATTTTTATATATATTTATATATACATTTATATCATATATAACATATATGATATATAGGTATATATTTATATATGATATATATGATATATTTATATATGATATATATTTATATATTATATATATTGATATATACATTTATATCATGTATGATATATATCATATATGCTATATATACGTTTATATCATATATGCTATATATTTATATACATTTATATCATATATGATATATATTTATATTTAATATATGATATATATTTATATTTTTATATTTTATATATGATATATATTTATGATATATATTTATATATGATATATTTATATATGATATATATTTATATATAGATATATGTATATATTTTTATATATTTATATATAGATATATATGTATATTTTTAAGTATTTATGATATATATATTTATATATTTATATATGATATATATATTTATATATTTATATATGAAATATATATTTATATATTTATATGATATATATTTATATATTTATATATGATATATTTATATATTATATATATTTATATGATATATATTTATATATTTATATATGATATATATGATATATATTTATATATTTATATATGATATATATGATATATATTTATATATTTATATATGATTGATATATATTTATATATTTATATATGATATATTATATATTTATATATTATATATGATATATATCATATCTATATTTATATATTATATATGATATATATATCTATATTTATATATTATATATCATATATATCATCTATATTTATATATTATATATCATATATATCATCTATATTTATATATTATATATCATGTATATTTATATATGATATATATATTTATATATACATATATGAAGCAAAAGCCAACACAATGGACTGAAGGGAGAAATAGTTTTACAATAATAGTTGGAGATAATACCCGCCCCCATATGGATAGAACCACCAGGCAGAAGATAAGAAGATAAGTAAAGAAATAAAGGACTTGCTGGGCATGGTGGCTCACACCTGTAATGCCAGCACTTTGGGAAGCCAAGTCGGGTAGATCACTTGAGCTTAGGAGTTCAAGACCACTCTGGGCAACACGGTAAAGCCCTGTCTGTATAAAAAATACAAAAATTAGCCAGGCGCAGTGGTGTATGCCTGTAGTCCCAGCTACTTGGGAGGCTGAGACAGGAGAATCGCTTGAGCCCGGGAGGCAGAGGTTGCAGTGAGCCGAGATTGTGCTGTTGCACTCCAGCCTGGGTGACAGGAGTGAAACCCTAAGAAAAGAAAAGAAAGGAAAAGAAAGGAAAGGGAAAGGAAAGGGAAAGGAAAGGAAAGGAAAGGAAAGGAAAGGAAAGGAAAGGAAAGGAAAGGAAAGGAAAGGACTTAACACAATCAACCAACTAGATCTAACAGACATACAGAACACTCTAGCCAATAATAGCATATACATTCTTCTCAAGTGTACATGGGATATTTTCAAGGGTAGACCATATGTTAGGCCACAAATTAACTCTCAATAGATTTTTTAAAATCACGCTGCGCAAAGTTTCTTCTCTGACCACAGTGGGATGAGGTTAGAAATCAATAACAGAAGTAAAAGTGGAAAATTCACAAAATGGTGGAATTAAACAATATACTCTTTTTTAAAAAAAAACACCCTTCAACAGTCAATGGATCAAAAAAGAAATCACAAAGAAAATTAGGAAATACTTAGGAACAAATGGAAGCAAAGACACAACATACCAACCTTAGGAGATGCAGCAAAAGCAGTGCTAAGGGGGAAACTTACAGCCATAAACGCTGAAACTAATACATAAGATTTCAAATCAATAACCTACCTAACTTTATAACTTAAGGAAATACACAAAGAAGACCAAACTAAAGCCAAAGCTAGCAGAAGGAAGGAAATAATAAAGATTAGAGATAGACAAAATAGAGAATATAAAAACATGGAGAACACAAATGAAACTAAAAGTTGGTTCTTTGGAAGGATCAACAAAATTGACAAACTTTTAGCTAGATGGACTAACGAAAAAAGAGAGAAGGTTAAAATTTACAAGACCAGAAATAAAAGTGGGAACATTACTACTGATTCTATAGAAATAAAAAATATAGGCCGGGCGCGGTGGCTCACTCCTGTAATCCCAACACTTTGGGAGGCCAAGGCGGGTGGATCACGAGGTCAGGAGATCGAGACCATCCTGGCTAACAGGGTGAAACCCAGTCTCTACTAAAAATACAAAAAATTAGCCGGGCGTGGTGGTGGGCACCTGTAATCCCAGCTACTTGGGAGGCTGAGGCAGGAGAATGGCGTGAACCCAGGAGGCGGAGCTTGCAGTGAGCTGAGATAGTGCCACTGCACTCCAGCCTGGGCAACAGAGCAAGACTCCATCTCATAAATAGATAAATAAAATAAAATAAATAAATAAAAAATATCATAAGAGAGTACTCTGAACAATTATATGCCAACAAATTGAGTGACCTAGATGAAGTGGACAAATTCCTAAAAACACAAAACTTATCAAGACTAAATCATGAAGAAATAGGAAATCTGAATAGACATATAACTAGCAAGGAGATTAAATCAGTAATCAAACATCTCCAAACAAAGCCTGGGCATGGTGGCTCACACCTGTCATCTCAACACTTTGGGAAACCAAGGTGGGAGGATCACCTGAGCCTAGGAGTTCAAGAGCAGTCTGGACAACATAGTGAGAACCCATCTCTACAAAAAATTAAAAATTTAGCCAGACATGATGGCACACACCTGTAGTCCCAGCTACTTGGGAGGCTGAGATGGGAGGATGGCTTGAGCTCCAGAGGTCGAGGCTGCAGTGAGCTGGGATTACACCACTGCACTCCAGCCTGGGTGACAGACTGTGCCCCTGTCCCCTGCTCAAAAAGAAGAGAGTGAGAGAAACCAAAACCAAAATAAACAAGGAACACTCAACAAACTAGAAATAGAAATTTATTCAGCCTGATATAGATCATTTATGAAAAACTAACAGCAAACATCATCCTCAATGGTAAAAGGCTGAAGGATTTTTCTCTAAGGTTAGGAACAAGGCAAATGCCTGCTCTTGCCACTCTATTCAGCATAGTGCTGGGAGTTCTAGACAGAGCAGTTAGGCAAGGAAAAGAAATCTAAGGCATCCAAATTGGAAAGGAGGAAGTAAAATTATCTCTGTTTGCCAATGATATGATTTTATATGTATGAATAGAAAACCCTAAAGATTCCACCAAGGGCAAGGTACGGTGGCTCACGCCTTTAATCCCAGCACTTTGGGAGGCCGAGGTGGGAGGATTGCTTGAGGCCAGGAGTTCAATACTAGCCTGGGCAACATAGTGAGACCCCATCTCTACAAAATAAAAAAATAGCCGGGGCATGGTGCTGTGTGCCTATAGTCCTAGCTACTCAGGAGGCTGAGGTTGGAGCACTGCTTGAGCCCAAGAGTTTGAGGCTGCACTGAGCCATGATCGCTGCACTGAGGCATGATCACAACACTGCACTCCATCCTGGGTGACAGAGAAAGACCCTGTCTCAAACAACAACAATAAGAAATGTATGAATGAGGCTGGGTGTGGTGGCTGAAGCCTGTAATCCCAGCACTTTGGGAGGCTGAGGGCAGATCACCTGAGGTCAGGAATTTGAGACCAGCCTGGGCAACATGATGAAACCCCATCTCTACTAAAAATACAAAAATTAGCTGGGCATGGTGGCACACACCTGCTATCCCAGCTACCTGGGAGGCTGAGGCAAGAGAATCGCTTGAACCCAGGAGGCGGAGGTTGCAATGAGCCGAGATCGCTCCACTGCACTCCAGCCTGGGCGACAGAGCGAGACTCCATCTCAAAAAGAAAAAAAAAAGGAAGAAATGCACGAATGAGTGAACTCCTGGCAGGAGCTCTGTGGTGACTGTCTTCTGTAAGCCCGGGTTGATATTGGGGAAAACAGCCAGGAAACTGATTGCCCTGATATCAACTGGGATGTGGGATTCTGGACAAGGTCAGTAGGGTGTTGCTGACCCAGTGAGTATGATCAGAGACACGTCAGGCTCTGCCAGCCGGACAGCAGCTGCCACAGTCTCTCACCCAGTTTCCAGATTTGAGTGAAATTCAGACTCACAGCTGCCAAACTGAAGAGGAGGCTGGAAGCCCTAGGGCGTGCGGCTCTCCCAATACAAAGCATGCCAACCACTCCCACCAGTTACGCTCCTACTCTGTCCCCAAAGGAGTCTGTGGCCATTTGCCAGGGTTGTGTCACCAACATAGAGGGGTACAGAGAGGCTTTTCGAGGACGGGAACATGGTGTGTAGCCGGACACTGACATTGACGCCAGGACTTTGACAAGATCACCACACCCCTCTGTTTACTGAAGTCATGGAAGGCACTGTGGCCCAAGTCCATCTCTAGTGGGTCCAGTGGGTCTGTAGGTCTGCCCTGTTTATTGGGATACACATTCTTAGCTGCCAGCTGAATGCTCACATTGGCTCCTTGGCCGGAGGAGTAAGGGTTGTTACGGCAGAAAGAACCAAGTGAGAGCCTGTGGAACTTCCTCCCTCCAGCAAGACAGTGAGCCTGATAGAAGGAGTGCTTTGCTTGAGGAATTGCAGAGGTTAACACCAACATCAGAGACCAGGGAAGCAGGTGTGGTGGTTTCCATCTCCATTAGATTCACCTGCCTGGCCTTTGCAAAAACAAATTAATAATGACCGTGGGTGATGGACTGCAGTCAACTTGAAGAGGCAGCAGGGCCAGTGAGAGCTGCCACGCCGCGAGTGGTCTTTTTGCTGCAGCCGACCAACATAGCCTCTGTACTTGGTGTGTGACTAGCATCTTGGCAAATTCTTTCTTCTCAATATCCTCGCTCGGGAGGGTCAGAAGCAGTTCATCTTCACCGGCAGACAGCAGCACTCCTTCCCTGCCTCGTCTTGGGGCTGTGGCTGCTCCTGGGTTTTCTGGTGGGCGGAATAATGTCCCCCAAAGATGTCCACCTCCTGCCCCCTGGAACTTGTGAATACTTGACGTGATTCAGCAAAAAGAGAATGGAGACTGCAGATGAACTAAGGTTGCTAATCAGCTGACCTTAGGCCAGGAAGAACATCCCAGATTACCCGGGGAGATCCAATGCAATCACGAGGGTCCATGAAAGTGGAAAAGGAGCCAGGCCTGGTGGCTCACGCCTGTAATCCCAGCACTTTGGGAGGCTGAGACGGGCGGATCACAAGGTCAAGAGATCGAGACCATCCTGGCCAACATGGTGAAACCCTGTCTCTACTAAAAACACAAAAACTAGCTGGGTGTGGTGGTGGGTGCCTGTAGTCCCAGCTACTCAGGAGGCTGAGGCAGGAGAATTGCCTGAACCTGGGAGGCGGAGGTAGCAGTGAGCCAAGCCCCAGTGCACTCCAGCCTGGCAACAGAGCGAAACTCCATCTCAAAAAAAAAAGAAAAAGAATCCAATAAGTATTCAGAAACTAAAAACTACAATATATGAAACTAATGTTTCTGATCTCACTTATCTGTAGATGGCAGCATAATTATTCACACAACAAAATCATTTTTTAAATATGCACTGTGAGGCAGATGCCGTTTCAGTCACTTCTGAAGCAGGCTTCGTGTTCTGGTGTTAAATGTCCTGCCAGATCTACGGAAGTTCAGCTTAAGGAACACACCCAACACGATACATTTCCAAGTGCAATCGTAATTCCACTGAGCAAGCGAGGAGGGGACGCATGTCTAAATGTTAACAAAGATGCACTCTCGAGGTGTTCCATCTTATCAGCAAAATCCAGACTGGAAGACTCAAGTCAAACAGCCCAAGTCCTTGAGAACAAAAATTGTAAAGACGAAAAAAAGATGGAGAAAAACCCATACAGTTATACTGAAAGAGGCTTGCCAGACGTGGGAGCACACACCTGTAGTCCCAGCTACTCAGGCTGAGGCAGGAGGATCACTTAAGCCCAGCAGTTGGAGGTTGCAGTGAGCTAGGGTTACACCTGGGAATAGCCCCTGAACTCCAGCCTGGGCAAGACAGCTGACCCTGTCTCAAAAAAAAACAAAACGGAACAAAACAAAAACCCAAACCAAAAACAGTGGAAGAGGGAGGCAGAAGTGGAGAGCCAGAGGGAAGGAAACCCACAGCACGGCTGGCTTTCCTCGACGTCAGCCTGGCAAGGCCGTGCCCGGTGGCTACCCTGCAGAGCTGGTAGATGTGGTGGCTGCTATAGCAGCAACGGGACACAGGCACAGGGCCCCCCCATCTCCTGGGCATCTCAATGGTCCCAGGAGTTCTGGGGGGTGGGGGATAAAGCACCCGGTGAAGGGGTCCATAGATCTAGGCTGTGCCGGGACACTGTAGGGCAAAAGATAGATTCTGGCACCTGTGCCTCCGTCCAGCAAGAAAGACCCCGTGCTTGCCAGGCCCCTTAGCACCGTGACAGCAGCACAGGCCATGTTTGGGACCATCCCCAGTGTGGCCCAGGGCTGCTGGCTAAGGTGAAAGTAGCCAGGCTGCTTGGGCCACACTGTCTGGTTGGAGGATCCCGTGTGCAGGAGGTAGGGTGGTTGTGTATCCTCTGGCAGGCCCCCCTTTGGAGCTTCCCGCAGGTTTCTGGGGCTCTGGGGCTCAGCCACACCTTCCTGGTGGAGGCTATTCTTCTTTTGGAAAGCAGCTCCTGGAATGCTGCCTTCCCAGGCTGGGTTTCCCAGCTCCACATCACACCCCTGGGCAGCCCAGCAGCCATCTATTGCGTGGTGGAAAAGGTGTTTGTGGTGTTTGTGGGGCCCAGCCCAGATGACACAGGCGAGTCCCGGGGCCCAAGTGTCTACATCGCATTCGCCCCTTTTGCAGCTCAGATGCCTCCTGGGGAGGGCACCAATGCAGAGGAAAGGCTGGGAAAGGCTCCCACACCAACTCCAGCCTGACCTCCCCCGCATGCTGTAGTCCCAAGCAGGGAGATCCTGGCGGGCAGCAGCAAGGGAAGCCCCCGGGGGGCACCTCATCACCCACTTCCTGTGGGTGGGAAGAGTCACTTGAGCGCTGTGTATCACTGACTCCGGACACCAGTGAGGGCTGGGCTGGCTCTCCAGGGCCTGAAGTGAACGAGCCCGGGACAGTGGTGATGCGGACAGCTGGGAAAGGCTTGGGGGTGGCTCTGTGAGGAGCAGGGAACACCGAGCTCAAAGGGAGGTTCTGCATCCTGTGGGGACGCTCCTAGAGAGAGTCGGCCGCAGCGAGGGCACAGACAGGCTCGTGGACATCACGACTGCACCATGGACGTCAGCCAGCAGGCCCCGGGGCAGAGTGGCATGGGGGCAGGAATGGTGGTTACACCAACGGCATGAGCTCATTTTCCAAGATGGATCTAGAGCAGGTCCCACCCACGCAGAACAAGCCCTCTTTACAGATCACCAGACGTGGGGAGAGCAGGGCTGCAGGCCAATAAGAGGAGGCTGGGGAAGGCGTGCTCTGTCTGGATGGACTTCCTGGAATAGCCTCGAGTGCAAAAATAGCGTGTCCATGTGATGGCGACCAGGTGTCCCTGCGGCACAGAAAGCGCTGAGTCAGCGGCATGGACTCCTCCGAAGGCATGTCAGCTGGGTGGCCACCGCTGTGGGCTGGAGCCTAGCACGCCCTCCACGCTAAGTGCCTCGCCCTGAGCCCGCCGTCTGGAGGCAGGGCAGTTTCACTTCACACCTGCTGCTCTCAAGGGACACAGTCTGTTCTGCCTGAAATAGACTCCCAGGCACATGTGTAGAATCCCCCCTGCCAACCCCACCTGTGCGGTCCTAGCACCCCCGGCAGCCCTGCTTCTGAGCTGGAAACCCACTTTGTAGCAAAAAGAGGCACCATGGCAGGGGTCATGGGGCTCCCTGTGTCTTGGTGTCACCTTCTCCAGGTACAGGCTCCTGATGGGAAGGCCTGAGGGTCAGTGTGGCCAGGATGCAGCTCCTGGCTCTGTGGCCTGCAGTTTGAGTTTCCCTCGACAAGATGGAGCTCCCTGGTCCTGTCTGCCCCACACCCCGCAGAGCGGCTGAGGCCCCCAGACGCCTAGCCAGTGAGGCGGGGCTGTCCTGGAGGAAGGCTAGGAGTCCACCTCAAACTACAGAAAGCAAAATGGGGGCGTCCCTGCCTTTCCCTGACACTGAGAGCAGAAGAGCGGCCTCTTGGTTTCCCACCAGGAGCCTGCACCTGGAAAAAGTGACACCCAGACACAGGAATGATTGGAGACGGTCCCGGGCAGAGCCTCGGTGCTGGCCTTCAGTGACAGAAGGGACATCCTCCCCAGAGTTCCCTAGAGTCTGGCCTTGCTTGTGTTCCGTGCTTCCTCTCATAGCTGCCTCTTGCCAAGGCCAAATCCCCAGCTACTGGACACGCTCCACCACTGACATACCACGGGGCCTTCCGCGGAGGTGCTCCCGCACCCCTGAGGCTCTTATCAAACAACTGCCACTACTCCCGTCCTCAGGACAGGGTCAGGCTCCTTATCCTGACACCTGGGGCGGGGTGGTGGGGTACACAGGCGATCAGGCGATGGGCGGTGCCGGGCCTGGGCTGGGGAGGACAGGTGGCTGCCGGTGCCAGGCCTGCATCTGGAGGCTGCGGCCAGCATGGCCCATGCCCAGCAGGGGCGCACCAGGGTCAGACCTGATGTGGCCGCGAGGCCCCGTCGGCTCCGCGGAGAGGAGCCCAGGGAAGAGCAGGCGGAACCGTGGGTGAGGCAGTCCCGCGGCACCAGCGCAGAAGCAGGAGGGCAGGCAGCGGCGAGGACAGAATGAGCAGTGAGGGAGGCAGCGGGTGCGTGGAGACCGACGACGAGTTCGCGTTGGGAGGCGCTGCTGAGCCTCAGGGCGGTATCGGGCCCGGAGGAAGGTTTGAGCGGCCGACACCGGTCGGGAACAGCGCAGGGTCGGAGCTGCAGAGCCTGAGAAGGCGATCCGGGCCCAAGGCGACGCGCAGGGCCCCGTTTCCTGCCACCTGAGGGCGGCGCGCGCGGGGCGGGCACGACGCGGCGGACCCGGGATGGAGGCGGCCCCGACCCCCGCGAGGGCGAGTGGCGCAGGGTAGGGTCTTCCCGAGAGGCCACGCACCCGGGCGGCGGGGAGGTGGAGCACCAGGAGGTGGGCGAGAGCGGGGCGCGGCGGGAGGGGCTCGGGCGTGTCGCGGGCCTGCGCCGAGCGCTCACAGGTGCGCGTACACGCGCACTCCCACACGTGCGCGCACAAGCACATGTGTACATGACACGCAAGCGCGCGCCCACACTGAGCGTGTCCCGGGCCAGGGCACCCCCCTGCCAACAGCTCACCCGGTCACCCACAGCGGCGCGGGACGTGCGGGCTCTCACCTGTGGGGGCCTGTGGGCTCTCAGCCGACGCGGGCTCCCTCGCCTGCCAGCCCGCTTTCCTCTGCGGCGGGCGGTTCTCCCCGGGCTTCCCTAAGGGAAAACGACCGTCAGTGAGCTTGGGATGAGAGACCCCCATCCCCATTAGCCTCAAGAGACACTTATGGGGCACCGAAAGGGCCGTGCGTCCTGGCAGACAGGGAGCCCCCCACCCGGGCCTCCTCCCGAGGGAAGCACACGGACAACCTTAAGGAGCACGGGCTCCTCCAGCAGCACATACTCCACTGCACAGGGGGCCTCAGGGAGGCACAGGCGAGAGCCAGCCCGCAGGAAGGCACCTGGGCTCTTGTGGGCCCAAGGATGGGCAGGTGGTGCCTCTGCTAGAAGGACCCTGTGGGCTGGCAGTGCCGCCTGCTGGCCCTGCCCCACCCCTGACACTGTCCCCCACCTTGTGCCACGTCCCTCCCCCAGGCCCTTTCCGGTCTCTGTGTGTCCAATTCGGCACTCCCCTGGCAGGTGGCTGTCCCTCTGCTCCTGAGCTTCTGGGACTAGGACTGAACAGGAGCAGGAGCACTGCTTCAGGCAGGGTTGCGCCAGGCAAACCAGTCCGGCCAGTGTGGCTGAGCCGGCTGGGATGGGGCCCTGGGCGTGGGCGTGAGTCAGCAGCCCCGGGCTGGGGAAACGCTAGGGAGGAGGCCACCTGGAGCCCACCCTCCCAACAAGAAGCCCAGAGGACGCCGGCATTTGGGGCTAGCCCTGCACCCCCACCTCCAGCCTGGAGACCCAAAGGCAGCTCTGATCCAGTCAGGCCCTTGTTGCAGTGCAGTGCAGGACAGCCAGCCCCCAGCCAGGATGGCACCAAGAGCCCCCGCCCCACCTCCATGACCGCCAGGACTTTCCTCGGGGCCCCACATCAGTTCACAAAGTGCCACGCAGGGCTTTGAGGGCCCAGTCTCTCCAGCCAGCCGCAGTGCAGTGGCCCGAACCCTGCCCTAGCTCCCACCGGGTCCCTGGGTCCTTTGTCTCCACCAAACCCCAGCGGGGCTCCTGTGGGCGTGCTAGCTGCCCTGGAGCCCTCCAGAGTGCATGGGCTGCGGGTTCCCATGGCCAGCTGGGCTCAGGTTGTCTGTGGCCAGGGAGGGTCTGGGCCCTGAGGGTCAGTGCGACCAGGATGCAGCTCCTGGCCCTGTGGCCTGCAGTTTGAGTTTCCCTCGACCAGCTGTGGGACCGGGGGAGCCGGGATGGGGCGGGGGCGGGGGGCATTGGTGCCGCCCAGGGCAGGACCAGGCACGCCCGTTGCTGCGCACAGCAGGCACTCTGGCTGCTGCGCTGCCTCCTCCAGCTTCTCAGCCTCCCTCCCAGTCTCGCCGGCAGGGCCCGTGGCCTGTAAAGCCCCGTGCCGCCGTGTCAGCGCGTTAGTCAGCCTCTCAGCCCAGGCGAGCCACCGCGCCGTGGAGTCCCTATAAACTCCCTGGCGTGGCCTGGCCCCACCGAGTGGGGTCAGTGAGGCCCATAGGCAGAGCCAGAGTCCCGAGCTGCGGTGCTGCGGGCTCCAGCAAGGGGCAGGACCTGGAACAGGGGGCCAAGCCTGGCGTGGGAGCACACGGCCACTGTAGCCTCCAGGGACGCCCTCTGAGCTGGCCTGAGGCCGGCTGGTCCATGAGCCAGGGCCCCTGGGGAGCAGACACCTGGTGAAGGAGGCGCTGGATCCAGGGCCATGTCTGGGAAACGAAGTCGAGTTCGCAAACCCCGGGCCAGGAGGGCAGGCAGGGCCCAGCCGGCAGCTGGGCAGCAGGGCCCTGAGGTCGAGCCCCCGCCCCCCACCCCAGGGGGCCCTCAGGGTGAAGCGGGGGTGGCCCCTACAGGGCACGTGACCAGCATCGAGCCAGCACCTCAGGGACACCCCAGGGTGGCCAGGCCAGAGCAGCCACAGGCAGCCTCGAGACCGGTGCCGGCCACTGCTCCGGGGTCTGAGCTGGTGCTGGTCCTTGCTGGGCACATGGAAGGCTGTGGAGCAGGGGACCCCATGCCGGCCCTGGGCCCCGAACTGCTGAGGCTCCATGAGGTCCAGCTGTGCCTGGCCCAGGAGCAGCTGCTGCTGGAGGACCGGTGGCGGCAGGTCCAGCTGCAGATGCAGCTGTGGCGGGAGGAGCAGCTATGGCTGCAGCAGCTACAGGAGGAGCAGCTGTGGCTGCAGCAGCTACAGGAGGAGCAGGCCTGGGTACACGTGGAGGGGCTGCAGCTGGCCGTGGCCCTGGAGCAGCTCCGGAGTGAGGGCTTCGAAGCACTGCAGACCCAAGGCCAGGTAAGGCCTGGATGGGGTGGCGGGAGGGGTCCCGGACTGTTGTGTTGGTGCGGTGGCCACTGCAGCAACCTAGGGATGCCTGTGGAGGCCCAGGAAGCCAGGCTGGATGCAGGGTATCTGTGGGCCCATCTTCACATCTGCCAAGTGAAGCCGGTGCCCGCCACACAGGGCACTGCAAGACCAAGGGACAGCAAGCCTGCCCAGGCTGGCCCAATGCTTGGTGGAAATGGGCACTGAGGGCAGATACTTGTTCAGGGACAGAGGTGTCCCTGCAGCAGACCCAGGCATGCTGGGCCAGAGCCGTCCAGGGCAGTGTATGGGCTGCGGTGCAGGGCGAAGGCCTGGGTGTGCAGTCAGTAGGTAGCAGAACTGAAGAGCACAGCCCCCACCCCTGCAACCCAGTTTCCTGGCTGCCTTGCTGGTCCACCTGCCCTGCCCCCCGTTTATTGGAGTGCAGTGTACTCAGGGCTAGAGATTGCGGAAGCAGCATGCGGCACCTGTGCCCATTATCCTCATTCCAGGAGGGCGGCTGGCCTCAGACGCAGCTGGGGCTATTTTGGGGAACTAGGATCTAACCCCAGCCTGGCGTGGAGGAGCGGTCACCATCATCCCACCTGCTCCTGTGAATCTGGGAGCTCTCTGGCAACCAGGGGTGTTAGGCCAGGCCCACTCTAAGCAGAGGGGCAGTCTGGGGAGCAGGATGGGGTGCTCTCTTAGCAAGCACAGACCCCAGTGCAGGCCTGGGTGCTGAAGGACCCCAGATTTGCAACCTGGAATGTGTTCACAGCCAGCATAGAGAATAAATGGGAGCTGGAGCAAGGGAGTGACAACAGTGAAGGCGGGGCTGGGGTGGGGGAGGGTACTGGGGGAAGTCTCCTTCCTGACCCACAGGAAAACCCAGCCCAGGTGAGCTGTCACCATCCAACCTGGAAGTGACTATGGAGAAGGTGACTGGGAGCAAAGCCGCAGGCAGAGGGCAGCACAGGATGGCCCAGATGGAGCAGAGAGTCAGAGAACACATGCTTAGACTGAGAATCCCCAACTTGGACTCAAACCCTCCTGTTTCAAAACCCATTTTTGGCCATCTAGGCGCCTCCCACTGGCTCCTGCCCCCTTCCCACCTCCATGTGTTCCAAAGCTGGGCTTCTCTGAGTGCTACCCCTAGGCCCCCACCCCAACCCCAGGGGTATAAGATTCAGGCTTGGCCGGGCATGTGGCTCAAGCCTGTAATCCCAGCACTTTGAGAGGCCGAGGCGGGCGGATCACCTGAGGTCAGGAATTCAAGACCAGCCTGGTCAATGTGGCGAAACCCCGTCTCTACTAAAACAAAAATACAAAAATCAGCAGGGCGTGGTGGCGCACGTCCATAATCCCAGCTACTCGGGAGGCTGAAGCACAAGACTCACTTGGACCCAGGAGGCGGAGGTTGCAGTGAGGAGGGATTGCGCCATTGCACTCGACTGGGTGACAAGAGCGAGACTCCGTCTCAAAAAAAAAAAAAAAAATAGATTCAGGCTCAAGGTCTGAGATGAATGAATGGGCTCTGAACCCTCAGTCAATCACACCTAATCCCAACTCAGAGGTCCCCTAAAAGCCACTCTTGGAAGAAGGGCTCTCCTCAGAGGGGGTGTCTCTCGGTGGCTACATAGAAGGTCTCACAGGTCAGTGTCTGGGTGACAGTGCTCTGGAGGTCAGAGGGTGCACTTACCAGCAGCAGCTCTTGTCTTGGGCCCAGGGTGGAGCGTCTGCCACTTCCCAGCTGCAGCTTTGGGTCTCCCCTTCTTACTGTCCATTCTCCTGGGGGGTGGGTAGGGAAGGACCAGGGAGAGGGTGCTCAGAGTGGCAGAGGGCAGGGGCAGTGGCAGTGGGGAACAGGGCACACCATGGGCGCCTGAGTGGATGACAGCAGGAACATGGGCTCCCCTGAGGCTTCCCAGCTGGTGTCCTGTCTGCCTGCCCGCCCCGGGTGTGTGCCCAGAAGCTTGAGCCGGGATGCCTGGCAAGAGCACTTGGCCACCTCCCGTCCCCCTGGCCGTGGCTTGCCTGCCCCTCCGCCCCAGGCTCAGCCCATCCTGCCGGGCGCAGGATCTGGAGTCTAGCACTCTTCTCCCTGCCCCAAGCTGCTGGGTTGCCAGTGGGCCGGTCTTTGTTCTCACCGTAATCATGAGCATGGCCCTCTCTGCTGAAGCCTCCATGCCTCTCCACTGCCCTGGGAAGCCAGCCCACCCCTGAGCCTGCTCCCCAGCCCACCCAAGGCACTCACCCCTCCACACCCTCAGACCTTATGTGGTCCCGGCTCTGGCAGATGGTGGTGTCAGGCCCTGGAGCAACACCCCTCTCCCTAGTCCACACAGCTGACCCCCAAGTTCATTTCCCTGGGAGGCTCCTCCTGCCTGCCCCAGCCTGTCCGGGTCCTCCCCGGTGCCCCATGCCCCTCACCCGCTGCAGCACAGTTGCCTGGGCACTGGTCTGACCCCCCACCCATGTTTCCAGCATGCTGGTACCAGTGGGGTGGCACTGAGTGTTTGGGGAAAGAACAAATGAAACTGGGACTGACCCTGAAAACAGAAAATAGGATCACATGGCAAGAGGAACAAAGAGAAAGGCGACTGATGACCATCAGAAAGGGTTGAGGCAGGGCCAGTCCTTGGGGTGGGAGTGGCAGGGGCGAGGGGTGGTGGTTTGGACAGATGATCCAGTGTAGGGCAGGGCCTAAGAGGGGGAGGGGCCCTAAGTGAGGGCCTGAGGGGGACCTGGGGGACTGGAGCACCCAGGGGCAGCTCGGGGTGGTGTGTGGGGGTTGCTGTGTACATGGGGGGGCGTCTGGTATGAGGCTTGGTGTGCACACTGGGTCCCTTGTCCGTTGGGGCTTGGTTTTTGCAGAGTCCCTGTGTGTACACAGGGTTCCGTATGTGAGGGAGGTCCCCTGTGCTCTCAGAGTCAGTGTGAATATGGCATCCCCTGTTTGTGTGTGGGGTTGGTGTCTGAGAAATCTCATATGCAGGTGGGGTTCCCTAGGTGTGCGGATGTCAGCGTGTTCGTGGGTGACTGGCATGGGCAGGACTCGGTGTGCTTGTGGCTTCTGTCTTCCTGAGGAGTCTCCTGTGCTTGGGGGTTGGTGTACATGAGGCACAGGTCATTCGGGGTCCGCATGTGCATGGGGGGGTCACTGCGGCAGAGTCCCCTACAAGTGTGGGCATCGGTGTGAGGGGGTGAGGGAGAAAGATGGGGGACCCCAGGTACTTGTGGGCATCAGTGTGTGTGGTGGGGGTTGGGGTCTGGGGGTCCTCTGTGTGGGCGGGGTCCTCGTCTACGTGTGGGGCGCTGGTGCGGTGGGAGACCGGTGTGTGGTGAGGGGATCCCCTGTGCTCTCGGGGCTCCCAGACCCGGCCCCGCCCGGGGCTCGACGCCGCCCCACCGTCCTCACCTGTCGCACCTGCCTCCCCCAACTCGGCGAGGAGGCCAGAGCTCCGCCCCTGGCGTCGGGCTCGCTCGTTTCCTAGCGACTGAGCCGGAACTTCCGAGTCACCCCGACTTCCGGGGCGAGGGTCAGGGGTCAGGCTGGGAACTTTGAGCCTTGGGTCAACAGTTGGGCTCCCGGGGGTCGGGGTCTTTGAAGTGCGGGCCTCACGGTCTCCGGCGGCGCTGGGCCGGGGTCTCCGGGCGCGCGGCCGCAGGGCACGGGCGGGTCGGGGCGCGGGCCGGGGGCGCGGGCTGGGGCTGGCGGCGGGCGCGGGGCGCAGGAATGCGGGCGCGCCGCGGGTGGGGCTGCCCCGCCCCCAGGTGCTGCCCGGGCAGGCAGGAGGCAGGAGCGACGGGCGGGGCGGGGGCGGGCGCGTGAATCAGGCCGGGCGGGCCGCGGCAGGGAGTGGCTGCCGGACCGACCGGACCGCGAGGCCGCTGGGCGGCGGTCGGCTCCTGCTGCCCCTGTGCCGAGACCCCGCGCACCTGGCCAGGTAGGGCCCCCCTCCCCCGGCCCGAGCGGGGCGGGGCGAGGCGGGGGGCGGGCGCCCCTTGGCGCGGTCCCACTTGGGCTACCCTTGCGCCCACACCTGGGCCGGGGCCGCGCGACCCAGAGAGGGGCGGTGGGAGTGGAGCGCGGCCGCGTGCGCGGGGCCGGGGTGGCGGGGCTGCTCGGACAGGGGGCGCCGCTGTGCGGATATGGACGCGAGCGCCCCCGCACGACGCCGGCCCGAAAAGAGCCGAGGGGGAAGGGGCCCGGGATCCGGGTCGAGCCTGCCCGGCCGTCCCGACTCGCTCCCGCCCTCGCGGCCTAGCTGGAGTCTGGGTGCTGGGCACGGCCTGGACCCTTCCCTGGGGACATCCGCCCGGGCCGCCGTGGACTGGGGTGGCCAGGGTGCGGCCTGGATCCCCGCGTGGCGAGCAGGGCGAGTGATGGGAGTGCTGCCCCTCGCGCCCACGTTCCTGGGCTGGGGTGGGCGGATAGGGCACCCAGCGGCCGCAGCCGCGAGCTCGTAGGGTGCACTGACCCCGTTGGGGGCTGGGGTGCCCACTCCGCAAGTTATCACTGAGCGACTTCCGGTCTGTGAGCCCCGTCCTCCGCACCCCACCTTTCCGCCGCCTAGAGCCTCCGCGCCCTCCTGCGCCCATCGGAACTTGGCACAGGTTCACCCCACTTTGTGTAGGAACTCCAGATCCTTCCATGGGGTCCTCCTTCCAGATACTCAGGAACCCCACTTCCTGCCAGGGTGGAGAGGATGGGGTCCTTGAAGGCCAGCTGAGGGCCCTGACTTCGAGTCAGAGGTCAGGGGTCAGCAAGCAGAAGAGTGGATTCGTGCTGAGTCATTGCCCATGGGTGGGTTCCGCGCCCTCCCTCCCTTGGGCAGACGTTTGGTAGGCAAATGTGTGGGCATGCAGGCCACTGGGGTGCTCCATCTTGGGCTCGGGAGTGGCTGCAGCCCCGTCCATAGCCCAGGAGACACGTACCCATGAAAGGAGACGACGTGAGGAATGAAGCAGTTGGAGGTCTGGGCATCACCCTGTGAGGACGAGGCATGTCTGCTGGGAGGGCTCCTGGCCACGGGGGCTTCCACTGTCTGGATGGTCCCTGCCCCCATTACACACAGCCTGGAGCCTGGACACTGAAATCCAAAGGGACAGTGGGGGTCCTTTCTAGAGTGTCCCCCCAGTGTCGGGAAGTACCCTCAAACAACATCAGCAGGGTTGTTCCCCCTGCCCTGTATGGTCAGACACCGCCCCTACAGACAGGCTGGCAATGGTGAGTGGGCTCCTCGGCCCAGCCAGACAGGCCTACACCTCACCCCCATGTGGTTGGCCTCGATCTGCCCCTGGCACAACCAGAGCGGTGTGCCCTAACCAGCCCCATATGTCAACCATGAGGACGGTGCCCCAACAAAGAAATGTTGGGACAGCTTCTCCCAAGCCGGTTGGCATCTAGGGCTGTTGAGTGGCACCAGGTATTTCCCATGTCTCAACTCCATGTCACCCCCAGGGGCACCAGGCAGGACGGCTGCCTCCTGACCCCAACATTCTCAGCCAAGTGGCTCCGGCTAGCACCCATGTAGTCCAGCTGGCCGGCATCCATCCTGTCAGCGCCCAGGGGCACGCTCCTCTGGGCACCTTCCTAGCCAGGGCCAACATTCAGGAACCTGTGTGCTAGGCGGGGACAGGTGTCCTGCCTCCCTCCCCAACCCGAGGAGCAGTGGGATGGACTGAGCAGTCCCTAGGGCTCTCCTTCCAGGGAGAGGTACCCAGGTAGCTCAGTGACCCTGTGTGCGTGGGCCCTGGGCGCTCCCCATCTGACACCTTTCTGGAGAGGCCAGGCCCCCGCAGGGACCCTTTGGAGAACAGAGTGGGCTGTGGGGCAGCCAAGCATGGATGGTGGTGGCGAGCCCAGGACCTGGAAAGGTCCCTGCTGCCCTGGATGGGGGCTGGTGGGGACAGGACTCTGAGCAAGTGGAGAGCCAGATTTGGGCGATGTGGAGTGCAGGCCCTGCAGGGCCCTGTGGGCACCAAGGGGCTGTGGCCCAGGGAGGTTTTATCTGAGAGGGACAGTGACAAGAAAGAGGTCAAAGGTAGGCCAAGGGAAGGAGGGGGTGCTGGGAGACAGGGACGGAGTCTAGGGATCAGTGTTCCAGGACTGGGCGGTCATAGAATGGGCTGTGGGAGCCCAATTGTGAAACCCTGAGGATGGGGAGGAGGTGTGGCCCGGGACTATGTGTGGGGCTTAAGGTTGCCATTCCAGGAGGAGGGTAGTCACAGCCCTGTTTGCTGCGCTCACCTTGGGCTAGGCGTGGTGTCATGTGGACCCTCAGCTGTGTTGTGCAGTAGAGGTAGGCCAGAGAGGTGCAGTGACCTACCCACAGTCTCCCAGGCAGTCAGAGACGGACACATGGGCAGCATGGGCGGCACCAGCTTGTCCAGTAGGCACAGTGCCAGGGGTCCGTGAATGTCTTAAAATAAGAAAAAAGTGAATATTATAATGATGAATGCAGCCTGGATTGTTTGTCTTTAAGCCAACAGTCATGAAATATTTGGGGGGGGGGGTTCGTTTTATTTTTATTTTTTGTAGTGATGTGGTCTCACTCTGTCACCCAGGCAGGAGTGCAGTGTCACAATCATAATTCACAGCAGCCTCCAACTCCTGGGCTCAAACAATCCTTCTGTCTCAGCTTCCCAAGTGCCTGGGACTATGTGTGCACGCCACCATGCCTGCCTAATGTTTAAAATTTTTTGTAGAGATGGGGTCTTGCTGTGTTGCCCAGGCTGGTTTCAAACTCCTGGCTTCAAGCAGTCCTCCTGCCTCAGCCTCCCAGAGAAAGGAGAGACAGGGCTGGGATACCTGTGCCCCAGCCCTCTGCCAGTGTCCCCTCAGCTAGGGGCATCCTAGGGTCTGGGTTGCTCTCTGTGAGCCTGGTTCGGCTGGTGCCCTGGAAGGCCTCCTGGGCATGGGCTAAACTCCAGCCTACCCAAGTCACTGACGGCCCTTTCCACAGTGTGTCCATGCTCGAGGGTAGGAGTGGTCCCAGTGCCCCCACCCCTAGTCATGTGTCTCCCTGCCCCTCCAGGCCCCTGGCCCCAACATGGCCCGTCGCTCTCAGAGCTCCTCGCAGGGGGACAACCCACTGGCACCCGGGTACCTGCCGCCTCACTACAAAGAGTACTACCGCCTGGCGGTGGATGCACTGGCCGAGGGTGGCTCGGAGGCCTACAGCCGCTTCCTCGCTACCGAGGGGGCACCAGACTTCCTGTGCCCTGAAGAGCTGGAACATGTGAGCCGACACCTTCGGCCTCCGCAGTATGTTACCCGAGAGCCACCTGAAGGCAGCCTTCTCGACGTGGACATGGATGGCTCCTCGGGTACATACTGGCCAGTGAACTCAGACCAGGCCGTGCCTGAGCTTGATTTGGGCTGGCCTCTGACCTTCGGCTTCCAGGGCACCGAGGTGACCACCTTGGTGCAGCCACCGCCCCCCGACAGCCCCAGTATCAAGGATGAGGCCCGCAGGATGATCCGTTCCGCCCAGCAGGTGCGCCATCTTGGGCTTGAGGGTAGTGGGGGAGGGGCCTGGGCTAGAGGCACGGGGGTGGAGGAGATGCATGAGCATGATCAGCTTGAGGGGTGAGCCTGAGCTCCAGCTGGAGTGGGGGTCCCTGGCAAAGATCTTCAGGGCTGCCAGGTCTCGGTCATCAGGGGCTGCAGGCTCTGCACAGGTCTGCTTGCCTGTGGTCATGGCCAGTGCCCAGAAACTCGGGGGCTCTGGGGATGGGTGGGCACCCCACCAGCCTGGGTTCATTGTTCAGATAATTACCTCTCATCCTGCCCGGTGGCCCTTGGCCAGCTGAGGGCTTCTAACCATCACCAAACAGCTAGCAGACGGCGGAAGGTGCTGTTAAACCATAGCGACTGAGGCATGAGGTCCAGACGCTAAAGGCTTGTGACTTTCTCCCCTGCCCAGGGCAACAACCCCGTCCCAGGGCAGAACTGGAGCCTGGCACTTGGCCCTGACAGCTGCCCTGGAATGGGGGCAGCTCAGCCGTCTGTAGGGTGGAGGGGATTGAGGGGCCCTTGCCGTGCCCCAACCTGGCCCACCCTCATCCAGGGTTCTCTGCCCTGCACCTGCCTCGGTTTCCCCCTTATGGCCAGCCGTTCCACACCTCTTCTGTTTGGTCCCTTCTTCCTGCCCATCTTCCCAGATGTGGCGCCAACTCCCTAGGATGGACTAGCTTGTTTCACAGTGGTCGTGGGTGATCCAGACACCTCCCGGGTGTGGAGGGGAGGCTGGACAATGGTGTGGGGACAGCAGGGGCCTCTCCTCTCCGTCCTGACCCGCCCCTGCAGGTGGTGGCCGTGGTGATGGACATGTTCACTGATGTGGACCTGCTCAGCGAAGTGCTGGAGGCCGCGGCCCGTCGGGTCCCAGTCTACATCCTGCTGGATGAGATGAACGCGCAGCACTTCCTGGACATGGCCGACAAGTGCCGTGTCAACCTGCAGCACGTGGATGTGAGTTCCCGGGAGTGGGAGATTGGGGAGGACCCGTGGGAGAGATCTGACTCCCCTCCCTCCCCAGTTCCTGCGCGTACGGACTGTGGCGGGCCCCACCTACTACTGCCGCACTGGGAAGTCCTTCAAGGGCCACGTCAAGGAGAAGTTCCTGCTGGTGGACTGTGCCGTGGTGATGAGTGGGAGCTACAGGTGCGCCCGCGGGGCTCCCTCACCCCCTTCTCTGGGGCCTCCTCCTGTAACCCCAGCACCCCCTTTCCACACCAGGGCCCTCCTCGCCAGGAGCCCTTGTCCTGTAGACCCCTGCACAGCCTAGCCGGGCCCAGGTCCTTGCAGACCTCACATCCCTGCGTCCTCCGCGCCCCACCCGCTGCCCACGGGGCTGCAGTGCCCTCGCTCCAGCTCGGTTTGACTCTGGCCCTGACCCCCCCACAGCTTCATGTGGTCCTTTGAGAAGATCCACCGCAGCCTGGCGCACGTGTTCCAAGGAGAGCTGGTCTCCAGCTTCGACGAGGAGTTCCGCATCCTCTTCGCGCAGTCCGAGCCGCTTGTGCCCTCGGCCGCGGCCCTGGCCCGCATGGACGCCTATGCCCTGGCTCCGTATGCCGGGGCCGGGCCTCTCGTGGGCGTCCCTGGGGTCGGGGCGCCAACCCCCTTCTCCTTCCCTAAACGAGCGCACCTCCTGTTCCCGCCACCCCGGGAAGAGGGCCTGGGCTTCCCCTCCTTCCTCGACCCGGACCGCCACTTCCTGTCGGCCTTCCGCCGGGAGGAGCCGCCGCGGATGCCGGGGGGCGCGCTGGAACCGCACGCGGGGCTGCGGCCGCTCTCGCGGCGCCTGGAGGCCGAGGCCGGGCCGGCTGGGGAGCTCGCGGGCGCGCGGGGCTTCTTCCAGGCGCGGCACCTGGAGATGGACGCCTTCAAGCGGCACAGCTTCGCGACCGAGGGCGCGGGCGCCGTGGAGAACTTCGCGGCCGCGCGGCAGGTGTCGCGGCAGACGTTCCTCAGCCACGGCGACGACTTCCGCTTCCAGACCAGCCACTTCCACCGTGACCAGCTCTACCAGCAGCAGTACCAGTGGGACCCGCAGCTCACGCCGGCGCGCCCGCAAGGCCTGTTCGAGAAGCTTCGCGGGGGCCGCGCGGGTTTCGCGGACCCGGATGACTTCACCCTGGGCGCCGGGCCCCGCTTCCCGGAGCTCGGACCCGACGGGCACCAGCGGCTGGACTACGTGCCGTCCAGCGCGTCCCGCGAGGTGCGCCACGGCTCGGACCCCGCCTTCGCGCCCGGACCCCGCGGCCTGGAGCCCAGCGGAGCCCCGCGCCCCAACCTGACCCAGCGCTTCCCATGCCAGGCCGCGGCGAGGCCGGGCCCAGACCCCGCTCCCGAGGCGGAGCCGGAGCGCAGGGGCGGGCCCGAGGGGCGGGCAGGGCTGCGGCGCTGGCGTTTGGCCTCCTACTTGAGCGGCTGCCACGGCGAGGATGGGGGCGACGACGGCCTACCGGCGCCCATGGAAGCGGAGGCTTACGAAGACGACGTGCTGGCTCCCGGGGGCCGGGCACCTGCCGGCGACCTGCTCCCCTCGGCCTTCCGCGTCCCAGCAGCCTTCCCCACCAAGGTCCCGGTGCCAGGCCCGGGCAGCGGCGGCAACGGCCCAGAGCGCGAGGGCCCGGAGGAGCCTGGCCTGGCCAAGCAGGACTCATTCCGCTCGCGCCTGAACCCCCTGGTCCAGCGCAGCTCCAGGCTGCGCTCCTCGCTCATCTTCAGCACGTCACAGGCCGAGGGCGCGGCCGGGGCTGCGGCGGCCACTGAGAAGGTGCAGCTGCTGCACAAGGAGCAGACGGTCAGCGAGACGCTGGGGCCCGGCGGAGAGGCCGTGCGCTCCGCGGCTTCCACCAAGGTGGCGGAGCTGCTGGAGAAGTACAAGGGCCCAGCCCGTGATCCCGGCGGCGGCGCGGGCGCCATCACCGTTGCCAGCCACAGCAAGGCCGTCGTGTCCCAGGCGTGGCGGGAAGAGGTGGCGGCCCCAGGTGCCGTGGGGGGCGAGCGCCGCAGCCTCGAGAGCTGCCTGCTGGACCTGCGCGACTCCTTTGCACAGCAGCTGCACCAGGAGGCGGAGCGGCAGCCGGGAGCCGCGTCGCTCACCGCGGCGCAGCTGCTCGACACACTGGGCCGGAGCGGCTCCGACCGCCTGCCTTCCCGCTTCCTCTCTGCCCAGAGCCACTCAACGTCCCCGCAAGGGCTGGACAGCCCTCTGCCGCTGGAAGGGTCCGGAGCGCACCAGGTGCTCCATAATGAGTCAAAAGGGAGCCCCACCTCGGCTTACCCTGAGCGGAAGGGGAGCCCCACGCCTGGGTTTTCCACTCGAAGAGGAAGTCCAACTACAGGATTTATCGAGCAGAAGGGGAGCCCCACCTCAGCCTACCCCGAGCGCAGGGGTAGTCCGGTGCCCCCCGTGCCGGAGCGCAGGAGCAGTCCGGTGCCCCCCGTGCCGGAGCGCAGGGGCAGCCTCACCCTTACCATCTCCGGGGAGTCCCCGAAGGCCGGGCCCGCGGAGGAGGGGCCGAGCGGCCCCATGGAAGTCCTGCGCAAAGGCTCCTTGCGTCTTAGGCAGCTGCTGAGCCCCAAGGGCGAGCGGCGCATGGAGGATGAGGGTGGCTTCCCAGTGCCGCAGGAGAACGGCCAACCCGAGAGCCCGCGGCGTCTGTCACTGGGCCAGGGTGACAGCACGGAGGCTGCCACAGAAGAGCGGGGTCCGCGGGCGCGCCTGTCCTCAGCCACGGCCAACGCCTTGTACAGCAGCAACCTTCGGGATGACACGAAGGCCATTCTGGAGCAGATCAGTGCCCACGGCCAGAAGCACCGTGCGGTCCCTGCCCCGAGCCCCGGCCCGACCCACAACAGCCCCGAGCTAGGCCGTCCACCGGCTGCTGGCGTCCTGGCCCCAGATATGTCCGACAAGGACAAGTGTTCAGCCATCTTCCGCTCGGACAGCTTGGGGACCCAGGGCCGGCTGAGCCGCACGCTGCCAGCCAGCGCGGAGGAGCGCGATCGGCTGCTGCGCCGCATGGAGAGCATGCGCAAGGAGAAGCGCGTGTACAGCCGCTTCGAGGTCTTCTGCAAGAAAGAGGAGGCCAGCAGCCCTGGGGCAGGGGAAGGCCCCGCGGAGGAGGGCACCAGGGACAGCAAGGTGGGCAAGTTCGTGCCCAAGATCCTGGGCACGTTCAAAAGCAAGAAGTGAGTCTTCTGGCCTGGCAACCCAGGCCAGGGTGCCCGCATCGCTGCCCCGGTCATCCAGAAGCCCCGCGGAACAGAGAGCCCTGCTCATCTGCTTGAGCAGCGGCTGTCAGGCCACGGCCGCTTGGGGCTTGGCTGAGTGCGCCAGACCTCGGCTCCACTGGAGGCTCACCTGGCAGCTGCCGTCTCTGCCCCCTGGCCTCCCCAACGCTGGGGCTGCACCCCTCGCCACCAGTGCCTTTCTCCCCTCAGCACCTTCATCTCTGCACCGTCAGCCTTGCGTGGCGCAGCGTCTGGCTCCGCCATCTCTTTGTGCCTCAGTCCCCCCCGCCCCCTTTATTTTTTTGAGACCTAGGGCTGGAGTGCAGTTGAGCGGTCTGGGCTCACTGCAACCTCTGCCTCCCGGGTTCCAGCGATTCTCCTGCCTCAGCCTCCTGAGTAGCTGGGATTACAGATGTATGCTACCACGCCCAGGTAGTTTTTGTATTTTTAGTAGAGACAGGGTTTCACTATGTTGGCCAGGCTGGTCTCCAACTCCTGGCCTCAAATGATCAGCCCGCTTCAGCCTCCCAAAGTGGGGGGATTACAGGCGTGAGCCTTGCACCCCGCTAAGTCCCCTATCCTCTTGCAAGGGTCTCGCCTCTGTGCCTCAATTCCTCATTCTCTGGGCCCTTCTCCTCCTCAGGGCCTCCTGTTCTCAGGGCCTCCCCCCTCCCCGCTCCCTCCCTCTCTCAAGGTCTCCTCCTTCCCTCCCCCCCCCCCCCCCCCGTCTCCCCCCTCCCCCGCCTGGGCTTCACTTCCTTTCCTACTTGGATTCTCCTGCTCGCTGCCTCCCAGCATCTTTTTTGGAGGCCCGTCTCTTGCTGTGGGGAAGACTGGGCTGGCTGCGGGCAGTTTGCAAGGGGTGGGTGGGGCAGGGGGGGGGGAGCTGGACCAGAAGATGCCCCTTGGAGTGGCAAGGAAGCTGGACAGGGCAGGCCTCTGGGGACGGGACACAGGGAAGCCCGAAGGGGCGCCTTGGCCAGGTCTGCCATCTCCTCCAGCGAGGCTCTGGCCAGCACTGGGTGAGAGTGGGGAGGGGGCATTGGCCTTTGCAGCACAGTAAAACATGGTCCAGACAACCTGTGGCCCCGGCCTCATGAGCACCCCCTGCACAGGCCCGGCCCAAGCCAGGCGCTAGAAGGGCTGGTTGTGGAGTGCTTATCCTTGACAGGTATGGGGCCAGGTGAGGGCAGGGGACAAGGTGCAGCTGAGGCCGAGCCCAACTAGGTCCTGGGCACCCCTGCAGGTGGGAGTGGTCCTTGTCCTCCTGGTATCCAGCAGACACCCCCCTCTCCCCACCAGCCCCATTCTCAGGTCCTTTCCTCTTTGTCACCAACACCAAGAATCTGTCCAGGGTTCTTGGCTTATCTTTTATCTCTTTTCACTCCTAGAGAGGAATTGCAATTGACTCAGAATGACACATTTTGGCACCACGTGTGTAGAAAGCCCCCACTGTTAGATGATAGCCTCGTGAAATTCATGTTTCTGTATTCTCCTATTTCTTTTCAAAAACTAATTTTTTTTTTAGTGTAATAAATCCTAAGAGGGAACTGATTTAAGAAACAAGGCCGCCAAACAAAGGCAGCAGTTCCGACTCCAGCAGCTGGGAAAGGAAGGAAAGTGACCCCACTTTCACTCCTGCACAGCCCACTGGTTACCAAAACCACCGTGCAAGTCGGGATGACAGCAGGGACTTCTGGCCAGGTGGGAAAGGTGCCTGGAAGCGGGATGCGCCTGTGCGTCTCTTGGCCATGATGTTCTTGTGGGCATGTTATTCTTGGTGCTGCCTGGGGTGTTGCTGAGCGGACAGGCTCTCCAGCTGGAGTCCATGGAGAGGCCAGAGGCTGGCGGCCCTGCCTGGGCCTTCGGAGCCTCCTGCCTGCACCCTCCACCTCTTCTAAACCATGATGTGGCACATTTTGGTGTTAATAAAACACAACACACAAAGTATTCTAGCATGTTCCCCAGTGTGTATAATCGCCCAGTTACATCCTGCAGCCTTTAACCACGTGGCCTCCCAGATTTCCCCTGTGGACCCACCACCCACCCCTGTGGGGGGCACTAAAGACCCCCCAGCTCCACTTCCAAGGCCCACCTTGGCCTCCCCAACTTCACGCTGCTCTCCTGTCCCTGTCCCCGATGCCCCCTGTGCAGGCACACTCCTGGGTGCCCACCTGCGATTCCCCACTCAGCAGCCCCACCACACACTGCCCAGCCTGAGGCCAAGCCTCCAACCCTGCAGCCCCGTGGCCTCTCTGCAGCTTCCTCTCCCACAGCCTCTCTGTCCTGCTTGTTCAGCACCCTGGGCCTGCGCCTTGGGCTTTTGAAGCTCAACAAGCACCTCCCTCGGCAGCCCCCTCAGGAAACAGCCCCTGGGCTGGGTCTCTGACTGGCTCACCGCTTCCTCGGGCCCTCCCGATCCCTCCTCCGCCTCCTCCAACCTTCTCCCAAACCCAGCCTCCCTTTCTGAGTCTCTTGCAGGTGCCTGGTCCAGCACCAGGGCAGCGCCAGCTCTCACCTTCTGCTCAGCTCCCCCACCCACATCTTGTCCTTCCCCGCCCTCCCCCATGGTGGCAATGGCTTCCACAACCCAGCAGCGCCCCTCTCCTGGCAGCCCAACACCGACCACAGCACAGGCCGCACCCTTCAAACTGTGAGCTCCTCCGGCCTATGAGCTTCCCAGACTGTGAGCCTGGCAGCCCAACTCCGCCACCGACAGCACAGGCCGCGCCCTTTAGACTGTGAGCTCCTCCAGCCTGTGAGCTTTCCAGCTGCCTCCTTGTGTTCCAACCCCAACCCATGGGCAGGTGCAGCTGAGGACACCTGGCACCCTAGGACACAGGTCTGTGCCCACAGGGCCCCTTTGATCTTTGCAGCCCTGCACAGCCCTGGCCTGAACTCACACCAGGGACCTTGCCTGGGGGTGACAAGAGGAGGTAACCCTGACCTCGCGAGATGTCTGTCTCCCACCCTCACCTACGGAGACCTGAAGACAGATCAGGTGCAGTGGCCATACTAGGGGGCGCAGGCTGCAGTCCCTGACAGCAGGGGGAGGGGTGTCCCCCTTCTCTCTCCCCTTCTCTCCTCTGGCTCAGAGTCACAAACATGGCCAGGGGGTGACCCTACATCCCTACCCCACAGGACCACCCTGGGGGGCAGCCTGGACCCTGAAGCCACAGCAGGTAAGGAAATGATGGACAAAGAACAAGAAGCTGCCCCAGGCAAACCTGGAGGGAAAAGCCCAGTGCTGGATGTGCAGTGGGCAGGGCCTCTAGGGGGCGGCACTGGGCTCTGGGGTGGAGGTTTCAGGACGGGGGTGGGGTGGGGTCCTCAGAGGAGTGGAGGCTTCAGGAAAGGGGCCGGGGCCCCCAGCTAGTGGATGCTGTGACCTCAGAGGGGAGGGGAGGAACGATGGCTGCTTAGGTTGGGGGCAGACATGACTTTATTGGAGGAAGTCAGTGGGGCGGGGGCAGGGCCCTCATCTGCTCCCCCGAGGAGACCCGGGCAAGCTCCCTGGAACTTCAACGGGCCAGGCAAAGCAGGGAGGGCTAAGGGGTGCAGGAGACTGGAGAGGGGTCTGGGGAAGGGGCTGGGGCAGGAACAGAGGGCCAGGTGAAGGGAGTAGGGCGGCTCACACATGGTGCCCCTCCAGCAGGGGCAGGTGGCCCAGTGCCGAGTGGCAGACAGTCCCGTAGGCTTGGGAGTAGCCTCCAAGCAAAGCCCTGGCACCCCCCTGGGCACCCTGCAAGGCAGAGGTGCTGAACATCCTCCGGCCGGGCCGGGCCTCCGGAGGAAGCCGGGGAGGGACCTGTGTACAGTTGAGGGTCACATAAAGGGGCCATCAGAGGGGGTGCAGTGGAGGGGAGGCCTTGAGGTCCTCGAGAGATTTGAACTGGACATTGGAGGGGCAATGGGAAGCATGGGGAAGGGAGGGAAAAGCAGGGGGGAAGGGGAAAGGGGAAAGGAGGATGAGGGGACGGGGGCAGACTGGGCCGGGCTTACCTGTTGTACGCTGGCCACCCTCACCCCACCGCCCCGGTTCCAGTCACCCCGGATCAGGGCCTGGTTGGCCACCTGAGCCGCAGCCTGGGAGGTCAGGGAGGGCGCAGCTCCCCTCCCGCTTGGCTTCACCTGGGAAGGGCCATGTCACAGGGTCACTGAAAGGTGCAGAGGAGGGGTCCCTCCTGTGCCCGCCCCACCATGACTTACCAGCGAGAGTGTCAAGGGGGGCGCTTCCTTCGCCCCAGGGGGCCTTTCCCCATTCCCTAGGAGAGCAGTTTGGAGCAGGGGAGCGGAGTTCTGCCTGGGAACGTTCTTGGCTGCACGGGGGGACTCTGTGGGGTCAGTGGGTCAACCCCGGGGTCAGTGGGTCAACCCCAGGGTCAGGAACCGAATGCTGCGCATAGTTGGCAGCACAGGCAGAAGGGGCCCGGGCCGTGCTCCGCGTGGGCGGCCAGCAAAGATCACACACCGTGCTCGGCAGGGTCATGGCCTGGGCTGCTCTGGGGCCTGGGTCTGGGACCCTGCACAGGTGTCCTAGAAGGCAGCTGAGGGTCGGCTCTGGGTTTGTGCAGGTGTGCCTGGCTTGGGGAGACACCCTCCGGGCCCTTCTCTCTCGAGGTGCCGCTGCTGCCTCCACACTCCAGGATCATCTGCGGGAGGGGAAGGGTGCTCAGAGGTCACAGCCTGGGCATGGGGCGTTTGGGGGTCTCTGACATAGGAGGCAGCCTCCAGGGTGCAGTAGACAGGGGATGATAGGGGTCGAGAGCCGGAGCACCTGATAGACGCGGCTGCGGTACTCAGGCACAGAGAGCTGGACCCCTTCGTGTGCCCGGGGCCGCACATCTGCCTCTCGTGCCCACTCGTCGCTGGGGCAGTGGAACCTGCAGGGAGCCAGGGAGGTGGGGCCCGGGCTGCGGCCAAGGGAGCCCCTCAAGCCGTCACAGCAGGGTCCCTGCTGTGGGGGCTGTCCCTCATGGGCTGGCTCTCTCCTGCCCCCACCTCTGTCCCCCCGCACTTGGGGGACTCTCTCCCACCCCCACCTCTGCACGTAGGGGTGCTGCAGTGCCTGGGTCGCGCTTAACCGCTTGTCCGGGGCGAACACCAGGAGTCGCCTAAGGAGGTCCAAGGCCTCTGGGGAGGTGTCTGGCGGTAGGAGGGCATCCAGCGTCTGTCGTGGCCTGTGGGCTGCCGTGTGTCGTCTCCAGGGCCCGACCCAAGGGCCCCTCCTCAGATCCATGTTCGTGGCTGGGGGCTCAGCTTCCAAACTGGGGTCCACCCTGCTGTCCTGTCTAGGTAGATGCCCCTGTGCCTGACCTGCAGGCAGTCTGGGCCCCTGCAGGGTGGAGAGACCCCTGCGGCCCCCTGGTGCCCTCCTCTCCACGCCCTGGCACAGCTCCTCTGGGCCACCCTCTAGGAGCACCAGAGGGGCTCCTGCTTTCAGTGTGGCCAACAGTTGTTGGGTTTGGGACTGCCATCTTGAAAACAGGCAGAATCTGAACTGGTACAAACTGGCCCCAGTAAACTTGCAGGAAGGTGGCCCTGCTCCCTTGAGATAGGCCACCCTGTCACCCTCACCGAAGTGCCCCCACTCACCGGGACCCCAGCTGGTGCAGCACAGAGGCACGGCAGCCTGAGCCGAGAGCCAGGAGGTCTGGGGCAGCAGAAGGTGGTGTGACCCAGGCAGGCCTGGTCGGCTGGGGCGGCTCAGGGCATCTGGGGCCAGTCATCTCTTCCAGCCCCAGGGAGCACAGCCTCTCTACAGGGTTTCTGCTGTCTGGCGGGGCTCAAACACCCCATCACCAGGGCGTGCCACCCAGCCTGTGCACGGGAGCACCCGCACATGACCCCTGCTCCACACTCGGGCACCTGGCCCTGGGGTGTGCTCACAGAAGTGGATGCTGGCGCCCACCTCCACGGCCCAGGAGGCTCCACCCAGACAAGCAGCTATGCCTGGCGGTGCAGCTCCCTCTTGCCCCCGCCCTCAAGAGTGACCCCCATGGCCCCTCTACCACTGCCTTCCTCCACCTCTTCCCTCAGCACCTGAATCTCTCCTGCCCAGCTGTCTCTGCACACCCCAGCTCCCGGCACAGTGACAGTCCCTGCCCCTGCTACCCGAATCCCTTGGGGACCTTGTCCAGCCTGCTGGCCCCTTCACGGTCACTGCTTGGCTCTCATGGTGACTGTGCCAGGTGCTGCCTTGCCCACACCCACCCCCAGCAGCTCCTCCTGGGCCCCCATCACCAGTCGGTCTTCCTGGGGCTCCTGCCCCATCCTCTGGATCCTCCCTGTCCCCGTCCCTCCTCTCAGCACAGTCCTAGCCTGTCAGCTGCTGTCTCCCCACAGCTGTGCTGTCTGACCTGCAGCATTCCCGGTGCCCAGCCCCAGCAGCCTGGCTCACCCTCCTCAGATGGCGGTGGGATGGTCTCCAGGATCAGCTCCAGCTGGTGGAGGGTGGACGTGCCGGGGAACAGGGGTCTCCCCCGCAGCATCTCCCCCAGGATACAGCCCAGACTCCACATGTCCACCCCAAGGGTGTATCTGGGGCAGGAAGCGGTGTAGGCATGGAGAGACCCAGAGGCAGAGGTGGGGGTGGGGTTGCTGGGGGGTGAATGGGGGAACACTTGTGGACCAAGGCAGGGTCGGAGTACGGGAGGCCTGGGAGCCCTGGCTGGGCAGGAGGGCAGCAGGGAGGTGGAGGGGGGGTTGGGGATGTCTCGCTATTACCGGTGCGAAGAGAGCAGCACCTCCGGTGCTCGGTACCAGCGTGTGGCCACGTACTCTGTCACGGCCTGGTCCTCAGGCCCCTCGGGGAGGTCGCCCAGGGAGCGGGCCAGGCCAAAGTCACACAGCTTCACTGTGCAGTTGGCATCCAGGAGCACATTGGACGGCTGCAGAGAGGAGGCAGGCTGAGGCCCCGGGGCTGGGTGGGGCCGGGAGCCGGGCCACGTGGCATAGCGGGGGCGGGGGAACCGCACCTTCTGGTCCCGGTGCACAACGTGCCCCGAGTGGAGGAACCGGGTGGCCCGCAGGAGCTGGTAGAAGATGGAGCGCACGTGGACGTCCTGCAGCAGGCCGCCCTTCCGGATGACTGCGTTCAGGTCAGTGTCTGCAGAGAGGGTGCGCACTGCAGTCGGGGGTGGGGGGCTGGGGGGGCAACCTGGGGGGAGTGGGAGAGGGGCACCTGGCAGGTCTGTCCCACTTTGAACCAGCCCACGGCCTGGCCGCCCCGCTCCTCCATCCTGTGCACTGCCTGTGGGCACAGCGGTGAGGTCTGCAGGAGTTTTAACACTTTATTTCATGTTGCCTTTGTTTCATAAAATGAGAAGAAAAAGGAGAACGCAACTGCAAACTGTGGTCAGAGCAGGAGCCTGGGGCAGGTGGGACGAAAGGGGTCGCTGCTGGCTCTGGAGGCTGACACTAGTCAGCTGTCTGTCCCTGAGTCCAGGGTACATGGTGAGGGAGCAAGCCACTGTGGGCCAGCTGCAGAGGGACACGCAGGGGGACACGCAGAGGGACCCGCAGACGGCGTCAGGACAGAACAGAGGTGGGGCTGGGGCGCTGGCCGGGGCCTCACTCACCCATAAACTCAAACACCAGGTAAATGTCCCTGTCGTTCTCTGCCCGGATCACGTCAAGGAGGCTGATGATGTTGGGATGGTCCCCAAACTCCTGGGGAGAGAGTCGGAGGCGGCTGGAAGGCCAGGAGGGGCTGTGCTCTGGGGCCCAAGAAGGCCAGTTTCTCTCCTGTCTGGAGAGATCTGTACCTGGGCAAGGGGATTGGACTGGAGGGCCCAGGCCACTCACCTGGAGGAGCGTGATTTCCCGGAATGTTCTCTGAAGAGACAGAAACACAGGTGTGTGGGTGGGTGGAGCAAGAAGGAAGCCCATGTCCTGAGAGGACCCAAAGGAGCTGATGTCTGTCACCCAATACCCACCAGACCAGGCGTGGCAAGGGGGCAGTGTTCCGAGACAGGCCAGAACATCTGCTATGACTGGGCTCCAGCTCCCACCTGAGCTTCCAGGCACCAGGGCAAGGGGCTGCCCCTCCCTGCCCCCATCCTCTCCCACGCTTCTCCCCACACACTCACCTGGGCATCTGTCTTATCCCTAAAAGCATCAAAGATTTTCTTGATGGCCACGACCTCACCAGTCCTCCGGTCCACTGCCTTCCACACAATGCCATAGGCCTGGGAAGGAGTGCCGTCACACAGGGCCAGCCCCTTCCCCCCATCCCCTGCCCACCCAGATTGTCCCTACAGACATGAGGCTCCTCCTTCCCATCCTGGGTCCCGAGAGGGGATGGGAGTGTGGGCTCCCGCAACTGCAGGCTGCCCTAGACTCCGACATCTTCCAGAGGAGGGGAGGTAGAGGGAAGGGAGGGTGAGAGCTGGCGAGGCCCTGGAGGAAAGGAGGCCACAGAGGGGAGCGTCTGGGCAGGAAATGAAGCTCGGGGATGCCCTATCATCCTTCCAGCTGCCCAGGCACTCTCCCTCCCTTTCTCTCACACCCCATCCACCCCCAATCCCATTGGCCCTACCTTCAGATTCCTCCAGAATCTAGCCCCTGCCACGGTCTCTTCTGCCCCCACCCTGGTCCCAGCCTCTGGCATCTCTCGCTGCGTGGCTACGCTAACCCCTTAACTCATCTCCGTCTGCCGCTCCCGTGCACACCCACGGTAGGTCCTCAGCACAGGGGTGGGCCTTGTAAAGTGACACCAGCAGCTGCTACAGCTCCCAGCCTCAGCAACAGTAAAAACCAAAGTCTTGGAAGTTCCCCAAAGCTCCCACACGATCGGACCCTCACCACTCACCTGTCTCTCTCCATCTCCTATCCAGTTGCACATACACAACCCTGCACTGGGCCTACGCACTTACCGTCTGCACTGCCTGGAAGGCTCTTCCTCCCCTCCCCCATGGCACCCTCGAACACCCCCCCACACACCCACGCACACACACACAGGCTTACATGCTCACACACACACACAGATACACAAGGCTCTGCCCTTCACTCTGCGCCCACCCCATAACCGCTCAGGCCCTTCTCGGGCCTCGCCCCTGTGCTCCTGAGCCTGGGGTCCGCCCTTCCTCTCAGTGACCCGGGCGCGGGCCCAGCCTCCCCAGAGCGTCGTGTGCACCCGGGAAGCGGGCGACTGTGGACGCGTGGGGAGTGGGGCGCCAGGATCCCTCTGCCTGAGGCCTCTGGCGGCCCTGGCTGTCACCTGCCTCCAGGAGCCAGGTTCCTGGGAGTCAGGATCGTGTTACCCCATGAGGAAACTGAGGCACGAAGGGGCTCCAGACCACCTCTCCCGCCTACGGAGGAGGCAGGACGCCAGTGTGTGACGGAACAGGCCTCCGAGGGGACCGGCCGCGCCCCGCAGGTCCTCTCTCCGCAGATCTGCCGCGCCCCTCGGCGCGCGGACGCACCCCCAGGCACTCACCCCCTGCCCGAGCTGCCGCCTGAGTAGGTATCTCCGGACAATGCGAGGGTCCACTACGGTGCACATGGCGGCCAGGACGCCCGCGGGGCCTTACTGTTGAGTCGGTTGCCGTGGGAACCGACGGCGGCCCGGCCCCGCCCCTCGGGGCGCCCCTCCCAACACCCCCCGCCCCCGGCAGGCCCCGGCTCCGCCCCACAGTGGGCCCACCCCACCTCCCCGCAGGCCCCTCCCCTCAATGCGCCCCGCCCACGTCCCCACCGGCCCCGCCCCACAGTGCGCCCCGCCCACCTCCTCGCAGGACCACGCCCAGCCCAGCTGACTAAAGTAGAAACAAGAACTATCTGTTGTGGACTCTATAACTTGTAGAAGTAAAATGCATGACACCAATAGCAAAAAGTGAAGGGGGATAATGGAAATACACATTTATACTATTACAAAATAACATGAGAATATGTATTGTAAGGTTCTTAAGTTACATGTGAAGTATTAATAGTATATTATTATTTGGGCGGGACACGGTGGTTCACGCCTGTAATCCCAACACTCTGGGAGGCCGAGGCGGGTGGATCACCCGAGGTCAAGGGTTCAAGACCAGCCTGGCCAACGTGGTGAAACCCCGTCTCCACTAAAAATACAAAAATTAGCCGGGCGTGGCTAATGACTCAGGAATTGGAGACCAGCTTCGGCAACATAAAACCTCATTTCTATTAAAAAAAAAAAATAGGAAAATTAGCTGGGTGTGGTGACATGAGCCTGTTGTCCCAGCTACTTGGGAGGCTGAGGTAGGAGGATCGCTTGAGCCGGGAGGCAGAGGTTGCAGTGAGCCTGGATTGCGCCACTGCACTCCAGCCTGGGTGACAGAGCCAGACCCTGTCTCAAACAACAACCACAACACAAACTACTTGCTCAAAAAGAATTCAAAAAAAGAAGGAAAAGGAACAAAGAAAAGATAAGACCAGTAGAAAACAAATAGCAGGGCTGGGCGCAGTGGCTCACACCTGTAATCCCAGCACTTTGGGAGGCCGAGGCGGGTGGATCACGAGATCAGGAGATCGAGACCATCCTGGCCAACATGGTGAAACCCCGTCTCTATTAAAAATACAAAAAAATTAGCTGGGTGTGGTGGTGGGCGCCGTGGTGGGCGCCTATAGTCCCAGCTACTTGGGAGGCTGAGGCAGGAGAATCACTTGAACCCAGGAGGTGGAGGTTGCAGTGAGCTGAGATCGCGCCACTGAACTCCAGCCTGGCAACAAGAGCAAGACTCCTCAGAAAAAAAAAAAAAAAAAAAAAAAGGCTGGGCGTGATGGCGCACGCCTATAATCCCAGCACTTTGGGAGGCCGAGGCAGGTGGATCACCTGAAGTTGGAAGTTTGAGACTAGCCTGGCCAATATGGTGAAACCTTGTTTCTACTAAAAATACAAAAATTAGCTGGGCATGGTGGCGTGCACCTGTAATTCCAGCTACTAGGGAGGCTGAGGCAGGAGAATCGCTTGAACCCAGGATGCAGAGGTTGCAGTGAGCCGAGATTGCACCACTGCACTCCAGCCTGGGTGACAGACTGAGACTCCGTCTAAAAAAAAAAAAAAAAAAAAAAAAAAAGCAAAAAGCAAGATGGCTGACGTAAAACTTACCATTTTTCTTTAACTAAAAAGTAAACTTTAATGTCGAAAATGCAAACTTGGGGAAGACAGAAAAGATCACACACAAGGCTGTCACTTCACACTTGGAAGGTTGCACAGCGGCCGGGCAGAGGCGCTCCTCACTTCCCAGACGATGGGCAGCCAAAGTGCTGGGATTACAGGAGTGAGCCACCGCGCCCCATCCCTTTTTTTTTTTGAGACAGAGTCTCGCTCTGTCACCCAGGGTAGAGTGCAGTGGCGCCATCTCAGCTCACTGCCAGCTCCGCCTCCCAGGTTCACGCCATTCTCCTGTCTCAGCCTCCCAAGTAGCTGGGACTACAGGTGCCCGCCACCACGCCTGGCTAATTTTTTGTATTTTTAGTAGAGACGGGGTTTCACCGTGTTAGCCAGGATGGTCTCGATTTCCTGGCCTCGTGATCCACCCACCCCGGCCTGGGCACTATTTCAACCAAGTCCAACTTTCCCTTGTCCAAATATTCTTGCCGATATAAATTTTGTCAAGATTATTTTTTTCTCATCATTTGTTGGTCAAATATATTTGACAATAAGCCACAATGTTTTTTTTTATTATTTTATTTATTTATCTATTTATTGAGATGGAGTCTTGCTCTGTCACCCAGGCTGGAGTGCAGTGATACAATCTCAGCTCACTGCAACCTCTGCCTCCTGGGTTCAAGTGATTCTCCTGCCTCAGCCTCCTGAGTAGCTGAGATTACAAGCGCCTGCCATCACATCCTGCTAATTTTTGTATTTTCAGTAGAGACGGGGTTTCACCATGTTGGCCAGGCTGGTCTCGAACTCCTGACCTCATGTGATCCACCTGCCTCGGCCTCCCAAAGTGCTGGGATTACAGGCGTGAGCCACTGCGCCGGGGCTAAGTCACAATAAGTTTTGTTGCATGCGGTTGTAACTTTCAGCTTTATTTTGGGTGCATTATTGACCTGGACCTTGCATTGAATTTTTAACCAATCCACGGGGAAATCATGGGTGAGGTCTGGGGAGAGGTCATCATCCAGAAGCCCCAGAGTCACAAGGGTGGGGCCCAGATCACAGCCCCTGGTGAAACAGTGTGGCTGGTGCCTCCTACTTCACACACACCCAGCATTCCGTAACCCAGGAAACCAAACTCCCCTGGCCCCCACCTCCCAAGCTGTCACAGGCCCCATGCATGGCCCCGCTCTCTCCCATAAGGGCACCATCCGTGTGCTGTTGTGTGGGCCGAGATCCTACCTTGCCTCTGAGTGTCATAGTCTGAGAAGGTATCCCCGCCCTGTCCCCTCCAGTGTCACAGCCATGGCCCACCACCCATCCCATCTCATACACAGCCTCTCCCTGTCCTACTGGGGCTACCTGGTGGACTCCAAAATGGCCCTCTCCTCTCTCCTGCTTCAGATGTGGGCTACAGACTCAGATACTGTAGCTGAGGTACAGGTACAGGTACTCCAGGTCTCCCCTCTCTCCTGCTCTGGATGTGGGCTACAGACTCAGGTACCCCAGGTCTCCCCTATTTCCTGCTCTGGGTGTGGGCTACAGACCCAGGTACCCCAGGTCTCCCCCATTTCCTGCTCCGGGCGTGGGCTATAGACCCAGGTACTCCAGGCCCATCCACCCTGGTCACTCCAGTCACTTACTTGAGCCCCTTCGGTGGGGACACGTGCCAGTTGCGGATGTGGTTGTCTCTGAGATCGTGAATCTGGAGGCATGGACTCAGGAATGAGGGTCCCCAAGGAGGCGTGTCCTCAGCTGGGCACCCCTGATGGCTGCCTCTCAGGGATGTCTCTGGAACTGGGTGCAGGTGTCATCACTGAAGCCTGTGTAGGGGCTCTGGACCCTGGACACCCTCCTTTGGCCATCCTCTTCCTCACAGAGGTAGGTGACTCCCAAGGGGCCCCATGCAGGCCCACCTGGACCACACCCCAGCCCCCCACTGCCCTGGTTAGGGATGATCAGGAATGACCTGGTCAGGGCCTGCTGGATCGGGCCTCATGCTCATACCTGGAGAGGTGTGGCAGTGCAGTTATGGCCCTCGTGGTGCTGTGGACGGGGAGGGCAGAGCGCTTTCTCTGGGACAATCCTGGGTGTGGGAGCTGATGCATGTCACGGCCTGGGACTGGAGCTTCCATCTGGGACTGACCGAGAGCCTTGTGTGGATCTGGCCTGGGTTCTGAGGTACCTGGCCATGGGGGCAGGGTCTTTGTCTCAAACACCCTTGCCTAAGCCAGCCCCAGTGGGTGGGGGTGCAGGGAGGCCTGCCAGGGATATGGGGCAGAGGACAGGTTCAGGTTGGGCCCAGGGTGCTGAAACAAAGAGGACTGGGGCCCCAGCACCTGACCCCAACCAAAGGATACACGGGGTGGGCAGCTCCACTGGGCCTCACTTGTGGTCAGTCGTCCCCTTTGCCCCCTTGGCTGTCACCACCAGCTCTGAGCTGCTGCACAAGGGACAAGGTGCACAGGGTGGAGCTGCCCCATGGGTCCTGGGCTTGCAAGTGGGCTCAGCCCATCCTCAACTCCACAGGTGGAGCTGGCCTTGCCGGGTGGGCGGGCAGCCCTGGCACATGCACTGGCCATGTCCTGGTCCCGGGGCACAGGGCAGCTTGGGGGAGGGGACCCCACCAGAGGGAGTGCAGAGAAGTGGGAGGAACCCCTCACAGGTCCAAGTCACAGCCCCAGCAGTTCCAGGGGGCTTTGGACAACTCACCTTGCCTCGGTTTCTCCATCTGTGAAATGGGAACAGAGGCTGCTGGGAGGGCTACACTCGGTGTGCCAGGCACACAGCCCCACCCCCGTGGCTACGCTCAGTGCAGGGCTCACCCCAGTCTCAGGAGATGAATCAGGCAGGACATGCAAAGCAGTAGGGGCGGGAAGACAGGGGCACGGTGGGCGGGGCCACCTGGGGAGCCTGTGGGAGCCCACAAGCCCCAGGAGCAGACCCAAGGTGGCCCTGTGCTGCAGCCTTCAGGGTCCCCAGCAGGGCCCAGCATAAGGGGCTGGGGGGCAGGAGGGAGGCTGGCCTGGCTGCGGAGGGGTGGGAAGGGAGGCTGGCCTGGCTGTGGTGAGGGTCCGGAGGAGGCTGGCCCAGCTGTGGTGGGGAGGAGGGAGGCTGGCCCGGCTTTGGGGCGGTGGGGCAGGCGGTGAAACGAGGGAGGCTGGCCCAGCTGTGGTGGGGAGGACGGAAGCTGGCCCGGCTTCGGGGCTGTGGGGAGGGCGGTGAAAGGAGGGAGGCTGGCCCAGCTGTGGACGGGGAGGGCCTCACAGGGAGCAGACAGTGCCCCTCTTCCCAGGGCCTTTCCAGTTTGCCAGCCTGTATCTGAGGGGGGTGAGACTGCAGGTCCTGGGGGGACAAAGACCACCATGCCACTTGAGGAGGCCTGCATGGCCTCGGGGGAAGACCCCCGAGGGTGGGAGGTGTGTCACAGGAAGTGAGTTCTGTCCCCATGGATGGTGCAGGACCTGGTGAACCCCAGAGACCGCCTGCCTTCCTAACACAATGAGAGAAAAGCCTGGGGGATCCTGGGGAGGCATCTGAGCCCGCCCCCAAGGCCAGGCTCTCCCCACTTCCCCGCAAAGAATCGCCCCATGCAGCGTGGCCCCCCAGCAGAAACCAGGTCTCCTCCTGCCCCTCATCCCTGTTGGTCAGAGGCACAGCTGGGCAGCTGGCAGCCAGACCCGGGTCAGGGCAGAAGTTAAAGCGCTGGGCTGGGCAGAGGCCTGGGGGGGTGGGGGTGTGGTTGCAGGGACAGGAGTGTCCGCACTAGACTAGGGCTGCGGTCGGGGCTCCCCCAACTATTCCATGGAGTTGGTGGGTGAGGCAGGGGTTGCAGAAGTGGGAATTGCAGAATTGGGAAGAAGAAAGCCTCCAGGACGCCTCGACAGAGGAGAGCAGGAGGCTCCCAGATCTCTCTGTGAGGAGGCATTGGTGAGATTTAAAGCAAAGAAAAATCAAGAAACCCACAGGCAGGGATGACTTAAAACTTAAAAACCTTACCTCACCAGGGATTTAAAGGCCAAGAGCAACCGAGACCCTCCAGTGGCAGATGCGCGGGTGCAGTGGGGCTGGGAGTAGGGGAAAGAGCAGTCCAGACCCTGGACGTGGCGTGGCCTGGGATGGTACAGGGTCTGAGACTGTGGGGCACCCGACTGGCCCATGTGAGCAGGCCTCTGCCTATTGCTGCCTCAGTTTCTCAATCTGTCAAATGGGGACAGTGACCCCACACAAGGCCTGAGGGTAGCAGGGTGGAGAGCACTGGGGTGTGGCCATGGCAAGGAACCAGAAGAGGCAACGCTGGGCATTAAGCACCCCTACACATGAGCCTGCCCCCCACCCCAGATGAGTCCCTGCTGCAGTTGAGCCCCTGCTGCAGGGATGCAGGGATGCAGGGTCATGTTTTTCTCATGATTCTATGTGGTCTTTTCCCAATTTTCTGTGACAGGAGAGGCACCATTTTCATATTAAAAGCCCATATATTAAAGCCAACATTCAGATGCAGTTTAGTTTATAAGTCAATGTCCTCTTACAATGTTAATGCTTTGTTTGGTAGTTTGTGTCCTCTTATTTTTACTTATAAAATACTTTTTTTTTTTTGAGACAGAGTCTCGCTCTGTCGCCCAGGCTGGAGTGCAGTGGCGCAACCTCGGCTCACTGCAAGCTCCGCCTCTCGGGTTCACGCCGTTCTCCTGCCTCAGCCTCCCAAGTAGCTGGGACTACAGGCACCTGCCACCACGCCTGGCTAATTTTTTGTATTTTTAGTAGAGACAGGGTTTCATCATGTTGGCCAGGATGGTCTGGATCTCCTGACGTGATCTGCCTGCCTCAGCCTCCCAAAGTGCTGGGATTACAGGTGTGAGCCACTGCGCCCAGCCTAAAATACATTTTTTTACAAGGAGTAAAATGCCTCAATCGTGTTCTTAATTTTAAAAGGCTCTGCTGCACCTTTCAGGCAGGTTGGCTGATCAGAGCAAGCCCAGCCATGTCCATGAGCCACCAGACGACCTCCACCACAAACCTCTGTGCAAATGTGGTTTTCTAAACTGTGTCCCTCACAAAGATCCTCAAATCTGCCCACATCCCAGCAAATGTGGACAAACTGGGCAGAAACTCAACTCTATGATGACAGAACACAAAATAGGGGTCGATTTAAGTTGTGTGTCAAAGGCTGCTGGACACACTGTTCCTGAGGCATCTAACAGAACGGGAGCTGGGGACCGCTGGTCTAGACGGAGGCAAATCTTACAGGACCAACAGGTGGTGATGCCTGCTGTGCAGTAATGACCAATACATCAAGACAGCAGAGTTTGCAGCAGAGAAAGTGTCATGATCCCCGGACACCGAGCAAGGAGATGGGAGGGACCTTCAAATCCATCTCCCTGAGTTCTGGGCTGGGGTTTTTAAAGGGATTGTGGCGGGTGACGGACTGTAAAATGGGGTCATCAATTGGCCGGGGAAAGGGGATGAAGTCCTCAGGATGTGTACCCTGCGTTCTTTGGCACATTACCTCCTCGTGGGGTGCTTCAGACCAGCTGGGTCAGTCGCTTCATGGGTGTGCAGGACCTGTCAAATAGAAAACCTCACATTTTACTATGTTTAAGTTGTTACCTATAGAGCAGTTATGGGGACCTCTCATCTTGTGACAGGGTCTGTGTGATTCTGGGGCCACAGGCACCAAACAGCTCTGAGGAAGGAGTTGGGAGGCAGGCTGACCTCACAATGAATGCTGAGCGAGCTGCAAGCTGGGTTTGTTTTCCTTTCTCGCCTCCCTTCTTCCCTGATTAATAAAGTCTATAGGAATGGTTTCAATAATGATGTTGTGTCCACAAAGTCAACAGAAAAGGAGAAAAAGCCAGCCCTTTTTGGATCCCTATGTCCTCCAGCCATCCGGGCACACGGGGAAGGGAAGCTACCCAGCTGCAGAGCCGCGGATGAGCTGAGCGGGTGCCGCACGCGCGCGCTTAGGACCTTCAGAGAGAAACGCTCTCTAGGCGCCCAGTGGACTCCATACTTCAGGAACCCCAATTCCCACGGGGGCCTCACCGAAGGAATCACGAAATGCTCAGGGAAAGCAAGGGTCCCTGAAGAGGCGAATGCTCCAGGGAAGCGCTCCCTCCTGACAACACAGAGATTTCACTCGGGAAACGGGGGGGAACGTGGTGAAGCTCCTCTTCAAGTGGGGGACAACCCGGGAGAAGGCCCGTTGCTGAACCGAAGGCGAAGGGCGCTTCTGGGGTCTGTGAGATTCAGAAGCACGTCCGGAGTCCGTCTGAAGCCCAGTTTTGTCAGCTCAGGCCCTATCTCTGGGGGCACATTCACAAGCAGTCACGGGCGACTCAAGATGAGAGAGTTGTGCGGAATGAAGGAGTCGGCCATCGCCAGAGTAACGGGGTGGGGGTGGGAGAGGACGAGTAAGTTCTGTCTCCATAGAGACCGTGCCCGCCGAGCAGCAACATTACTAATGTTAGGCGCACCCAGACGGACAGCGAAGGTCCAGCGGGAGCCCACGAGTGAAGGTTGGCAAAGCTGCCCTGACCCGCGACCCAAAGCCCCGATCTGCCTCCCCAAAAGCCTCGTGACCCCGAGGCGCGTCCCACCTCTGGGCCTGGCGCCTAGAATATTTAGGCCAGGTAAGAGGAAGGGCTAAATTGGGGAAGGGGCCGGGGTCGCTGCCCTCACCAGTCCTGGTGGTCCAGGCACCAACCCATGGCGCCCAAGAAAAAGCGCGGGCCGAGCGCAGGGAGCCAGCCAGGTGGTGCGGCGGCCGCGGGTGCCGAGCAGCCGCTATCGGAGCGCGCGCAGTACCTGCAACGCGAACACGCGCTGCTCTCGGAGCAGCTGGACACCTGCGAGGAGAGCGTTGACCAGGTGCTGCGAGAGAACGCCTTCCTGGACCGCGAGGCGCTGCGCCTGCGCGAGGAGAACCGGCTCTACGCCAGCTACGTGAGCGCGCGCGCCCAGCGCTGCGCCAAAGCCATCGTCCGGCTGGACGAGCAGAACCGCGTGGACCTAGCGCAGATCCACTGGCAGCGGGCGGAACTGGCCTCGCTCTACCACGGGCGCGAGGACGGGGTGCGCGCGCAGCTGTTGGAGATGGAGGCGCGCGCGGCACAGATGGCACAGCAGGTGCAAGAGCTGCAGCCCTACAAGGCCAGTGAGCCCGCCCGCGGCCGGGGTGAGGCGGGGCGGGGCTGGTGGCCGGGCCGGGGGCGGGGTGGGGGTGAGCTGACGGCGCCCCCGCCGCAGGTGCTGCAGCTGGAGCAGCTGGCCCGGATCCGGGCGCTGGAGCGCGAGCTGCTGCATATGCGCGTGGAGCACACGCAGCTGCTCCACCGCGTGAAGCGGCGCTTCCTGGAGGACAAGGCGGCCTTCGAGCGCGAGGCGCGTCAGCGCGTGCAGTCACTGGCGCGGCGCGCGGAGCGGGAGGCGGTGCGCGCGCTTGTGGCGCACACGCAGGCCATCAAAGCGGACAACGGACGCCTGCGGCAGGAGCTGCTGCTGCTGCTCCGCCGGACCCAGCTGCTGCACCACACGCGGCGCCAGCTGCTGGAACAGCGCGAGCAACTGCACCGCGAGCACGAGGACACGCGGGACCTGGCGCGTGTGCACGGCTGGCTGCGCAGGGGCCCCGGAGGCCCGCCGCTCTGGGAGCGGCCGGCCTTCTCCCAGCCCACCTCGCGCCCCGGGTCATTAGCCGCCCCCATAAGCCCGTCGCGCGCGGCCTCCCAGACCCCGTCTGTGGTACCGTCGCGCGCGGCCCCCCGGGCCTCGTCCGTGGTCCCGTCGCGCGAGGCTTCCCGGGTCCCCTCGTTGGTGCTATCGAGCATGGACTCCAGGGTCCCATCGCTGGCCACTTCAAAGGTGGGATCCCGGATGCCATCCCTGACCGCTTCGCGCGCAGGCTCCCGGGCCCTGTCGCTGGTGCAGTCACTCGAGGGCTCTGGGATCTCTTCGGGGTCCTCACCGAGGGTGTCCTCACAGGACACTCTCCGCTCCACGAAGTCTGGCCCCAAGCTTCTCTCTGGCCTGTCCCGGGATCGGGATCCGGCTCTTCTCCCCCCACAGTCGGAGGACAGCGTGAACGCTGAAGCTGCGGCAGAAGCCTCCCCGGGTAGAGCCTGAACCTGCAGAGAGTGAGGCCCAGGAGGCCCTAGTGTGGGCGAGTCAGGCGCGCAGGGCGCTTACGGGGATAATGCAATGGTTAATAAAGGCGTGGCCCCCAGGCGGCTCTGACACCCGCGTGCATGCTCTAGCATTTCCGGCCGGCCACTCATTCGTGCGTCCAATTTCCAAGCTGCAAGAGAGCTCAGCGCCTGCTTTCCCTGAATGCCCTTTGGGACCCCGCATCCCTGCCCTCAGTGGGGCCCTACCGCGAGCCGGCAGGCTCAGAGCAAGCCCGGGCACTGGCGGGCGCGGACGTGCGACGAAGCGGCAGCTGGCAGCTGGGCCGCTACGGTGAGGCCCGGGGGAAAAGCGTAGACTTTGTTCTCCGCGCCAAGGGGATGTCTTATGTTCAACCTACTGGGAGTTTTTCAGTAATTTTAAAACTTTGATATACTTTCCAACTTAGAGAAAGTTGCAAAAATAGCACAGGGACCGCCATGGACCCTTTATCCGGATGCCCGGCCGCTGACGCTGCCCGTGAATTTGGTCCGTGTGTATCGCTGTGCACGAGCGTTGCTTCGGAACCGTTTGAGATGCGGTTGGAGACGCTGGCCCCGGAGCCCCGAAGTACTTTCGTGTGTATTTCCTGAACAGAGGGATGTTCTCCTACGATGCTTTAGTGCAGTGATCAGAACCAGGACATTTACTGTGGAGGAATATTATCCCCATCGTCGCTCACATCACAACTTTGTCACCCGTCCCAAGTGTTTCTGTGGCTGTCCCCATCTTCCAGGGTCACGTGTTGCATTTAGTTGTCGCGTCTGGATGTGTACAGGCGGTTATTAAAATGCCCCTCCGTGGAGGGTCAGCTCTCCGGGCTGCGCGGGACGCCCGCCCAGCTCGCGCTCAACCTTCCTCGTGGCCGCGACGCGACCAGCGAGTGCCCAGGGCTAGAGCGGCGCCGCGCTTCCGGTTCGGGAGGCGTGGATTCCGGGGGTGCGTGGAGGCGGCTGCGGCTCTGCGGGTTGGTGGTGGCCTCCTTTGCCCCTTGTCCCGCGGGCCGGCTCCTCCCTCTGAGCAGGTCTGTGGCGCTCAGCCCGGGCTTCCCTCTCCCCGGGGCCCTGAGTTCCCTTGTTGGGGTCTCAAGTGGGTGCCCCCAGTCCCCCCCAGCACCTCCCGGGGCCTGGCCCTGGTGCTCCTCCCAGGAGCTTGAGGACCCCCAGGGACCAGGGTGGGCCCACCTGAGCCATCTCTGTCCCCTCACGAGGAGCTGCCAACGCTGGGGCTCTGCGCCCGAGGCGGGCGGGCAGGGAGGTGGGTGCAGCTGCTGCGAGGCGGGCAGCTTCTCCGGCTTGCAGGGCCCCGTGCACCTCCCTACACACAGGGTCTGTGTAGCTGGGTTGTCGCTGTGTGTGTAGCTTTTTGGAGCAAGGGTGTCTGGCCCTGGGGCAAGAACTGTGTTGGGGAGGGGGACAGCTGGGCCCTAGAAAAAGTATAGGGAGCCCACTCACTCAGCCAGTCTGGAAGGTTGGTTCTTTGTGAATAAAGATCCAAACGTTAAAAACACACCTGTAAGTGGATAAATCTAGGACACTGACGACACCAAAAGCCTCTAAGTATGAGCAACAGGAGCTCCCATTCATTGCTGGTGGGAAGGCAAAATGGCACAGCCACTGGGGAAGACAGTTTGGCAGGTTCTAAACGTACTCTCACTGTACCATCCACAACAGTGCTCCTTGGCATTCGCCGAAAGGAGTTGAACATTTGTGTCCATATAAAAACCCACATATGGAGTTAGCTGGGTGTGGTGGTGCACACCTGTAATCCCAGCTACTAGGGAGGCTGAGGCACAAGAATTGCTTGAATCCGGGAAGCGGAGGTTGCAGTGAGCTGACATCTGCCACTACACTCCAGCCTGGGCAACAGAGCAAGACTCTATCTCCAAACAAACAAACAAATATCCCACACATGGATGTTTATAGAAGCTTTATTAATAATGGCCAAAACTCAAGCGGCCAGGATGTCCTTCAATAGGTGAATGGATGAACTCTGGTCCATCCAGACAATGGAATATTATTCGGTACTGAAAAGAAACCAGCTGTCAAGCCATAAAAAGACACAGAGAAAATTTAAGTGCACATTGCTAAGTGAAAGAAGCTGGTCTGAAAAGGCAGCACGCTGTATGATTCCAACTGCAACATTCTGGAAAAGGCAAAACGGGGGGGGGGGACAATAATAAGGACCAGTGGTTGCCAGGGGTTGGGGGAGGATGGGGCGAAAAGGTGAAGAAGGAGTATTTTTAGGGCAGTGGAACTACCCCATACAATACTACAATTGTGCAAACATGGTTTTTCCAAACCATGGGATCTACAACACCAAGAGTGAAGCCCTAATGTGAACCATGGGTGTTAGTTAAAAGTCACATATCAATATTGCCTGTCAGTCACAGAAGACGAGCCACACTAAGGCAAGATGTTAATAATAGGGGAAAGTGGCCGGGTGCGGTGGCTCACGCCTGTAATCCCAGCACTTCGGGAGGCCGAGGTGGGCGGATCACCTGAGGTCAGGAGTTCAAGACTAGTCTGGCCAACATGGTGAAACCCCATCTCTATTAAAAATACAAAAATTAGCCTGGCGTGGTGGTGGGCACCTGTAATTTCAGGTACTCGGGAGGCAGAGGCAGGAGAACTGCTTGAAGCTGGAGGTGGAGGTTGCAATGAGCCAAGATCGCACCACTGCCCTCCAGCCTGGGTAACAGAGTGAGACTACGTCTCAAAATAATAATAATAATAATAATAATAATAATAAATAATAATAATGGAAAGTGCCTGTGAAGGGGTATTATGGGATCTCTGTACTCTATGATCAATTTTTCAGTAAACCTAAAACTGCCCTAAAGATATAGTCTGTTAACTTTTTTTAAAAGTAAAAACATTAAGTATTGGAAGTAAATTTGGAAATAATTTGAAGACGTGGAAAGCATTTTTTAAAAAAGAAAACCCAAGGCCAGGCGTGGTGGCTCACGCCTGTAATCCCAGCACTTTGGGAGGCCAAGGAGGGTGGATTACTTGAGGCCAGGAGTTCAAGACCAGCCTGGCAAACATGGCAAAACCCCATCTCTATTTAAAAAAAAACAAAAATGTTAGCTGGGCGTGGTGGCACATGCCTGTAATCCCAGCTGTAATTGGGAGGCTGAGACAGGAGAATCACTTGAACCCAGGAGGTGGAGCTTGCAGTGAGCCAAGATCGCACCACTGTACTCCAGCCTGGGAGACAGAGTGAGACTCTGTCTCAAAATAAAATAAAATTAAAAAATAGAAAAGAAAAGAAAACTCAGGGGCATAAAAGATTTTCTGTGAAGACAGGAAATCAGTGTGAAAAACTTACAGTAAACTACACCATAAATTGGAAGACAAATGACAATCTTGGCAAAAATATTTACAACAAATAAAACAGACGAAGGACAACTCTATATGGAGCTATAAGAAAAGACCCAACAACCAACCAGAAAACACAGGAAATGACTCAAACACCAAAGACCCAACAACCAACCAGAAAACACAGGAAACAACTCGAACACCAAAGACCCAACAGCTAACCAGAAAACACAGGCAAATGACTCGAACACCAAAGACCCACCAACCAACCAGAAAACACAGGAAACGACTTGAACACCAAAGACCCACCAACCAACCAGAAAACACAGGAAACGACTTGAACACCAAAGACCCAACAACCAACCAGAAAACACAAGAAATGACTCGAACACCAAAGACCCAACAACCAACCAGAAAACACAGGAAACGACTCGAACACCAAAGACCCAACAACCAACCAGAAAACACAAGAAATGACTCGAACACCAAAGACCCAACAACCAACCAGAAAACACAGGCAATGACTTGAACACTAAAGAAGTACAAATGCCGATGCATGTCCCCAACAACCAACCAGAAAACACAGGCAAACAACTCGAACACCAAAGACCCAACAACCAACCAGAAGACACAGGCGAACGACTTGAACACCAAAGACCCAACAACCAACCAGAAGACACAGGCGAACGACTTGAACACCAAAGACCCAACAACCAACCAGAAGACACAGGCGAACGACTTGAACACCAAAGACCCAACAACCAACCAGAAGACACAGGAAACGACTCGAACACCAAAGAAGTACAAATGCCGATGCGTGTCTGAAGACAGCCATGCTGCCCAGGAAACGGGGAGGGGCAAGTCAAGCCAGTGCCAGGATGAGGAAGACCCAGAGTAAGGGGCTGTGGAGGGCACCTGTGTCATTGCAGAGCCTGGGAGTGTGGAACGCTCCTGATTTTGTTGGCTGGCTGCTGCTATTAAATCTAAAACAGCCCTGCTCTTTGACTCAGCAGATCGACCTCTAGGAATCCATTGTGTACCTTTGTTGTGGGTTGCAGAGTCCCCTGAAAAATTTACGTTCAAGCCCTAACCCCCAGTACCTCAGAACATGACTGTATTTGGAGATGAGGTTGTTGCAGATGTCATTAGCTGGGGTCATGCGGGTAGGCCCTAATCCAATGTAACTGGTGTCCTTATGAGAAGCTGGTCACATGAAGACAGAGACACAGGGAGAACGCGTGTGCCAACAGAGGCAGAGATTGGAGTGATTTTCTACATGCCAAGAACTGCCAGGAACTGCTGGCAACACTCAAAACTGGAAGAAGCAAGGGAGGATCCTTCCCCTACAGGTTTCAGAGGGAGCACAGCCCTGCTGATGCCTGGATTGTGGACATCAGGCCCCCAGAACTGAGAGAATTCATTTCTGTTGTCTGAAGCCACCTGGTCTGGGGTGTCCTGTTACAGCAGCTGCAGGAACCTGGCAAGGCCCAGGTGCACACAGACGCAAGAGCGGGGATACAGGCACGTGTGCACACAGATGTAAGAGCAAAGACATTCACTGCGGCGGAATTCACAGCACCAAAACGCTGGGATTGCAGGCTGTGTCCTTCCACAGGACACATTCATGGGACAGCATGCGGTTGCTGGAAAGAGCGCACACAGACGGAATGAAGAAGCACATGCGGGGCGCACAGGACGACTCCACACGATGAGGAGCACACACACGCAGGTTTGTGCCTACACAGGTGTTGGACAAGTATTTGTTGTGTCAACCTAAAAAGAAACTCAAGAGACAAGCTCTCCAAATAAGCGAGTTGATTTGAGAATTGCAGAGAATTGCAATTCGGGGTATTTGGCAGGCTATAGGTGTATCCAGGGGAGTTGGGGAAAAGGGGAATCTTAAAAACAAAAAGGGCCAGGCGCAGTGGCTCACGCCTGTAATCCTAGCACTTTGGGAGGCCGAGGCGGGTGGATCACCTGAGGTCAGGAGTTCAAGACCAGCCTGGCCAACATGGAGAAACCCAGTCACTACTAAAAATACAAAAATTAGCTGGGTGTGGTGGCTTGCGCCCGTAATCCCAGGTACTTGGGAGGCTGGGGCAAGAGAATCGCTTGAACTCAGGAGGCGGAAGTTGCAGTGAGCCGAGATTGCACCACTGCACTCCAGCCTGGGAGACAGAGCGAGACTCCATCTCAAAAACAACAACAACAAAAACAAGAACAAAAAAGAAGCCCACATAAGCTGTTTTCAAAGCCAAGGGTCTTTTACAGGAGTCTGTTACAGGAGCTGGAATTAGTGCGTGGGCTGAGACAGTCACTGCTGGGCAAGCGTCCGTCTGGGGTAGGCAACCCTGAGGGCGCCCTGTGGGTCCTGGAACCGTCTCCGTGCAGGAGTGTCTTGGGCTGCGTCCTGTCACAGGCCTCTGTATCTGAGGACTTCAGGGCTACCCCGACTCCATGTTGGTAGCGGCAGCTTTCACAGTGGACACACTCCACCATCAGGAAAGCTCATTCCACAGGAGTAGGGGCAGTAAGGGGGCTTTACCCTTTGTGCTGTATTTCCTGGAGAGCAGAAGGCCTGTGTGAATTGTAACTCGGAATAAACTTCACTAAAATAACGTGCACTTAGCTCTCTTTTGTAGACAAAAGTTGCCTGATGTATTGGCCAAGGGAACCCCAACTGCATTCCACCCCTTCTGGCAAGAGAACATCTCTCTTCACATCAGACCAATCAGAACCCCGGGGATCCACGGCGAGGGGATTTGGCTGTGTATGGACAGGACAGGGCAGTACTCGAGCAAGGAAGAGGACGTGAGCCTGGGTGTTCTGGGCCCCAAGTGGAAGGTCTGATCCGCTGTGCTGTGGGGCCAGACACCCAGGGCCAACCCCGGGCCACTCAGCAGGGGGTTTGCTGTGGGGAGCTTGTGCAGAGAGAGGCGAGTTCCATGCAGGCGTGGCAGGGCTTGTGTGGGGGTCTGCAGCTGGATGGTCCTTGAGAGAGGAGCCACGGGGCCAGGCGTTAGCACCCCTCCATCTACTAGTTCCTGGATGTGGCCCCAGGAAGGGGCATAACCTTGGAACAGACATCTGCGTCAGCGAAGGTCAAAGCAAAGGTGGCGGCCCCTGAGGGCTGTGGCCAGCAACACTCAGCACCTACCAGGAAGGGCAGCCGAAGGGGGATTGGAGAAGTGCATTTTCAGCCTCCCGAGTAGCTGGGACAACAGGCGTCCACCACCACCCCTGGCTAACTTTTGTATTTTTAGTAGAGATGGGGTTTTACCATGTTTGCTAGGCTGGTCTCAAGCTCCTGACCTCAAGTGATCCGCTTGCCTCAGCCTCCCAAAGTGCTGGGATTACAGGCGTGAGCCACCGCGCCCAGCCTAGGGCTGGATTTTATCTATGGGATTAAAGGGAGAGATGGAATCAGGAAGAGAGTAGGACTAGGTCTGCATCTGCACGCTGAACAGATTTGGCCAGGAGGACCTGCCCTGAAGAACAAGGCAGAAGCCATCAGTTTCGTTGAGTTGCCACAAAAGACTTGGTGTATTTCCCTTCAGACATCTCTCCTCTCCCAACCTGTAAGTCATCTGAGAGGGTCACTCCCTGTCTCTCGCCACGTGTCCAGGTGACAGACCTCAGGCCCCTTTAGGAAATCCTTAGATGCTCAGGCATGCGGCTCCAGGGCCGCGGCCAGCCGAGTTGCTGAGTAAACCCCAAGGAAGGTGATGGGCGATGGAGACCGTGTCCTACTGCTCGGCGGCCGCCGTACAGCCCACCACAGCTCCCCGGCTGCTGGATCCACCCGACATCTGTTCAGCAGTGTCCAAATACTGAAATTTTAACTAGTCACTCACTTTCCTTATTCCTTTTCAAATAAATTGTTTCCGCCCTTTCCCCTCTTTGCATGGTGGTTTTGTCATCTCCCACATCCGGAGTTGCAAAAAGGCCCTGAGGTGGCTGGGCACAGTGGCTCATCCCTGTAATTCCAGCACTTTGGGAGGCCGAGACGGGTGGATCACGAGGTCAGGAGTTCAAGACCAGCCTGGCCAAGATGGTGAAACCCCGTCTCTACTGAAAACACAAAAATCAGCTGGGCGTGGTGGCGGGTGCCTGTAATCCCAGCTACTTGGGAGGCTGAGGCAGAGAATTGCTTGAACATGGACATGGTGGTCGTGGTCCCCGGTGGAGACACTGCAGCTGGAGGTGGGGTGAGTGGACTGAGCACCTTTGAAGTAGTGTGATCAGAAGACGAGGCTGGCCGACCCCTCTGTGGAAAGGACACAGCCCTCCAGCTGTGGCAATGGGTGTGCAGGCCACAGGCTCACCTGTCCTAAGGCGGGGCTGCTCTGCCTTTGTTTGGATTGTGTGTGGTATCATGGCTCTCCTGCAGTCAGGCTGCCACACTTCCTAAGTGTGCACGTGTGGGGAGGGGAGGAGTGGGGAGTGTGAGTGATTCTGGGTGCTCAGGTGCATGACAGCTGGTCTCCCCTCATGGAGTTACCACTGTAACCGGACTCCAGGCTTCCACCATCGGCCCTCGAATTTTACATAGGATGGTTGGCCCCGGGAAAAGGAGCCTCTGAAGTTTTAAAATCCAATATGGCTCCAACATTAAGCTCACACTGGGGACCAGCTCAAAACCCACCCATTTCACATTCCCCAAAACGTTTCGTTTGGTGGGCCTGTGATTTAGCTCCCAAGAGGTCACAGATACAAACACAACGAAGCGAGCTATTAGGGCTGGACATGCACTCAGTGACGCAGCTGTCCCTCCACCCTGGCCCGGGTCAGGTTCTGCCAACTCCACACGCACACTCTTCGTTTGAAGGGTCCCAATGGGTTTGAGGACCTGTAAGACTGGTACGCACGGCGGACCCCATGAACACCCAGAACAACAGTGAGTAGAGTTTATGATACGTTGTAACTAGAATGACCCCAAATATCTTTATTTACTTGGCATTGTACTTCCCAAAGAAGAATATTGCAGCCACTGGGCCTCCCTTCAGAGTGCAGAGAGGCAGCTCCAGGAGCTGAGCCTGCTGGGATGCAACTCCTCCTCCTAGCACCATGGACTCCTTCATCTTTCAGTCAAGGCTGCCAGTGGCTACCACGTGGCCCTCCCATTCCTGGAGCTCTCAGCTGCATCCGCCACCTGCTCTCTCGACGGACTTTTTTTTTTTTGAGATGGAGTCTCACTCTGTCGCCCAGGCTGGAGTGCAGTGGCACGATCTTGGCTCACTACAACCTCCGCCTCCCAGGTTCAAGCAATTCTCCTGCCTCAGACTCCTGAGAAGCTGGGATTACAGGCGGCAGCTACCATGCCCTGCTAATCTTGGTGGACTTTACACTGGACACATGTGTGCTGAGCGCTAACACAAAGGCCAGGCAAGTGTCCCCTGGAGACAGAGGGGTGGAAGGCTAGGTCACAGGCATGGCTGTCAACGGACCCTGCTGTGCACCCATTCTGGCCGCGAAGTAGCTTCATGCATTCTCTGCCCAAGATAAATGCAGAGAAAACTCGGCTCTACAGGCTCACAGGGAGTGACGGCTGCTGGCCCCAGGAAGGAAGATGCTCCTTACGGGACACCTGCTGTGAGCCCCTTCTGTCACCCCACCCCCGCCTGGGTGGTGAGGAGGCCAACAGGGCAAGATGCAGAGCCTCCCGGCCCCTCACACCCCCATGGGCTCCTCACCACCATTCTCTCCCCAGGCCTTTTCTGTGGACCTGACCTTCTTCAGCGACCCAGGAGGCAGGAAGGGAAGCCTGAGTGTTAGAAGGAAAGACAACTAAGAGCAGCAGCCTGACCGCAGCTGAGCACGGTCGTGCTCCTCCCTGGGGAAGTGCCAAGGGAGGGACCCCCTGCTCTACCCGGAGCCCTGGAGCCCTGCTAAGCAGGGTGGAAAGCCTGCAGCCCGGGGGGTACCGCGACTGTGGCCCAACCATCCAGTGTGTGAGCCCTGGATGATGAGGCCACCAAGAGCAAGGCAGCCCGCTTGGACAACTGACCATCATCTGACGAGGCAGCGCATCACCCACGTCTCTGCTGTTCACATTTAATCCTGCACAAGAGCGTCACAAAGTGACAGCATTGTGAGGGACTAACGACCAGGCACAGGTGACCCTGGACGCGGCCAGTGGCTTCCTGCAGGGCGCTCAAAACCCAAGTCCTTATGATCCGCCGCATCTACTGCCGAGACACCAGCTGCTCCGTCCCCACCTGTGCTCAAGCACCTGAAGGCCCTTCCAACGGCGCCCGCTGGGCAGGGGACAAACCAGACACGAAACACACATGCGCTTTTACCAGCCTGGACTCTGTAAGAGAAAGGCACCCCCATATCCCCCCTGGGGAGATTTCCACTTATCCTGCAGGGCCCTCACTGCCTCACCGGGCTCTGCCAGGGCCTGCCCCGCAGGGGCAAGTGCTTTTCCTACACAGGGTCTGTGGGCCAGGACAGACCCAGAGGAGCTTCTGCTACGGGCTGAATGGTCACTCTGAAATTCCCATGTGGAAGCCCTAGGCCCGACGTGATGGTATGAGGAGGTCTCTGGGAGGTGATTTGGCTTCGATGGGGTGATAGGGGTCATGGGATCCGGGCCCTCACAAGGAAAAGGTGACACCAAAGCCCCTCCTGACATGAGGATGCCTCTGAACCAGGAGGCGCTCGCCGGAAACGGACCCTGTTGGCACCTCTACCTCGGACTTCCAGCCTGCAGAGCTGGAGAGAATAAACCTGTGTTGTCTGTGGGGCTGCCGGTGGTGTCCTGGTAAGGCAGCCCTGTGACTCCATGACCGACAGCTGCTCTCTACAATCTTCCGTGAGCACGAAGAAACTCATACTCATGCTGCAAATAAAAGATTTGGGGAACTTTTAAGCACACCAACCTCCCGGCTTCAACAGCTGTCAACATTCAGCCAATACTGTTGTGTCTTTCTCCTCTTTATTAGAATCGTAAAGTACATCCCAGGCGCCACGTCATTTCCCCACAAAGACGTCCAAATGCATCTGAGTGAGGATTCCTCCGTAACCCTGTGTCACCATCACCGCTAGCAGCCAATTCCGCACCCCCACCCGACTCACGGCCCACCCACCCGACTCACGGCCCACCCACGCAACTCACGGCCCACCACGCAACTCACGGCCACCCACCCGACTCACAGCCCACCCACCCGACTCACGGCCACCCACACGACTCAGTCCATCCACCCGACTCACGGCCCACCCACCCGACTCAGTCCATCCACCCGACTCACGGCCCACCCACCCGACTCAGTCCATCCACCCGACTCACGGCCCACCCACCCGACTCAGTCCATCCACCCGACTCACGGCCCACCCACCCGACTCAGTCCATCCACCCGACTCACGGCCCACCCACCCGACTCAGTCCATCCACCCGACTCACGGCCCACCCACCCGACTCAGTCCATCCACCCGACTCACGGCCCACCCACCCGACTCAGTCCATCCACCCGACTCACGGCCTACCCACCCGACTCACGGCCCGTGCCCACATTTCCATGATTGTCTCAAAAGTGACTTCGCACTCGGTTTGCTCCTACCAGGGTCACACACAGCCCCCTCGGCCTTTCTGCGTGCCCGTCTTCCCACAGAAACGTCGCCGTCTGGTGGCATCTCCAGCCGGATCTGGCTCAGGGCTTCCTCTCGGTGTGTTCAACCTTCTCCTCATCCCCCTATTTCTTGTAAACTCGTTTCTGATTCCAACATTACATATGCATCTGTTGGCTGGAATTTTTTTTTTGAGACGGAGTTTCACTCTTACTGCCCAGGCTGGAGTGCAATGGCGCAACCTTGGCTCACCACAACCTCCACCTCCCGGATTCAAACGATTCTCCTGCCTCAGCCTCCCGAGTAGCTGGGATTTCAGGCGTGAGCCACCACGCCTGGCCTGGCTGCAATTCTTAAAGAAAAACAGGCAAAAGCAAAAATAATTGGCTAACCTGAAACACGGCAGTGTCCCGACCCATTCCCACGGGGGTCTTCCCTTGGGAACACCACTGGCAGATTTTTATTTCTGGCTGGATAAGCAGACACCTTAAGTTTAAAACAAAGAGGTCACCTCTTCCCCCACGAAATGCGATGTGGTGGATATGGCCACCTCACTGCCCTGAGACCCAACTTGATCTCCCAACTCCAGGTGCATGACCCAGGCTCTGACCAACAGAGCTGGGTGGAGGCCGTTCCTGCAGCACTGGGGGTGGCCCTGACCTAACCACCACTCCTAATCCTTGAATGAGGTTCAGTATTACAAAGGCTCTTGTTTCTACGGCCCAGCGCAGAGGCTGCAGGAGGGTCTTTGCCTCTGTGCAATGCTCACAGCTGCCTCGCCCAAGACAGAGACAAGAAGGGAAGCCAGACCGGGCAGCCAGCATGGGGTGCAGAGCCAGGAAGGAAAGGCCCAGCAGACGGCGACTCGGGGCCAGGGTGGAGTCCCTGAGCCAGACGGCTGTGGGCACCAGGCAGGCTTCTCCGCCTCTGAGCCCGGCCTGGCACGTGGCTCCGGGGTCGCGCACACTCTCAGCACATCCCCAGGATGCCCGGCGCCGGGGCGCAGCCCCCGCCATCTCCAGAGCCCCCGCCATCTCCGGCGTACCCATGGCTCTGCTTCTCCCACCTGGCAGTTTTCCCAGTAAACTTCTCGGGGGACTGGGGAGCTCTGAGGACTAAGAAGGCTTCTCTGAATTCAGGTTGATTTTCCAGGCTGAAGAGCAACTTCTCACTGCAGCTCTCCCTCAGGACCCAGTACTCCCGCAGAGGCGCAGCACCCCACTCTTCGGGCGCCCCTACACCTCCCCGTGCCTGTGAGTCCTCTGATGCCGCGTGAAGAACCCCAGGTGACGGAAGCCTTTCCCACAGTGGCCGCACTCGTAGAACCTCTTCGTCAGGTGCAGCCTCCGGTGGATGCTGAAGCCCTTGGGCCACCGGAAGGACTTGCCGCACTCGGCACAGGTGTAGGGCTTCTCCCCGCTGTGGACCCTCTGGTGGTGGCTGAGGTTCTCCTTGGTCCGGAAGGCTTTGCCGCAGTCCGCGCAGTAGAACGGCCGCTCCCCGGTGTGCACCAGCTGGTGTCTGAGAAGGTTGGACTTCTGCTTGAAGGCTTTCCCACAGTCGCCACACGAGTAGGGCCTGTGCTCGGTGTGGACCTTGCGGTGCTGAGCCAGGCGGTCCTTCAGGCTGAACGCCTGCCCGCAGGCCTCGCAGCAGAAGGGCTTCTCGCGCGTGTGGTTCTTCTGGTGGCGCTGCAGGTTTGAAGCCCACCGGAAGGTCTGGCCGCACTCGGGGCACTCGAAGGCCTTGGTTCCCGTGTGCACCGTCTGGTGAGCGAGCAGCCGGCTGTGGCAGCTGAGCGCCTTCCCGCACGTGCCGCAGATGAATGACAGCTCTACTGCGCGCTGCTTCCGGCGCTCTCTGCGGCCCGGCCGCCGCCCACAACGCTGCGTGAGCACCTGACACGGGAAAGCCGTGGGCTTGGCGTCTGTCCTTTCTGGAGCAGCTCTGGGAAGCTGCCCGTCATCCGTGTCCAGCCTGAAGCCCTTCCTAAAGCTGCTTCCTTCCCTGGCTCTTTCTCGCCGCACGTGGGTTTTCTTGTGAGCCCAAGCTGGATGATCACAAGGTCTCTTGGGGTCTGCAGACTTCCTTGCCCCTGTGGAAGGAACAGACACCCTTACACAGAGCCAGTGGCCCACAGCCAGGCAGTGCCTCCAGCAAAGCCCAGAGGAGGCCGGGCGCGGTGGCTCACGCCTGTAATCCCAGCACTTTGGGAGGCCGAGGCGGGTGGATCATGAGGTCAGGAGATCGAGACCATCCTGGCTAACAAGGTGAAACCCCGTCTCTACTAAAAAAAAAAAAATACAAAAAATTAGCCGGGCGCAGTGGCGGGCGCCTGTGGTCCCAGCTACTCGGGAGGCTGAGGCAGGAGAATGGCGTGAACCCGGGAAGCGGAGCTTGCAGTGAGCCGAGATTGCGCCACTGCAGTCCGCAGTCCAGCCTGGGCGACAGAGCGAGACTCCGTCTCAAAAAAAAAAAAAAAGCCCAGAGGACCCTCCTGCTGTGTGCGTGGACTGGCTTCCATTGACTCAGCTCATTCCACATGGTTACGAGTGATCAGGAAAACTCGTTCAAAGAAACACAGATGAGCCACAGGTATCAACAGCGGAAGCCAAGATGAGCTCAGATGCTTCCCCAGCCCCGGTGGTACGCAGGCCACCCGGCACTGCTGACGTGAGGGAGAGCCGACACATGCCTGCCAACCAACAGAAGCAACTGGGCCAAGAGAATGTCCTTTCACCCTGTCCACGCCAGCAGGCCCCACTCATGCGGGTGGAGGTGGTGCTAGGATGTCGTCTAGAAGACGGGTAGCTCCACCTGATTCTCAACCACTCAGCCTCAGAGCCATGGCTCCCTTCAGCCGGGGGCTCCACACACCCGGGGATGCGACACCTCCCCAGCCGGGGGCTCCACACACCCGGGGATGCGACACCTCCCCAGCCGGGGGCTCCACACACCCGGGGATGCGACACCTCCCCAGCCGGGGGCTCCACACACCCGGGGATGCGACACCTCCCCAGCCGGGGGCTCCACACACCCGGGGATCCGACACCTCCCCAGCCGGGGGCTCCACACACCCGGGGATGCGACACCTCCCCAGCCGGGGGCTCCACACACCCGGGGATCCGACACCTCCCCAGCCGGGGGCTCCACACACCCGGGGATCCGACACCTCCCCAGCCGGGGGCTCCACACACCCGGGGATGCAACACCTCCCCAGCCGGGGGCTCCACACACCCGGGGATCCGACACCTCCCCAGCCGGGGGCTCCACACACCCGGGGATCCGACACCTCCCCAGCCGGGGGCTCCACACACCCGGGGATCCGACACCTCCCCAGCCGGGGGCTCCACACACCCGGGGACCTGACACTCCAGAGTCAGGGGCTCCACACACCCAGGGACCTGACACTCCACAGTCGGGGGCTCCACACACCTAGGAACCTGACACTCCACAGTCGGGGACTCCACATACCCGGGGACCTCCCAGGGCTCGTGTTCACATAGCTGCTCCATCCCACTCTGAAAATGTAAGTAAAAAGCAAAACCCTGCTGACAACTGCCCCAAGAGCAACCCTCACCTAATGGAGGGAAGCATGGCCACTGTCCCAGTTTTGCAAACAAGGACGTGGAGCAAACTCCTACCCAGAGCCACATACCTGGAGACCCTCACGTGCAGTCAGTACCAGGCCTGGGACCCCACATGGCCATCACAGGGAGGTCAGACACCCACACCAATGGCCTCCGCCGGACAGCACCTGGGTGGCTAGGTGCAGGCTTCAAGTGTCACTCCAGCCTCAGGCCCCTCCGAGCTGCAGCTGTATGTCATCCTGCAGCACTATGCCTTTCGAGCCCCACCCCCGGCCAGTGTCCATCAGGGCAGGAGCGTGGCTGCCCCTACGTCTCTAATGCCTGTCTAATTTAGAGAGCAGCTGTGTGTCTGCTCTCCCATGGGAAGGACACACCCTTGGTCACTGCAGCGTGCTGAGCACTACCCAGGAGCTGTGGGCCACAGGGACGGGGCCCGCCGAGCCCAGACAGCCCAGCACTCACCTGGCCGGGGTCCCCTCTGCACTGCCTGGAACTCAGGTCTCTCCCGGTCTTCAACCCACGGCTCCTCCCACTGTTCCAGGCGAGAGACGAGGTCTGGTCTGGGGCTGCAAAATCCTTCTCAAAGGAGAGAAAAGTTTCTGTTTTACTTGTACTGAGGACAAAGTGAGGGTCGAGGCTCAGAGCAGTTGTGCATCAGCCTAAGACGCCAGGCCAGCCCTCGGGAGGCCCTGGAGAAGCCACCCCAAAGCAGAGATGACAGGAAGGGAGGGGCCTGGACACCAAGGCCCACGGAAGGCCCTGGCAAGGTCAGAGGAAGGAAGATGAGGCTGCCTCCAGGGAGCCCGAGAGAAACGCTGAGTGGGCCCCTCTGTCTACATAAGCCAATAACTTCTAGCTCCTGAGCCCCCTCAGCTGGGAGGCCCCACTACTGTCCTGGACGAGCTGGGCCCAGAGGCAGCGGCAGAGCTCTCCCAGCACTCACCCTGTGCTCACGCTGCGCTCAGCCCGTGCTCACCCAGAGCAGCCACACTGCTGAAGTTGTCCAGCATCACGTCCCGGTAGAGGGCCCTCTGGCTGGGTTCCAGACACGCCCACTCCTCCCTTGAGAAGTAGATGGCCACGTCCCTGAAGGTCACTGGCTCCTGCAACACACACAGCTCCCGAAGAGGCCATTCCCAAGAAAAAGAAGGCTCAGCCCACAGGTCTGGGTGGGAAGGGGGAATGGGAGTGGCCCTGCGGTGGACTGATTGTTTGTGTCCCCTAAATCCATTCACTGAAGCCCAGAGCCCCGAGTGGCTGTGTCTGGAGATGGGCCTCTGTGGAAGAGATTAAGGTTAAGTGAGGTCAGAAGGGAGGGGCCCTGACCCATGGACCTGGTCCTCACAGGAGACTCCAGAGAGCCCCCCGGCTCCCTCCCCGCACACGCGTGAACACAGCACAATAGTGGCCCCCACCAGAAACCAGATCTGCAGCATCTGATCTTGGACGTCAGCCTTTGGAACAGAGGAAGTGCATGTGTGTAAACCACCCACTGTGTCATGTTTGGTTACGGTAGCTCTAGTGGACTAAGAGAATCTAGTCTACTTTCCTACAACAGCCACTACTCTCCTAGTGTCAATGAATCCAATTTTCTTTTCTTTTTTTTTTTCTTTTTTGAGACGGAGTCTTGCTCTGTCACCAGGCTGGAGTGGTGGCACGATCTTGGCTCACTGCAACCTCCGCCTCCCAGGTTCAAGCAATTCTCCTGCCTCAGCCTCCCGAGTAGCTGGGCCTACAGGTGCGTGCCCAGCTAATTTTTTGTATTTTTAGTAGAGATGGGGTTTCACCGTGTTAGCCAGGATGGTCTTGATCTCCTGACCTCGAGATCCACCTGCCTCAGCCTCCCAAAGTGCTAGGATTACAGGCGTGAGGCATTGCGCCTGGCCCCAATTTTCTTTTTCTTTCCCCACCCCTTAAGAGAGAAGGCAGAAAGGCAGACACGGGCACAGTGCCTGGGAAGCCACTGCCACAGACCCTCCCCGCGTGTGTGCTGGGGTCTCAGGCAGCCAGCAGGGCAGAAGGGAGGCTGCGCTCGGCAGCAGCAGGGCTCACCTGGGCCATGTCCATGGGAACAGCGAGGCCACCCCTCTGGGGAAGCACAGTGCCAAGGAGGGCAGATCTGGGGAGACAAGAAATGTAAGCGGGTATAGCCGGCCTGGGAATGCCCCCCGCACCTGACCCCAGGAGCCCCCCCACTCAGCAAATCACGGGGAATTCAGGAAAAATGAGTGATGCACACACAGGGTCTGCTCTGTAACTACTGACAGCCACCAGGTGTGGGGAAACTTGGCAGTGGTGAGGGGCCAACATATCTTTAAGGGACAGCTGGGTACAGTGTGCCACCTCCACAAACAAGAACTCTGAAATACCAGACAGCAAGCCAGGCCTGTCACCAGAGGAGGACAGGCCAGCCATTGCTGGCTGAAAGCCAACAGCTTAGCTGCAAACACATGACTGGAGAGTCTAACCGCAACTGAGGCAGCGGAGGCTCCTCCTCAGGAGACAGGCGGGCAGCCCGTTCCCACAGCACTGTGCCAGGAGGATGCTCTCGGGTACGCTACAAGGAGGCCACCTCGCAGCCTTCCCCCAAGTGAAAACCTGGTGCAGCCCCGAGAAACCCCAATAATGTTCACTGAGTCTCCAGATCAAGCCACAAGATCCCCTAAACCTTAGGGCCCCAGCCCGCTGAGATCCAGCTTCTACCCCCAGGTCTGTAGAGAACCACCCTGGCATCCCACTGCCCTCCTGCCACAGTGGGTCCTGCCTCCTTCGTGAGTAAAGCTCAGAGCCCCAAGATGCAGAAGAGGCCAGCCCCACAGGCACCCCTGAGAAGAGACAGAACCAGCTGGAGGAAGATAGCCCATGCCTGGTTACCTCGTCAGGGGAGGGGAGGAGATGTCACTCTAGACCCTACAGACATGGAAGTATCCTAAAGGGCCGTCAGGAGCAACTCATGCAAACAGGTTCAGCAACTGAGATGAAACAGACAAACTCGATGAAAAACACAGTATCATGAAACTGACAAAAGAAAGGGAAGCCTTCCATCTGATAAGGCAATTGAAAATGTAACTGGAACCCTTCCCACACAGAAAATACCACACCCAGCTGGATTCCCTGGTAAACTCCACCAAAGCCTACGGAAGCACAGTACTGATCTTAGAAGCTATTTAGTGAACAGAGGAAGAGCAGACGCTATCCAGTCTGTCTTAATGAGGCCAGCAAAACCCAAACCGAAAACCTGACAGAGATATTACAAGGGGCCAAGCACAGTGGCTCACGCCTGTAATCCTAACACCCTAGGAGGCTGAGGCAGGAGGACTGTTCGAGCCCAGCAGTTGCCCAGCCTGTCTCTATAAACAATACAATAATTAGCGGGGCGTGGCAGTGCACATATGCAGTCCCAGCTACTCAGGAGGCTGAGGTGGGGGGACTGCTTGAATATGGGAGGCGGAGGTTGCAGTGAGCTGAGATCATGCCAGTGCACTCCAGCCTGGATGTTAGACTGAGACGCTGTCTGAAAAAAAAAAAAAAAAAAAAAAAGATATTACAAAAAAATTACCTACCAAACTCTCATAAACACAAATTCTCAAAAAATATTAGGAAGCCAAATCCAGCAGTTTATAAAAAGAATTCTCTGTCATGACCAAGTGACATGGACCCTAAGAGTACACAGCTGGTTTGATCCCCATTAACTGCAGTTGGTGCCCAGGAGGCTCCCTCCACCACCTGCACTCAACACTCACTGCATGGGGCGGCTCCCTCGGCGTTCACCCCTGACCCCTCGTCCCTCCCACCTCCAGCACAGCAGGTACACAGACATTCCCTTTCTCCTTCTGACACTCACAGGTGGTTACATTAACTGCTACATGTTTTCATGAATATGCTTTTCAACTTGATATTTTTTTTTCACTCTTTCAACAGCATAGCATCAACTTTAATCACAATGTTAATCCCCAACATTTGCTGTCATTTGAAAATGACATAACTCCATCCTGGCTAACACGGTGAAACCCCATCTCTACTAAAAAACAAAAAATTAGCCGGGCGTGGTGGCACGAGCCTGCAGTCCCAGCTACTCGGGAAGTTGAGGCAGGAGAATGGCACGAACCCGGGAGGCAGAGCTTGCAGTGAGCCGAGATCACGCCACTGTACTCCAGCCTGGGCAACAGAGTGAGACTCCATCTCAAAAAAAAAAAAAAAAAAAAGAAAATGATATAACTAACCAAATTAACAGAATAAAGGAGAAAACCATATAACAGCTATTATCTCAATAGCTGCAGAAAAGGCATTTGTTAAAATTCAACACCTAATCCCAACAAAAACTCTCAGCAAACAAGGAACAGAAGAGAACTTCTTCAACCCGGCAGACCTGCAACCAACATCCTGCTTCATGGGCCACTACGGAGCTCTTTCCCTCTGAGACCAGGAAAAAGCAGGGCTGTCTGCCCACTGCTTCTCTCTGTCACCTTATTGGAGGCCTGAGTCAGTGCAAGGAGGTAGAAAAAACACATAAAGCCATAAGATTACAAAGAAAGAAGTAGGTCGGGCGTGGTGGCTCATGCCTAGAATCCCAGCACTTTGGGAGGCTGAGGCGGGTGGATCACCTGAGGTGGGGAGTTTGAGACCAGTCTGGCCAATATGGCAAAACCCTGTCTCTACTAAAAATACAAAAATTAGCCAGGCATGGTGGCAGGCACCTGTCATCCCAGCTACTTGGGAAGCTGAGGCAGGAGAATCGCTTGAACCCGGGAGGTGGAAGTTGCTGTGAGCCAAGATCGCACCCCTGCAGTCCGGCCTGGGGAACAAGAGCAAAACTCCGTCTTAAAAACAAAAACAAAAACAAACAAACAAAAAACACAAACTGGAGGTAGAGGTTGTAGTGAGCCAAGATTGTGCCACTGCACTCCAGCCTGGGTGACACAGAGAGACCATCTTCACAACATTGGGGTAGACAAACATTTCTTTCATGGATCCCTAAAAGCACTTTTAAAAAATTACAAATTCAGGCCGGATGCAGTGGCTCACGCCTGTAATCCCAGCACTTTGGGAGGCCGAGGTGGGCGGATCACCTGAGGTACGGAGTTTGAGACCAGCCTGGCCAACATGGAGAAACCCCATCTCTACTAAAAATACAAAATTAGCCAGGCGTGGTGGCACTTGCCTGTCATCCCAGCTGCTCAGGAGGCTGGGGCAGGAGATTCACTTGAACCCAGGAGGCAGAAGTTGCGGCGAGCCGATATCGCGCCATTGCACTCCAGCCTGGGCAACAAAAGCAAAGCTCCGTCTCAAAAAAAAAAAAAAATCACAAATTGGATTTATCAGAATTAAAAATTTTTGTTTACCAAGGCAGTTAAGAAAAAAAAAAAAGGAGACGGGGTGCAGTGGCTCACGCCTGTAATCCCAGCACTTTGGGAGGCTAAGGCAGGGGGATTGCTTGAGGCCAGGAGTTTGAGACCAGCCTGGGCAACATAGGGAGACCTCTGTCTCTATTGTTTAAATTTTTTTTTCTAAAAAGAGACACAAAGGTAAGCCACAGACTAAGAGAAAATATTCCCAATACATGTATCTGACAAAGGACTTATATAAAGAATTGTAACTCCTACAAATCAATAAAAAAGAGAAATAAAATTTAAACTGGGCAAAATATTAGAACAGACACTTCAACCAAAGTTATACAACGGTCTATAAAAACATGAAAAGGCACACTGAGCACATGGGTCATGGGTGGTGTTTTCCAATTAGAACACCTTGCTGAGTTCCTCTAGCAAGTAGCAATGACCACAGTGATAAAAATAACAGCTCCCGGCCATTCGCGGTGGTTCACGCCTGTAATCCCAGCACTTGGGGAGGCCGAGGCAGGTGGATCACCTGAGGTCAGAAGTTCGAGACCAGCCTGGCCAACATGGTGAAACCCCATCTCTACTACAAATGCAAAAAATTAGCCAGGCTACTTGGGAGGCTGAAGCAGGAGAACTGCTTGAACCCGGGAGGCGGAGGTTGCAGTGAGCCGAGATTATGCCACTGCACTTCAGCCTGGGAGACAGAGCGAGACGATCTCAAAAAAAACAAAAACAAAAACAAAAAAAAAACACCCTCTCCCCTCAGCTCAACAGCTGTGTTTGCACAACCTGGACTGGGCTTCCCAGCCTGGAAAGCAGAGTCAGGGAGAACCGTGAGATAGGCCAGGAAAGGGGCTAAAGCCAGATTCCTCAAGGCCTCCTGAGCCGTGGTTTCATGTGTAATGCAACAAAGTTTAATACGGGAGAACAGAAGGATATTGTCATAGCTACTTTTTTTCCCCTAGGCAAATTAACACAGGATTTTTTTTTCTCTGAGGCAGGTCCTTGCTCTGTCACCCAGGCTGGAATGCAGTAGTGCAATCACAGCTCACTGCAGCCTCGACCTCCTGGGCTCAAGTGATCCTCCCACCTCAGTCTCCCCAGTAGCTGGGACCAAAAGCGCATGTGCCAACATGCCCTGCAATTGTTTTAAGTTTTTTGCAGAAACGGGGTCTCACTATGTTGCCAAGACTGATCTCAAACTCCTGGCCTCAAGAGATCCTCTGGCCTCAGCCTCCCCAAGTGCTGGGGTTACAGGCGTCAGCCACAGCATCCGGCCTAAGCTACCTTTTTTTTTTTTTTTTTTTTAATAAGATGATGTCTCGCTCTGTCGCCCAGGCTGGAGTGCAGTGGCGCGATCTCTGCTCACTGCAACCTCTGCCTCTTGGGTTCAAACGATTCTCTTGCCTCAGCCTCCCCAGAGTAACTGGGATTACAGGCGTGCACCACCACACCCGGCTAATTTTTGTATTTTTTGTAGAGACAAGGTTTCAACATGCTGACCAAGCTGGTCTAGAACTCCTGGACTCAAGTGATCCACCTGCCTCGGCCTCCCAAGAGCTGAGATTACAGGCGGGAGCCACCTTGCCTGGCTAAGCTACATTTTATAAAAGATCCTCTGTGATGAACAAATGAGAAAGCAGCAAAACAGGATGGGGGTGGGGAGAAGACAGGGAGGCGTTCAGGTGAGAGAGGAAGACGGCCAGGATTGGGACTTACAGGGTGGGAATGGCAAGGAGGCAAATGGTTCAGTTATGGAGCTAACGCACCAGTGACTGTGTGGCTGGGCGTGGGCAGGAAAGGAGAAGAAGCGAATCTCGGGTTTCTGCCTCCTCCCCTTCGCGGTGGAATGCCTGGGAGGACCAGAGGGTGGGGTGTGGAGGTTGCAGGAGCTCAGCCTGGGGCCGGGGAGCTTTGGGTGTTATGAATCAAGTCTAAGCGCTCGGGTCTCATCGGAGCGATAGGGCTGGAGACACAGGTGTGGAAAGTGTCTATGAGGGATAACTAAGGTCACGATCGCGGACGGGGTCGGCCAGGAAGAAACCAGCTTCAAGAGGATACGCAACCGGGTCCTGACAAACCTGCAAGTGTAAGGAGCGAGGAGAGAAGAGGAGGCCGAGCCGGAAGAAGCTGAAGAACAGCCCCCGAATAGCCGAGGGCACGGGCAGCCTCCCCGGTCTGTCCCAGCAGCCGCGACGCTGGGTCTCACAGCCCTGGGGCGGCCGCAGAATTAGAAGGTTTGACAGCCCACGACCCAGGGACGGAGGGGCGGCGGGGGACACGGGCGCACTCACCACAGGGGCGTCCTCCACTAGGATGCTGCATCCACTACGCCGCGCCGGTAGCCCAGACTTTTACAAACTTCCCGAGCGGAAGTTGTTATCCGAAAGCTTCCGGCCCCTCTAGGAGCCCACGTCTCGGTGGTGCGCGCTGGCCTTCCAGGCCGTCCAGGCCGCCCGCCTCGCCCCGCACCGCTTGTGGTTCCGCCGCAGCCGGCAGGCCCCGCCCCGGTCACAGCCAAGCGCCACGACGCCCGGCTGATTTTTTTGTAATTTTAGTAGAGACGGGGGTTTCATCATGTTGGTCAGGCTGGTTTTGAACTCCTGACCTCAGGTGATCCGCCTGACTTGGCCTCCCAAAGTGCTGGGGTTACAGGCGTGAACCACCGATCCCGGCCCTCATAACCTAAAGTCGGCCTAAAGGTTTATCCTACAAAGTGAACTGTAACCTAACTGGAGGTGTGAACAGACTGTCACTTGCTCTCCTGCCAGTCACCCAGTTCCAGCCAATCAAGGGTGTAGGGTCCAGCCCTGCGGGGCTAAGCGGGTGTTGTCCCCGTGTGCGGAGATGAGAGATTGTAATAAATAAAGACACAAGACAAAGAGATAAAGAGAAAACAGCTGGGCCCGGGCGACCACTACCATCAAGACGCAGAGACCGGTAGTGGCCCCAAACGGCTGGGCGCGCTGATATTTATTGCATACAAGACAAGGGGCCAGGGTAAGGAGGGTGAATCTTCTAAGTGATTGACAAGGTGAAGCAAGTCACATGATTACAGGACAGGGGGCCCTTCCCTCTTAGGTAGCGGAAGCAGAGAGAGAAGGCAGCATAAGTTAGCATTAATCAAAGACTTTAAGACTTTCACTATTTCTTCTACCGCTATCGACTACGAACTTCAAAGAGGAACCAGGAGTACAGGAGGAACACGAAAGTGGACAAGGAGCGTGAACATTGAAGCACCACAGGGAGGGGTTTAGGCCTCCGGATGACTGCGGCCAGGCCTGGGTAATATCCAACCTCCCACAAGAAGCTGGTGGAGCAGAGTGTTCCCTGACTCCTCCAAGGAAAGGAGACTCCCTTTCGCAGTCTACTAAGCAACGGGTGACTTCCCAGACACTGGCGTTAGGGCTTGACCAAGGAGCCCTCAAGCAGCCCTGATGTGGGAGTGACAGAAGGCTCACCTCTTGCCTTCTAGGTCACTTCTCACCATGTCCCTTCAGCACCCGACCCTATATCCGCCGGTTATTCCTAGGTTATATTAGTAATGCAACAAAGAGTAATGGTAAAAGCTAATGATTAATAATGTTTATAATAATGATTGATAATTGTTCATGGTCATCTCTATATCTAATTTGTATTATGACTATTCTTATTCTAACTATTTTCTTTATTATACTGAAACAGTTTGTGCCTTCAGTCTCTTGCCTAGGCACCTATGTAATACTCCACCCACACAAGGGTGGCCAACTGTTCAAACCTAGACACGCCTTTCTATAGATTCCAGGTCTTAGGTAATCACTTAACTTATTCAACCAATTGCCAATCAGAAAATCTTTGAATCCACCTATGACCTGAAAGCATCCAAAGTATAGCCAAGAAATATATTTAAAAGTAAAATAGGCCGGGCACGGTGGCTCCCGCCTGTAATCTCAGCACTTTGGGAGGCCGAGGCGGGTGGATCACGAGGTCAGGAGATCGAGACCATCCTGGCTAACATGGTGAAACCCGTCTCTACTAAAAATACAACAAATTAGCCGGGCATGGTGGCGGGCGCCTGTAGTCCCAGCTACTCGGGAGGCTGAGGCAGGAGAACGGTGTGAAACCCAGAGGCGGAGCTTGCAGTGAGCCGAGATCGCGCCACTCCATTCCAGCCTGGGCGACAGAGTGAGACTCCGTCTCAAAAAAAAAAAAAAAAAAAGAGTAAAATATTTTGATTTCCTTTATCTGTCATGTGACGTTATGCTAGAGTCAGGTTGGAAACTAAGCCAATTATATAGGGTTAAATAAAACCTATCTGATGACATTTTATGGTTTGTAGGGCAGACTCCCCAGGCCCTTTAGATAAGAACTTGAGCAAGAGAGAAAAAGATCAGTTTAGTCCTCACTAGTAAAGGAGTGATAGCGACAGGAGGCAGGCAGCCAAATGCCCAGCCAAATGGGGGCAGGTCCCCAGTGAAACCTCCACCTCGACGCTGAAAACAGCTTAAAGCCTGAAAGCCAAGCTGCAAGTCGAATCCTCAGACCGGATTGAGAGCCTGTCTTCCTGTCTGGCGCACTTTCCTCTGATTGGTCCCACCCTTCACCTATTTTACATATACCTACCCTTTTCTAATTGGCTTTCTACACTGTCATGCCCACCTTTCAGTGGTGCCTTTGCTTTAACCTTTTTTGCATTACTCACAAACCAATCAGCACGCCCTCCCCATTCTGAGTCCATAACATGGGGAACTTTCCTGCCTTCATGTAGGGGGACCACGCCATGTCCCCTCTCCACTGAAAGCTGCCCCGTCACCCAGTGAAATTCCCCGCCTTGCTCACTCTTCGATTGTCAGAGCCTCCTCATTCTTCTTGGCCGTGGACAAGCATTCGGGAACTCGGGGGAGTTGACGGGCTGTCTCCTGCAGCAGGTAGTGTGTCAAGCGAGGCCCTGGCGGGGCGTCGCTGGCCGGAGGTCCCTGGCTTGCAGAATGACTGAGAACAACATCCTATGTCAATAGGAATGTCTTCAAAATTGTTAGTTACATATAATTTAATACTTGTTGATTTGCTGTTACTTATGTTTTTGGTTTTGAGCCTCTGGAATCGGGGCTGGACAGGTGGCCATGGTGAGGTCTGGGGACAAGTTCTCAGTGCCTCGACCAGCAGCTCCCAAGCAGAATCCAGCCCCATGTGGTCCCCTTTCGCCAGTTTTGCCTCCTGGCTATTCTGGGAGAGGTTGGATCCTCCAGGCATTGCCTTCACAGCTCTGTCTTCTGTCCTGAGCTCTAACCTAGGATGTAACTTCGGGCCTCAGACAGCCTTGACAGCCTCCCTGGGTGCCACATGGCTACTTGAGACCCAGCAGGCCTGGGAAAGACTGTAGGGAGGGCACCTGTGTCATAGCTTCATGCAGGGAGCCGAAGGCCCGTGGGACGTGACCAACTCAGCATTCCGCTGGAGGCTCTATGATCAAACAGCAAACTGTTTACCATGAATGCAGGATGTGGGTGAACTCACACTGCCCTGCCACCAAAAGGTTTGCTGAGGGCCTCGCTCCCTGGCTCTGGGCTCCTTGAAGTTATCTATTGAGAAATACTCTATTGTCCAAAGGATGCAGCCTGTTCAAGGCCGACTGACAATTACCCGACAATCACCCCCCTTTTCTCACTATCTCTTTTGCCTAATAGATACGGAGGGCTGTGTAAAGCTCAGGGCCCTTGTCCACTAGAGGCAAGGTGCCCCCTGACGCCCTCTTCCAAATATACTCTTTTGTCTCTTGTCTTTATTCCCGAGTTCGCCCCCTTTGTTCAGTCCCCTTAGGTCCGTGCAGGTTACAAGTGGCGCCCCGATCAGCGATAGAATCGGGTGCTCAACACTTTCAAAACTGTTTTTTTTTTTCGGATGGAGTCTGACTCTGTTGCTCAGGCTGGAGTGCAGTGGTGCAATCTCGGCTCACTGCAAGCTCCACCTCCTGGGTTCAAGTGATTCTCCAGCCTCAGCCTCCCGAGTAGCTGGGACTACAGGGGCCCGCCACCATGCCCAGCTAATTTTTTGTATGTTTTGTAGAGACAGGGTTTCACCATGTTGGCTAAGCTGGTCTCGAACCCCTGACCTCAGTTGATCTGCCTGCCTTGGTCTCCCAAAGTGCTGGGATTACAGACGTGAGCCACTGTGCCCGGCCAAGACCCCATCTCTTAAAACATTGGGAAGAAAAAAATCTATAATATTATAAAAGCTGTATGGGCCAGGTGCGGTGGCTCATGCCTATAATCCCAGCACTTTGGGAGGCCGAGGCGGGCAGATCATAGGTCAGGAGTTCGAGGCCAGTCTGGCCAACAGGGTGAAACTCCATCTCTACTAAAAATACAAAAAATAGCCGGGCGTGGTGGTGCGTGCCTATAGTCCCAGCTACTCAGGAGGCTGAGGCAGAAGAATTGCTTGAACCCAGGAGGCAGAGGTTGCCGTGAGCTTGTAGCAGGACAAGATGCAGACAAAACTCTCAGACACCAAGTCAAAGAAGGAAGGAGTTTATTTGGCCGAGAGCATTGGCAAGACTCCTGTCTCAAGAGCCGAGCTCCCTGAGTGAGCAATTCCTGTCCCTTTTAAGAGCTCACAACTCTAAGGGGGTCCGCGTGAGAGGGTCGTGATCAATTGAGCAAGCAGGGGGTACGTGACTGGGGGCTGCATGCACTGGTAATCAGAACGGAACAGAACGGGACAGGGATTTTTACAATGTCTGGAATCTATAGGTAACACAACCGGTTAGGTCAGGGGTCAGTCTTTAACTACCAGGCCCAGGGTGCGGCGCCGGGCTGTCTACCTGTAGATTTCATTTCTGCCTTTTAGCTTTTACTTCTTCTTTCTTTGGAGGCAGAAATTGGGCATAAGAGGATATGAGGGGCAGTCTCCTCCCTTATTCCCCCTCTTTGAGACTCTCACTCATTTTATTAGTGGGAGTTCTCACCTTCTTCCTCACTAGCTATGTCTTCCTGCATGACAGAGCGATAGTGATTCATGAAGTACACTTGTGCTGAAGCATTCTTTTTTTTTTTTTTTTTTTTTTTTTTTTTGAGACGGAGTCTTGCTCTGTCGCCCAGGCTGGAGTGCAGGGGCGCGATCTCGGCTCACTGCAAGCTCCGCCTCCCGGGTTCACGCCATTCTCCTGCCTCAGCCTCCTGAGTACCTGGGACTACAGGCGCCCGCCACCATGCCCAGCTAATTTTTTTTTTTTGTATTTTTAGTAGAGACGGGGTTTCACCGCGTTAGCCAGGATGGTCTCGATCTCCTGACCTCATGATCCGCCTGCCTCAGCCTCCCAAAAAGCTGGGATTACAGGCGTGAGCCACCGCGCTCGGCTGTGCTGAAGCATTCTGGTGAACTAGAGTAGTGATGAAACCTTTTACCATTTGAAGGAGTACAGGTAGTAAACAACGGATCAGTAAGCAGGTTCTTATTACTACTGTAATTTTTATTATAAGAGTTTTAAATCCTCTTAGCGCTGGGAACCATTTTCAAACATGGCCTCAGGATCAAATCCGTGCCACGCTTGTACAGGCACATGTGCCAGTTTCGTCATGTCTTTAACTGTATCTTCAACTACTTGCCCCGATCATGTATGTGCAGGCAGCAATTGGTAAGGTTCAATTTCCCACAGACTTCTCCTTCAGCTGCTAGCAAGTAGTCGAGAGTCAATTTATTTTGATAGATAGCATTTCTCATCTGAGTTTCTTGCCGGGCCAGAATAGTCAAGGCTCTGCCGGTCCTATTAGTGATTATTTCTAAGACAGCTTGTAACCGTATGATTTGGTTGAGCATGTAGATGGGGGTCCGGTATCCCCACAAGCCATCTTGTGCCCAAGTAGCAGGCCTATAATATTCCATCATTCTCTCAGGGGGCCATTTATTATCTTTCTTATTTTTTTATAGCTATGCTTCTCTTTTCGCGGGAAACATAGGGAAGCCCAGGAGTTCACCTGTCTTTATAGGCAGTAGGAAGAAAGATGGTTTAATAGTGCCAATCACACAACTGCCTGCCCACTGGTCGGGTAATTTGGTGTAAGGCCTATGCCCACACATTCAGTATAATCCAGTGGGGGCTGTCCAGTCTCGGTGGGACTCCGGATGGGTCCACACGGTTTGCAACTTTGGGAATTTACTAAATGGATTTTTCTTAGTATGGTTTGAACTCCACTAGGTGGCTGTTTTTGTAGTACCATTATACAGTTTTTGCCTAAGGCAGCTGAGTCGTCCTACAGGAAGGGTGAAGTCCTTCCTTACTCTTTTTTTTTTTTTTTTTTTTTTGAGACGGAGTCTTGCTCTGTCACCCAGGCTGGAGTGCAGTGGCGTGATCTCAGCTCACTACAAGCTCTGCCTCCCGGGTTCACGCCATTCTCCTGCCTCAGCCTCCCGAGCAGCTGGGACTACAGGCGCCCGCCACCACGCCTGGCTAATTTTTTATATTTTTAGTAGAGACGGGGTTTCACCGTGTTAGCCAGGATGGTCTCCATCTCCTGACCTTGTGATCCGCCCGCCTCGGCCTCCCAAAGTGCTGGGATTACAGGCGTGAGCCACCGCGCCCGGCCCCTTACTCTTGCTATACAGTATTGTCTAGTGATTGAGGCTTTTAGGACCCGGAAGTTATCAGGGTGATTTTTCTGAGCCAGGAATTCGTCAGGAACTGGGTCTGTAGGTACTAATTCTTGGGCTTCCCGTGGCCATTGGTCTTTTATTATAGTTCCTCCACACACATAGCATGAAGTGACATTGAGAGACTGGGCTACATGGTCAGCTAATTGCAAACAAATTTCTTATTTTTCCTGGAATTTCTGGTGCTGGCACATTCAGTTCATCATAGAAGGTTTGAAATACTGGCTCAGGAGAGCGTTTATAAACTTCTCCTCAAACCACAATATTTACTTGAAGATCCAGTCCAGCCCCATGAATTTCTAGGGTTATGGCCGGGCACGGTAGCTCACGCCTGTAATCCCAGCACTTTGGGAGGCAGAGGCGGGCGGATCACGAGGTCAGGAGATCGAGACCATCCTGGCTAACACGGTGAAACCCCATCTCTACTAAAAATACAAAAAATTAGCCGGGTGTGGTGGCGGGCACCTGTAGTCCCAGCTACTCAGGAGGCTGAGGCAGGAGAATGGCGTGAACCCGGGAGGCAGAGCTCGCAGTGAGCCGAGATCGCTCCACTGCACTCCAGCCTGGGTGACAGACCGAGACTCCATCTCAAAAAAAAAAAAAAATTCTAGGGTTACACATTTCCTTTTTTTCCAGCGAGGATTAAGGGGGTTGGTTATTACTAGTTCTAAGGGGTTACACTGACCACTGGTATAGGAAGGGCCACTTTTCCTTTTCTGAAGGTGGACAGAATTTTTTTCATTTTTTATCCAAGTAGCCTAAATGACACAAGACCAGTAACTACATTCATTTCCACACAGTCCTAACTCATGATAAATGTACTTATTTTCTGCCATACAGCCTCTTTCCTAATGAAGAGAACCACATCCTATTCCTAACTTATTAGTATTAATGACAGCACAGGCATCACACTTCAAGGTGACTTGTTTGGGCACCTCTTTTTGTTTGTTTTTTTTGGCTAACACTTTACTCATATTGTTTATGAGCCCCCACCAGTCTTTAATTCTTAATCTTATTTGAAAAACTGTGGTCATGGGAGGCTCAGATGGGTCATAACACACATCAGGTTGGTCATTTCCTGGGCACATACCTTGTATAGAATAACATTATACAAACAAGTTCTTTTTAGAGTTCCAGTACACTTATAATAACCGTAAAATAATGGGACTGTAGCAACATTTTGTCCTCCCTCAGTGACTTGATGTATACACTAGGAACAGTCCTCAGTCTGAGGAGGGTGAGTTGAAGTCCTTACTGTACAAGTCCAAATTTTAAGGAAAACGAGTCCTGCGATGAGTTTCCTCATGCTTCGGCCGTGCATGGACCAGTCAGCTTCTGGGCGTGACTGGAGCAGGGCTTGTCGTCTTCCTCAGAGTCACTTTGCAGGGGTTGGCGAAGCTGCTGCTATCCACGTACTGCTCACAGTCTACTGATGTTCAAGGATGGTCTCGGAGGTTGCGCCTGCTAGAATAAACTGAGTCCAACACCTCTACACAGTTATGTTCAACTGGGCTCCCCGATACCGGGAGCAAGGTGCTGGGGTTTAGGGTGTTGCAAACTGCAGTGGTTATGTGGGGATTTTCACACAGCAAGCTTTGGTACTTGGTTAATCTAGCATTTGTTAGCCAATGATGTCCTTTGGGATTCATCAAAGTTACCACAGCATGGGGGGCCTTTATATTCAGGTTTTGTCCAAGAGTTAGTTTATCTGCTTCTTGTGCTAACAGGGCCGTTGCTGCCGGGGCCCTTAGACACGGGGGCCAGGCTTTGGAAACCCCCTATAGTTGTTTAGAGAGATAGGCCACTGCCCTTAGCCAGGGCCCCACAGTCTAGGTTAAAACTCCAAATGCCATTTTTTCTCTTTCTGACACATAGAGTGTAAAAGGTTTTGTCACGTCAGGTAGACTCAGGGCTGGGGCCAACAGGAGTTTTTCTTTTAACTCATGAAAAGCTTGTTGCTGTTGGTTGTAATAGATGTAGTTTATCTAATCTACACTTTTATTAACTGTCACCTACTAAAATATTGACGTAAATCCTATAGCTATTTGATTTCAAGCTTTAATTGATCTGGTGTTCCTTGAGGGGCCCCAACTGCATCCAAATAGACGTGAGAGTTGAAAGACCCATAAGGGGCTTCTCTCGCTTTATGACGTCTTATTTTTTCTCCCTCTGGTTGATGAAATGCCAGGGTGAAAGGGATAGCCAAACGGACTAAAGCACAAGTGCCATTCCAGTTATTCAGCAGAGTGCCCAGTAAAGGTCCACCACAATACCACCACACATCCGCACAGGGATGAACAAGGGCTGACTGATTGATAAGCTCTCGAAAATTCTTAAGCTCATCGCATCCCTTCAGGTCTCCAAGGAATGCTGTTTCCTCCCTGTCGTGAGAGACACGAAGTGAACTTAGTGTTGGGAGACAGAAGCTGGATGGCCCTTGCGGGCTGACCCACAGGGTGCTGGATTTCGGGATATAGCAGAGAGAGCTTGGCACGTCTTGTTACTGCAGGCTGTAGAATCCTGGAAAAGAGCTACTATGCAGCCACGCCTGGTCGACTGGCGACCACCTTAGTGGAGGGGGACAATCTGGGCCTCTGGCCTGCCATGTGCACAAGCGTAACAGTTGCTTTTGTTTAATGTGTAGATGGAATATTTGATCCATTTTAACCAGGCATTTGCACCTTGGTATCCTGTCCTAATTGTTAAAGTTTGTTTTAAGTCTTTAACTTCTATGATCCTCTAGTATTCTCCATTCCCCTCTTCTGCAGCCCTAGAAACCACCGTTCTACTTTGTTTCTATGAATCTGGCTACTGTGGATACCTCGTAGAAATGGAATCACACACAGTATTGGTCCTCTTGTGACTGATTATCTCACTCAGCACAATGTCCTCAAGGTTCATCCCTCTTGAAGCGTGTGTCAGAATTGACTTCTTCTTTAAGGCTAATATTCTGCTGTGTGTCCATACCACATTCGGTGTATCCATTTGTCCATTGACGGACTCTTGAGCCGCTGGGAATGGTGCTGCTGTGAACGTAGGGGTGCAAACGTCTGCGTGAGTGCCTGCTTTCACAGCTCTGGGAATATGCCCAGAAGTGGAATGGCCAGGTCACAAGGTCACTCCAGGCACCACACGCCGAGGACCCGCCGGTCACTCCAGGCACCACACGCCGAGGACCCGACGTCACTCCAGGCACCACACGCCGAGGACCCGCCATGCTGCTCTCCTTAGGAGGTGTACTATGTACTATTTTACATTCCAAACAGCAGCACACAGGGTTCTAGCTTCTCCACAGCCTTGCCAATACCTGTTATTTTTCTGTTTTAAGTTGTTTCTGTTTTGTGTTTGTTTTGTTATTTTAATTGTTTGCCATCCTAATGGGTGTGAGGTGGTATCTCATTGTGGCTTTGATTTGCAGTTCTCTAAGAATGAGTGGTGTGAACATCCTCTCATGTGCTTATTGGGCCATTCTTTTCTTTACTTTTTTTTTTTTTTTTTTGAGACGGAGTCTCACTTTGTCGCCCAGGCTGGAGTACAGTGGCGTGATCTCAGCTCACTACAACTTCCACCTCCTGGGTTCAAGCAATTCTCCTGCCTCAGCCTCCCGAGTAGCTGGGATTACAGGCACCCACCACCACGCCCCGCTAATTTCGTATTTTTAGTAGAGACAAGGGTTTATCCATGTTGGTCAGGCTGGTCTCGAACTCCCAACCTCAGGTGATCCGCCCACCTTGGCCTCCCAAAGTGCTAGGATTAGAGGTGTGAGCTACCACGCCCAGCCTATTGGGCCATTCTTGGGAGAGAGGTCTAATTAGTCCTTTGCCTATTTTTGAATCAGGTTGTTTTTGGGGAGTCGTTTTCTGGAGTGTTCCATGGTAAGTAGGTCTATGTAAACCTGTCTCCAAAGTCCGAGGAAGCTGAGAGGTCAAAGAAAAAGGCTAACAAACCCAGTTTCTTAGAAAGAAACACTTAACAGGGACTTAGAAAAAGAAGCCATGTCTGTCTTGGCAGCGGCAAGAGGAGATACTGGATCCCACCATTGCCCCCGCCCAGGGCTTGTGTACCACGGGGAGGGTTGGGAGGGAAGTGCAGGACAATGGGCGGCATCAGGGCCGTCTGACCCTGCGGCAGGGTTTATAGCAAGTGCCTGCCCTTACACAAGGAACAACAGATCACCTGGAAACGTCGGAGGCCTTCCCTGGACGGGTTAGTCGAAAGCCCACACAATAGTCACCATCCAGGCTGGAGCGGCTTTGGCCTCCACAAGGAGTTCCTTCGATATTTTGGATATGAGTCCCTCATCGGACACGTGATTTGCAGATATTCTCCCGTTCTGTGGGGAAGGGGCAGCTTTTCACTCTTTTAGGAGTGTCCTTTGATGAACAAAAGGCTTTAATTTTCACGAAGCCATTTGGCTGTTTGTTGTTGTTGCCTGTACCTTTGGTGTCCAAGGAATCATTGCCAAACCCAGTGTGTGTCAAAAGCTTCTGCTCCCAGTTTCTAACAAGAGTTTACTGTTTCAGGTCTTGCATCCAGATCTTTGATCCATTTTTACTTTTTATTTTACTTTATTTACTTATTTTTTTGAGACAGTCTTGCTCTGTTGCCCAGGCTGGAGTGCAGTGGCGTGATCTCGGCTCACTGCAACCTCTGCCTCCCGGGTTTAAGGGATTCTCCCACCTCGGTCTCCCAAGTAGCTGGGATTTCAGGTGTGCACCACCACACCTGGCTAATTTTTTTTTGTATTTTTAGTAGAGACAGGGTTTCACCATGTTGGCCAGGCTGGTCTCGAACTCCCGACCTCAGGTGATCCACTCTCCTCAGCCTCCCAAAGTGCTGGGATTACAGGTACAAGCGGTGCAAGCCACGGTGCCCAGCATGATCCATTTCTAGTTAATTTTTGTATGTGGTACTGACGAGGGTCCAACTTCATTCTCTTGCATGTATCACACTTTCCCAGCAACAGCCACTGTAACCTCTACCTCGTGGGCTGAAGCCATCCTCCCGCCTGAGCCCACCACGTAGCTGGGCCTGCAGGAGTGCATCACCACACCTGGCTAACTTTTCAAAATTTTTTGTAGAGACAGGTCTCAATATGGTGCCCAGGCTGATCTGAAATTCCTGACCTCAAGCAATCCTCCAACCTTGGCCTCCCCAAGTGCTGGGATTACAGGCATGAGCCATGGTGCACCCTGGCCCCACCAGGAGATTGTATATCCATGGGTACTGGTGACACTGGGCCTCAATAGAACAATTCCATATATACTGTATATGATTCCATTCACAGGACATTCTTGAAAAGATGGAATTACAGAAATGGGCCAGGCACTGTGGCTCATGCCTGTAATCCCAGCACTTTGGGAGGCTAAGCGAGGTAGGCGGATCACCTGAGGTCAGGAGTTCCAGACCAGCCTGGCCAACATGGTGAAACCTCGTCTCTACTAAGAATACAAAAATTAGCCAGGCATGGTGCATGCCTGTAATCCCAGCTACTTGGGAGGCTTGGGAAAATCTCTTGAACCTGAAAGGTGGAGGTTGCAGTGAGCTAAGATCGCGCCACTGCACTCCAGCCTGGGCAACAGAACAAGACTGTCAAAAAAAAAGAAAGAAAAGAAAAAGAAAGAAAGAGAGAAAGAGAGAGGGGAGGGAAGGAAGGAAGGAAGGGAGGAAGGAAGGAGAAAAAAAGAAAAGAAAAGGAAAGGACAAGAAAAGAAAAAAGAATTACAGAAATGGACAGAACAGATGAATGGTTGCCAGCCCTGAAGGAGGGTTGGAGGGAGGGAGTGGGTGTGGCTGTGGAAGGGTGAGGACCATATCCTGACTCTGTGAACATCAATACCCCAGCTGTGTGCACTGCAGGGTTCCAGGTGCTACCACTGAGGGAGGTAAAGGGTGCCCAGCATCTCTCTGTAAAACACCTTACAGCTGCATGCAAATCTAAAATTATCACAAAAAGCTTAATTAAAAATAAATAAACGTGTTCCTGCCTAGCTGCCTGGTCTAATTAAATTAGGGTGGGTGCATGTGGGACCTGGCTGCCGCAAGTGACGCCAGTCCATAACCGGGGCTGACACCATTGCCTCTGGGGTCCCCACCAGGTCCCCCGCCCTGCGCAAGGCACAGGTTACCTTTACTGCTAAGGTTCTAACTATGTGAACCCCTTCTAAAGGGCGAGCCAGGGAGAGAGGCCCCAGAGGGCCGGCACTCTCCCGAAACCAGCTAGGAGAGGATGCGGACACCACACAGAAGGCCCATCGCACCCCTTTGGTAAACCGTAAGTCTCATAATCCCAGCAGTTCAGGAGGCCGAGGTGGGTGGATCACCTGAGGTCAGGAGTTCAAGACCACCCTGGCCAACATGGTGAAATCCTGTCTCTACTAAAAATACAAAAATTCGTCGGGCATGGTGGCGTGCACCTGTAATCACAGCTACTCAGGAGGCTGAGGCAGGAGAATCGCTTCAACCCAGGAGGCAGAGGTTGCAGTGAGCCGAGATCTCACCACTGCACTCCAGCCTGAGTGACAAGAGTGAAACTCTGTCTCAAAAAAAAAAAAACCCTTAACTAATGGGTACAAAAAAATTAGAAAGAATAAGACCTAGTATTTGATAGCACAACAGGGTGACTATATTCAATAATAATTTAATTGTACATTTTAAAGTAACAGAGTATAATCGGATTGTTTGTAACGCAAAGGATAAATGCTTGAGGGGATGGATACCCCACTATCCATGATGTGACTATTACACTTTGCACGCCTGTATCAAAACGTATACCCCATGGGAGGCTGAGGCAGGTGGATCACTTGAGGCCCGGAGTTCGAGACCAGCCTGGCCAACATGATGAAACCCCGTCTGTACTAAAAATGCAAAAATTAGCCAAGTGTGGCGGTGCTCGTCTGTAGTCCCAGCTACTCGGGGGCTGAGGCAGGAGAATCACTTGAACCTGAGAGGCGGAGCTTGCAGTGGACTGAAATCACGCCACTGCACTCCGGCCTGGGTGACAGAGTGAGACTCTGTCTCAAAAAAAAAAAAAAAAGAAACAAAAACATGTACCCCATAAATACGTACGCCTACTATGTGCCCACAAAAATTCAAAACAACGCAAAACAAAACCTCTTAACACCAAATCCTAAAACTCTTAGTCTTCATATTTGATTTCTTTTTTTGAGGCAAGGGCTTGCTCTGTTGCCCAGGCTGGGGTGCAGCAGCCCGACACAGCTCACTGCAGCCTAGACTTCCTGTTGTCCAGGCTGGTATCAAACTCCTAGACTCAAGCAATCATCCCACCTCAGCCTTCTGAAGTGCTGGGATTATAGATGTGAACCACTCCAACCCCATATTTGATTTTTGTACAGCAACAGTTCCCAGATATAAAAACAGGCTAACCATGATGGCTCACAGCTTTAATACTAGTGCTTTAGGAGACTGAGGCAGGAGGATCATTTGAAGCCAGGAGTTAGTTTGACACTTGCCTGGTCAACATAGTGAGACTTCATTTCTACAAGAAATTTTTTTAAAATTAGCCAGGTGTGGCCAGGCGCAGTGGCTCACTCCTGTAATCCCAGCGCTTTGGGAGGCTGAGGCAGGTGGATCACCTGAGGACAGGAGTTCAAGACCAGCCTGGCCAATATGGTGAAACCCTGTCTCTACTAAAAATAAAAAATTAGCTGGGCGTGGTGGCAGGCGCCTGTAGTCCCAGCTACTCGGGAAACTGAGACAGGAGAATCTCTTGAACACGGGAGGCAGAGGTTGCAGTAAGCAAAGATTGTACCACTGCATTCCAGCCTGGGAGGTTGCAGTCAGCTGAGATCACACCACTGCACTCCAGCCTTGGCAACAGAGTGAGACTCCATCTAAAAAAAAAAAAACACAAACAAACGAAAAAAAGAAAAACAATTAGCCAGGTATAGCATTCCTGTAGTCCTAGCTCTTCAGGAGTGATATGGTTTGGGTCTGTGTCCCCACCCAAATCCCATGTCAACTGTCATCCTCAATGCTGGAGGTGGGGTCTGGTGGGAGGTGATTGGATCATGTGGGCGGATTTCCCACTTGGTGCCCTTCTGGTGATAGTGAGTTCTCTTGAGATCTGGTCTGTTAAAAGTATGTGGCACCCCAGCCTCGGCATCGTCTGGGAAGTGAGGGGCACCTCTGCCCGGGTACCCCCACTGTCTGGGAAGTGAGGAGCGTCTCTGCCCGGGTCCCCCGACTGTCTAGGAAGTGAGGAGCGCCTTTGCCCGGCTGCTGTGCAACCCTCCAAATGTGAAGTGATAGCCTTGTGTGTAATCTTTCTACCTGCCCCAAGTTTGCATTTTCAACATTAAAGTTTACTTTTTAACTAAAAGTTTTAAATTGGAGAATTAAAAAAAAAAAAGTATGTGGCACCTCCCCACTCCTCTCCTCCTCCTGCTCTGGCCATGGAAAACGTGCCCACTTCCTGGGATTACAGGTGTGAGCCACCACACCTGGCAGGAAGTTTTGAAGTAGACTCGACATAATTGGATTTACATTTGTTAGATACAGTGAGTTCCTCTTCAAAGGTTCCACTTTACAGCAAACAACCTTCCAGCCACTCCCAATCTATAACCCAATCTGTAACCCACATCTGTTCCCAATCTGCAGCCCAATCTGTAAAACCCACATCTGTTCCCAATCTGCAGCCCAACCTGTAAAACCCACATCTGTTCCCAATCTGCAGCCCAACCTGTAAAACCCACATCTGTTCCCAATCTGCAGCCCAACCTGTAAAACCCACATCTGTTCCTTATTTGGCCACTGTAGCCGCCCCTGATCCATTTGAAGTAGCCAATGGGGATCGGCTTAGATGGTGTGGTGCGACTCCAGCCAATGGGGACTGGACACAGTAGCAGGGCGTGACTGCTTTAGGGATAAACACCCCTGCCCTGCTTTGTTCGGTGTGCTCTCCCAGTGGCCAGAAGAGAGAGCGGCACTCTTCTGCAGAAGTAAATTTGCCTTGCTGAGAAGGCAAATTTGTGAGCACTCAAAAAAAAGCCAGTGGAAGTTTTTTTTTGTTTGTATTTTGAGATGGAGTTTTGTTCTTGTTGCCCAGGCTGGAGTGCAGTAACACAGTCTTGGCCCACTGCAACCTCTGCCTCCCAGGTTCAAGCGATTCTCCTGCCTCAGCCTCCTGAGTAGCTGGGATTACAGGTGTCTACCACCAGCCCTGGCTAATTTTTTGTGTGTGTTTTTAGTATTTGAGTGCTCATTTTCTTTTTTTTTTTTTCTTTCTTTTCTTTTTTTTTTTTTTCAGACAGAGTCTTGCTCTGTTGCCCAGGCTGGAGTGCAGTGGTGCAATCTCAGGTCACTGCAAGCTCCGCCTCCTGGGTTCACGCCATTCTCCTGCCTCAGCCTCCCGAGTAACTGGGACTACAGGTGCCCGCCATCTTGCCCGGCTAATTTTTTGTATTTTTTTTAGTAGAGACGGGGTCTCACCATATTTGCCAGGATGCTCTAGATCTCCTGACCTCGTGATCTGCCCACCTTGGTCTCCCAAAGTGCTGGGATTACAGGTGTGAGCCACCGCGCCCAGCCTTGAGTGCTCATTTTCTTTGCGACTCCAAGCTCTTATTTCCAACACATTTGAGAGGAAGCTGTCCTTGTGCAGTCTCAGCTGTGTGATTGTGTGGGCCAGCTGTGCAACATGTCAAGTTACTTTACCTTTCTGCATCAGGGCGCAATCAATCAGCAGACAGAAACTGCACAGTCATTTGGGCAAGGAACGTTTAATATAAAGGATTATTTACTATAATGGAATTATCTGTACAGGGCTAAAGATAATGCAAAAGAATACTCTGGGCTGACAGAGAGTTCCCAAGGAAGGAGAAAATGTGAAAGATGGCCTCCTCCCCAAGGCTGGGGCTCAAATCTTGGAAAAGGTGTGGTTGCAGAGATGCTGTTTGGTGCAGTATGGATGATGGAGAGGTTCTCTGGTTTTCCCGTAGCCAGAGCTGGTCCACAGTCAATGGGCAATCACTCCTGCAGGTGTAGAGGGGTTGAAGGTGGCAGGTAGGGAGCCTGGCCAGGACTGGCAAGCAGGAAACACCTCTCTGGGGCAGGCTGAGGCTGGATGCTGACCAGTGGAGCATCTGCAAGACTCACGGGGATCCACCCATGGCATTGCAAGTGAAGTTGGCTGGGGGTGAGCAACACTGAGTGTGCTGGCAGCCACATGGCAGGAACAAGAAGAAAACAGAAGAAAGTGCAGAACAGGAAGAGAAGCACTTTCCTCCTGCAGGGTCCCTCCAGTGCCCTCTACTTACAAAGCTTAACGTCATACCTGCTTTAAAGGAGAAACAATTTAGGGCCCAGCTCCATTTTCACCAAGCAGGCGATGAAGTATGTATTTGAAGCTGAAAGACAGTAAATGGAGAATTGGCAGTTTCAAGCCTCAGTTGGGCCCTTGGTTTTCTCAGTACTCACTCTGTGCCTCCCAACAACTAATCTTCTTTCTGATTCTCCAAGTAGCTCTTTCAACACTCCGTAAAAATCCTATCCACCATCTTTCTTCCCACTTGGAAGAAAACCTTGCCTTTTTTTTTTTTTTGACAGGGTCTCACTCTGTCATTCAGGCTGGAGAGCAGTGGTGCGATCTTGGCTCACTGCAACCTCATCCTCCTGGGCTCAAGAAATCCTCCCACCTCAGCTGCTTGAGTAGCTGAGACAACAGGTGCATGCCGCCACGTCTGGCTAATTTTTGTATTTTTTGTGGACACGAGATTTTGCCATGTTGGCCAGGCTGGTGTCAAACTCCTGGGCATCTGCCTGCCTCAGCCTTCCAAAGTGCCAGGATTATAGACCTGAGCCACCAAGCCTGGATCTTGTCTCTTATTTTACAGGGAAAATACATAATAATGTGTGTTTGATTACAATTGAATAATGCAGGCTTTGGGAAATCCACCTGTTATGGGTTGATTTGTTTCCCCCCAAATTGAAATGCTGAACCTAATGCCCGGTACCTGAGAATGTGATTGGATTTGGAGATAGGGCCTCTAAAGAGGTAGTAAAGTTAAAATGGGGCCTTTGGGTGGGCCCTAACCTGATCTGACTAGGGTCCTTCTAAGAGGAGGAAATTTGGATGCACAGAGAGACATGGGATGTGTGTTTGCACAGAGGGAGGGAGGGCCTTGCGGGGACACAGCATGGGATGTGTGTGCACATGGAGGGAGGTAGGGCCTCGAGGGGACACAGCATGGGATGTATGTGCACATGGAGGAAGGAGGGAGGGCCACGCATGGACACAGCGTGGGATGTACATGCACACGGAGGAGGGAGGGCCACGTAGGGACACAGGATGGGATATGTGTGCACATGGAGGGAAGGAAGGCCTCACGGGGACACAGGATGGGATGTGTGTGCACACGGAGGGAGGGAGGCCACGCATGGACACAGCATGGGATGTGTGTGCACACAGAGGAGGGAGGGGCACGCAGGGACACAGGATGGGATGTGTGTGCACACGGAGGGAGGGAGGCCACGCATGGACACAGCATGGGATGTGTGTGCACACAGAGGAGGGAGGCCACGCGGGGACACAGGATGGGATGTGTGTGCACACAGAGGAGGGAGGGGCACGCAGGGATACAGCATGGGATGTGTGTGCACACGGAGGAGGGAGGGGCACGCAGGGACACAGGATGGGATGTGTGTGCACACAGAGGAGGGAGGGGCACGCAGGGACACAGGATGGGATGTGTGTGCACACGGAGAGAGGGAGGCCACGCATGGACACAGCATGGGATGTGTGTGCACACAGAGGAGGGAGGGGCACGCAGGGACACAGGATGGGATGTGTGTGCACACGGAGGGAGGGAGGCCACGCAGGGATACAGCATGGGATGTGTGTGCACACGGAGGAGGGAGGGAGGCCACACAAGGACACAGCAAGAAGGCGGCCATCGGCAAGCCAAGGAGAGGAGCCTCCGGCAAAACCCAACCTGGGACACTTTAGTCTCTTCTGGCTTCCGGAACTGTGAGAGAATAATTAATTTCTGTTGTTAAGTAACCTACTCTGCAGTATTTTTAATGGCACCCTGGTGTAACTAACATACTACTGGTGTTGGAGTATTTTATAACTTGTGGAGGCCATGGAAGCATCCCCCGCGCTGTCAGGGAGGCAGAATGTCCTGTGAAAGGAACAAAATCACTTTGGACACACCTGGCAACTGGGCAAAACCTCAACTGGTTCCTTGATCAACAGAGTGAGTCTTGTAGTGGGAAAATCAAAGTGGAAGCTCCTGCAACTCTACCCTCTGTGGAGAATGGCAGGCGTTAAGGCCACCTGTGAAGACGTAAAAGATCCGCACTCGCCTTGCTCCCATCCCCCTCGTCCCCAGGCTCCTCGTCCCAGTGCCCCTAGTCCCTGTGCCCCTCGTCCCCACCCACCTTCTTCCTGTCCCTTGTCCCCACCCACCTCATCCCCATCCCCCTTGTTTCTGTCCCCCTCATCCCCGCCCACCTTATCCCCATCCCTCTCATCCCCATCCCCCTTGTCCTCATCCTTCTTGTCCCCGTCCCCTTATCCACCTTGTTCCTGTCCCCTTAATTCACATCCCCCTTTACCCTGCCCTCCTTGTCCCCATCCCCCTTATCCCTGTCCCTCTTGTCCCCACCCGCCTTGTTCCATCCCCCTCATCCCCATTCCCCTTGTCCCCATACACTCCCTTGTCCCTGTCCCTCTTGTTCTTGTCCCCCTTGTCCCCATCTGCCTGTCCCCACCCGCCTTACAATCTGGAAACCCAACCCCTGCGGAAGCTGCATGACCGTGGTGGACAGCAGTGGACTACCACAGGCTTAAACAGTAGTAGCTGAGGCACGCTTGTGGCCATCCACATGGTCTTTCCAGAAGAGACTGATGTGGCCACGTGCATGTGGTTTTTGGCTACTGGTCTGATAAACACATCATTTCCGAAACCTGTTTGGAAGGGGAATCGGAGCAGTTCCTGCCCACGCGGGGCCAACAGCGGCACACAGGTACGGTCGCTCCAGAACCGAGTGGGGTGCCTCGTCCCAACATGGCCCAAAGGCCTGACCCACTGGATGGTCCACGAGCAAAGGTTGGCCCATTCAGTGGATGCCTTAATGGGCACTGGACTCATGCAGAGATAGCAGGTGCGCTGATGGCCTCAGAAAAACACGGGCGCTGTGGAGGGCAGGAGGCAGACTCCGTACACTTCAGAGACCTGCCCCATGAGCAATGTTCTCAGGGTGCGGTGGCCTGTAGGGTGCTGGGGCAGGCCCGATGCCTCTTTGGGCTTGAAGGCAATATGTTCTGCCCTTGGCGGGGGAGAGGGAAAGCCGTCGGCTCTGAGTGGGGTCTGGAGCAAGGGAAGGGGCTGAGGCAGGCCCAGGCTGGGTGACAGGCAGTCCTGCCACGTGGGTCATGTGGCCGTGAAGTTCCCACAGGCTTCACATGTGTGGCAAAGACACGAGTGGCGCCCGTGACGAGCCTCAGTGCAGGATGTGCAGCCCAGGCCCAAGGCCACCGGCGCAGGGCCCCGTCATGTTCAGGGGACTCCACCAGCTGGTAGGTGGTGCGGGCAAGTGTTCGGGCCCTGACCGTGGAGGCCACGGTGTTTATGAGACTGGCGCTGCCCATCGTGACTGGGTGCTGTCGGAGCTACCAGTCGCACATCCAAGGGGCCGTCAGGAGTTTACTGGGAGATGGAAGTGGAGTCCAAGATTGGGCTTGGGCAGGTCCAGAAGGCACAAGGATGGCCCAGGTCCCCGTGCCACCCTCTATTCTCCACTGGGCCTCTCCCCAAGCCCATGCCTGTGGCTCCATGGGGAGGTCCCCGAGCCCTGCTGCAGGAGACGGGTAGTCTCGTACCTGGCTTACGGGGGGGCCCGGTGTGCTCTGTGGCCCTCCAGTCAGAGCAGGGCTCCTGCAGCAAGGCAGTCGGTGAAATGCAGCTCCAGCCCACCTCACAGTGGCCCAGTGGGTCCCTGAACCCAAAAGGCAACACTAGAGCTCCACAGCCTAGAAGCCGCACACCGCAGCGCGCCGTCTTCACCCTTCCTTGGCTATGAGCTCTTCCAGGCAGCACAAAGCACAGGGAAATGCCCCAGGGTGACGATGTGACTGCTTGCAGCCTGCTTTCAAAAAGAACGCCAGGAACACAGGCAGGAAAGGTGGGCAGGAGAGAGAATGAGACTGATAGCCACCAGGTAGCTGACTCCAAATTAATAGGATTGTCAACTCCTTACCAATTTATATTTACCGGTTACATAAAAAATGGTACAGTGACCTCCCCTTCCAGCCATGATTAACAAGTATTGGACTTGCCCTCCTGCCCTAAACTAGAAAGCTGGACAAAATCCATGCAACAGCTGCTGTTAGATGTTGGAGGGTGCAGTGCTGTGACCTGCCCAGGAGGATGGAGATGGGGGGGGCACCTCCCATGATGCCAGCTCTCTGCCTGGTGGCATTTTCTAGAATACAGCATATGAAGGGGAAACACAGGCATGGTATCAACTCACTAAGTTGAGGAGGCAGAGGTTGGACTCTGGGGAGGTACAGAAGGCTCGCATTTATGGGGTCCAGTACGAGAAAGAAACTGGGACCCATGAAGAGGAAGTCCCCAGTGCTGCCATGAGTGTTTGGATGAACGTTAAGCTGCACACACCATGGGGCCAGGCCACAAGCCACGGGGAGCTGACAGCAGACAATCCCCAAATAGCTTGCAGGCCTGGGAGGTGCTCAAAGTGTGATGAGCCAGAGTGGTGGGCCTTGCTGCCCAGTGGCGGCACTCAGTGAGAACTGCGAAGGGTCCAGCCCTACCAGGAGCACGGCTAACCTGGAGTAAAGGCCGCTGTAGACCAGCCTCAGCCAAGCTCAGAAACAAGCCTCAAAGGACTAAGCTGATCTACAGTCATTAAGCTGCCTGCAAAAAAATTCAATAATTTTGAAAGGAAGACAAATTTCAGACCCTCAACAATGTAACATTCACAATATCTATCAAAAAAATTACTAAACACACAGAGGTGAAAATGTCACCCATAGCCAAGAGAAACATCCATCAGCTGGAGAACATCCAGGCCGGGTGTGGTGGCTCATGCCTGTCATCCCAGCACTTCGGGAGGCTGGGCGTGCAGATCACTTGAGGTCAGGAATTTGAGGCCAGCCTGGTCAACATGACAAAACCCCATCTCTACTAAAAATACAAAAATTAGCCGGGCGTGGTGGCGTGCATTTGTAGTCCCAGCTACTCGGGAGGCTGAGGCAGGAGAATCGCTTGAACCTGAGAGGCAGAGGTTGCAGTGAGCTGAGATCGCGCCACTGCACTCCAGCCTGGGTGACAGAGTGAGACTCCATCTCAAACAAAACAAAACAAAACCCTGAAGAACATCCAGACATGATAAAGATGGTGGAATTAGCAGATAAGAACTTTTAAAAAGCCAAATGAGTAATTTCACAGGTTTAAAGGAAAACGTGGTAATGAGGAAAGGAATGAAAGGTATAAAGAAGAATCCAGTAGAACTTCTACAGCTGAAAAACCTACATCTGAAATGAAAAGTTCAATGGTGGAATGAACATGAGACCACAAAGGCTTCTGAACCTAAGGTGACCTTTTAGAAATAAAAACAAAACAAAATAAACAAACAAAAAAGACCTCAAAGGCAAAAGAAAAGGTCAATGGACTTGAAGACAAACCCACAGAACATGCCCACATTGCAGCACAGCGAGGGAAGGGGCAGGAAGGCACCAGCAAACAGGGCCACAGTGCCCCGAAGGCGAGCGAAGAGGCAGGAAGGCACCAGCAAACAGGGCCACAGTGCCCCGAAGGCAAGCGAAGAGGCAGGAAGGCACCAGCAAACAGACCCACAGTGCCCCGAAGGCAAGTGAAGAAGGAGCAAGAAGGCACCAGCAAACAGGGCCACAGTGCCCCGAAGGCGAGCGAAGAGGCAGGAAGGCACCAGCAAACAGGGCCACAGTGCCCCGAAGGCGAGCGAAGAGGCAGGAAGGCACCAGCAAACAGGGCCACAGTGCCCCGAAGGCGAGCGAAGAGGCAGGAAGGCACCAGCAAACAGGGCCACAGTGCCCCGAAGGCGAGCGAAGGGGCAGGAAGGCACCAGCAAACAGGGCCACAGTGCCCCAAAGGCAAGTGAAGAAGGAGCAGGAAGGCACCAGCAAACAGGGCCACAGTGCCCCAAAGGCGAGCGAAGGGGCAGGAAGGCACCAGCAAACAGACCCACAGTGCCCCGAAGGCAAGTGAAGAAGGAGCAAGAAGGCACCAGCAAACAGGGCCACAGTGCCCCGAAGGCGAGCGAAGAGGCAGGAAGGCACCAGCAAACAGGGCCACAGTGCCCCGAAGGCAAGCGAAGAGGCAGGAAGGCACCAGCAAACAGACCCACAGTGCCCCGAAGGCAAGTGAAGAAGGAGCAAGAAGGCACCAGCAAACAGACCCACAGTGCCCCGAAGGCGAGCGAAGGGGCAGGAAGGCACCAGCAAACAGGGCCACAGTGCCCCGAAGGCAAGTGAAGAAGGAGCAGGAAGGCACCAGCAAACAGGGCCACAGTGCCCCAAAGGCGAGCGAAGAGGCAGGAAGGCACCAGCAAACAGGGCCACAGTGCCCCCGAAGGCGAGCGAAGAGGCAGGAAGGCACCAGCAAACAGGGCCACAGTGCCCCCGAAGGCGAGCGAAGAGGCAGGAAGGCACCAGCAAACAGGGCCACAGTGCCCCGAAGGCGAGCGAAGGGGCAGGAAGGCACCAGCAAACAGGGCCACAGTGCCCCAAAGGCAAGTGAAGAAGGAGCAGGAAGGCACCAGCAAACAGGGCCACAGTGCCCCAAAGGCGAGCGAAGGGGCAGGAAGGCACCAGCAAACAGGGCCACAGTGCCCCAAAGGCAAGTGAAGAAGGAGCAGGAAGGCACCAGCAAACAGGGCCACAGTGCCCCGAAGGCAAGCGAAGAGGCAGGAAGGCACTAGCAAACAGGGCCACAGTGCCCCGAAGGCAAGTGAAGAAGGAGCAAGAAGGCACCAGCAAACAGGGCCACAGTGCCCCGAAGGCAAGCGAAGAAGGAGCAAGAAGGCACCAGCAAACAGGGCCACAGTGCCCCGAAGGCAAGCGAAGAGGCAGGAAGGCACCAGCAAACAGGGCCACAGTGCCCCGAAGGCAAGCGAAGAGGCAGGAAGGCACCAGCAAACAGGGCCACAGTGCCCCGAAGGCGAGCGAAGAGGCAGGAAGGCACCAGCAAACAGGGCCACAGCGCCCCGAAGGCGAGCGAAGAGGCAGGAAGGCACCAGCAAACAGGGCCACAGCGCCCCGAAGGCGAGCGAAGGGGCAGGAAGGCACCAGCAAACAGGGCCACAGCGCCCCGAAGGCGAGCGAAGGGGCAGGAAGGCACCAGCAAACAGGGCCACAGTGCCCCGAAGGCGAGTGAAGGGGCAGGAAGGCACCAGCAAACAGGGCCACAGCGCCCCGAAGGCGAGTGAAGGAGCAGGAAGGCAGCAGCAAACAGGGCCACAGTGCCCCGAAGGCGAGCGAAGAGGCAGGAAGGCACCAGCAAACAGGGCCACAGTGCCCCGAAGGCAAGCGAAGAGGCAGGAAGGCACCAGCAAACAGACCCACAGTGCCCCGAAGGCAAGTGAAGAAGGAGCAAGAAGGCACCAGCAAACAGGGCCACAGTGCCCCGAAGGCGAGCGAAGAGGCAGGAAGGCACCAGCAAACAGACCCACAGTGCCCCGAAGGCAAGTGAAGAAGGAGCAGGAAGGCACCAGCAAACAGGGCCACAGTGCCCCGAAGGCGAGCGAAGAGGCAGGAAGGCACCAGCAAACAGACCCACAGTGCCCCGAAGGCGAGCGAAGGGGCAGGAAGGCACCAGCAAACAGGGCCACAGTGCCCCGAAGGCAAGTGAAGAAGGAGCAGGAAGGCACCAGCAAACAGGGCCACAGTGCCCCAAAGGCGAGCGAAGAGGCAGGAAGGCACCAGCAAACAGGGCCACAGTGCCCCGAAGGCGAGCGAAGAGGCAGGAAGGCACCAGCAAACAGGGCCACAGTGCCCCGAAGGCGAGCGAAGAGGCAGGAAGGCACCAGCAAACAGGGCCACAGTGCCCCGAAGGCGAGCGAAGGGCAGGAAGGCACCAGCAAACAGGGCCACAGCGCCCGAAGGCGAGTGAAGGAGCAGGAAGGCAGCAGCAAACAGGGCCACAGTGCCCCGAAGGCGAGCGAAGAGGCAGGAAGGCACTAGCAAACAGACCCACAGTGCCCCGAAGGCAAGTGAAGAAGGAGCAGGAAGGCACCAGCAAACAGGGCCACAGCGCCCCGAAGGCGAGTGAAGGAGCAGGAAGGCACCAGCAAACAGGGCCACAGCGCCCCGAAGGCGAGTGAAGGAGCAGGAAGGCACCAGCAAACAGGGCCACAGTGCCCCGAGGGCAACAGGAAGCAAATTTCACCTAAAATTGCAATTCCTGGCTAGGAGGGATGGCTCACGCCTGTCATCCCAGCACTTGGGGAGGCCGAGTTGCGTGGATCACCTGAGGTCAGAAGTTTGAGACCAGCCTGGCCAACATGGTGAAACCCCATCTCTACTAAAAATACAAAAATTAGCCGGGCGTAGTGGTGGACACCTGTAGTCCCAGTTATTCGGGAGGCTGAGACAGGAGAATTGCTTGTATCTGGAAAGTGGAGGTTGCAGTGAGCAGAGATCATGAGACTACACTATAGCATGGGCAACAGAGTGAGACTCTGTTTCAAAAAATAATAATGAAAACAAAAATAAATAAATAAAATTAGAATTCCTCTTGGTGTGGGAGGGTGGCAGAAAAACATTGTAAGAAACTGTGGGCTGGGTGCGGTGGCTCACGCCTGTCATCCCAGCACTTTGGGAGGCCGAGGCGGGTGGATCACCCGAGGTCAGGAGTTCAAGACCAGCCTGGCCAACATGGCAAGACCCTGTCTCTACTAAAAATACAAAAAAATTAGCTGGGTGTGGTGGCAGGCGCCTGTAATCCCAGCTACTCGGGAGGCTGAGGCAGGAGAATTGCTTGAACCTGGGAGGCAAAGGTTGCGGTGAACCGAGATCGTGCCATTGCACTCCAGCCTGGGCAACAAGAGTGAAACTCCGTCTCAAAAAAAAAAAAATAGAAACTGTGATGGAAAAGATTCCAAATAAAACGAAAATAATAGAGCTACAAATCCAAGATCAATAACCCCCAAGAAGGATAAAAACAAAGAAAGCCACACCAAGGCACATCATAATCAAACAGCTACAAGCCAGTGATAAAGAGAAAATCTTACAAGCACTCAGAGGCAAAGTAAATTACATATTATATATCCAGCAACATCCTTCAAAAATGAAGGCGAAATCAAAATATTTTCCAAAGATAAAAGTTGAAAGAACTTGGCCGAGCATGGTGGCTCACACCTGTAATCCCAGTAGTCTGGGAGGAGGCCAAGGCGGGAGGATTGCTTGAGCCTAGGAGTTCCAGACCCGCCTGGGCAACATAACGAGACCCTTTTTTTTTTTTTGGAAAAAAAAAAGAGCCAGGCATGGTGGCTCATGTCCATGTCATCCCAGCACTTTGGGAGGCTGAGGGGGGCAGATCACCTGAGGTCAGGAGTTTGAGACCAGCCTGGCCGTCATGTTGAAACCCCATCTCTATTAAAAATACAAAAAATTAGCCGTGCATTGTGGTGGGCACCTGTAATCCCAGCTACTCGGGAGGCTGAGGCAGGAGACTCACTTGAACTGGGAGGCGGAGGCTGCAGTGAGCCAAGACCACGTCATTGCACTCCAGCCTGGGCAACAAGAGTGAAACTCCATCTCAAAAAAAAAGGAAAGAAATTTAATCTCCAGTCTCCAATGTGGCAGTACTGAGAGGTAAGGCCTTTAAGGGGGTGACTGAATCACCAGGGCTCTGCTCTCATTTGTGGATTAATAGATCAATGGGTTACCAGGGAGGGGATCTGAAGGCTTTGTAAGAAGAGGAAGAGACCTGAGCTATCCCGTAAGTATGCTCAGCGCCTCACCATTGATGTCCCGCACCATCTCTGGACTTTGCAGAGTCCCCACTAGCAAGAAGACTCTCACCAGATGCGGCCCCTTGACCTTGGACTTCTCTGCCTCCATAGCTGTAAGAAATAAAATCTTTTCTTTTATAAATTACCCAGTTTCAGGCCAGGTATGGTGTCGCACACCTGTAGTCCCAGCTACTCGGGAGGCTGAGGCAGGAAGATCACTTGAGCCCAGAGGTTTGAGGTTGCAGTGAGCTATTGTGGCATCATTACCCTCTAGCCTGGGTAACAGAGTGAGATTCTGTCAGACAAACATAAATAATCCAGTTGCAGGGATTCTGTTGTAGGCAACAGAAAATGGACTAAGACAGAAAATTGGTACTGAGAGTGAGGTGCTGCTAATAAAAAATAACCAAAAATGTAGAAGCAGCTTTGAAACTGAGTAATGGGCAGAAGCTGCAAGAATTTGGGGGAGCAGGCTAGAAAAGGCCTAGATTCTGGTGAGGGCTTAGAAGACAAGACTAGGGAAAGACTGGACCTCTTTAGAGATCCATTAAGTGGTCACAACCAGAACGCAGATAGAAGTATGAACTATAAAGGCCATTCTGATGAAGTTTCAGATGGAACGGAGGCACAAAGTGTTGGACAGTGAAGTAAAGGTCATCCTTAATATAAATTGGCAACGAGCTTCGCTGAATTGTGTCCATGCCTCGGGCTTTGAGGAAGGTCAAACTTAAGAGTGATGAACTAGGATATCTGGAAGAAAAAAAGAGGAGCTGCTGGTGGCCGGGCGTGGTGGCTCACACCTGTAATCCCAACACTTTGGGAGGCCAAGGCAGGCGGATCACCTGAGGTCGGGAGTTCGAGACCAGCCTGGCCAATGTGGAGAAACCCCATCTCTACTAAAAATACAAAATAAGCTGGGTGTGGCAGCACATGCCTGTAATCCCAGCTACTCGGGAGGCTGAGGCAGGAGAATCGCTTGAACCCGGGAGGCAGAGCCTGCGGTGAGCCGAGATCACACCATTGAACTCCAGCCTAGGCAACAACAGCAAAACTTCATCTTAAAAAAAAAAAAAAAAAAAAAGAAGGAGCTGCTGGTTACTTTTGGCCTCTTATGCTGAGCTTTGAGAGTAAAGGAATAGTTTAAAAACAGAATTTATAAATTAAAAGGAAGCAGAGTGGAAAGATTTGGAAAACTCAGCCTGGCCATGTAGAGTAAAAGTATGTTCAGCAGAGGAAACCAAGGGTATAGCCCAGTGAAGTTTGTGAAAGAAATTAGCTTGGGTAGAAGCGAGCCAGGTGCAATTCTCCCAAGACAATGAAACTAAGTCCCAGCAGGCATTTCAGATTATCGAGGCTGCCTCTCCCATCAGAGGCTCAGAGGCCTAGGAAGGCAGAATGTTTTCGGGGGACAGACCCCAGGAGCCCTCCACAAGCTCACCCAGGGCCACCTTAGGACTCTGCTCTGGGCACCACAGCCGTTGTTCAAGTAGCCCCAGATGTGAATGCCTCACTCCAGAACACACAAGCCCTAAACCTTGGTGGCATCCATGTGGTGCTAGTTCTGCTGGCTTAGGGAAAGCCAGAGCTGTGAAGGCTTGGCAGCCTCCATCCAGATTGCACAGGATACCACTGAAAGCTGAGGGGCCAGGCAGAGACTTGTAGCAGGGGTGGAGGCACTACAGAGAACCCCCACTAAAGCAATGCTGAGTGGAAATGAGTTGGAGGTGCTGGAGAGTCCCCACCAGGGTAATGTCTAGCGAGCCATGGGAGTGGGACCACCACTGGGACCCAAGAACCGTGGAGTCACTGGCAGCATGCATGCTTGCCTGGAAAAGCTTCAGGCACCAGACTCTAACCCATAGGAGGTAGAGCAAAGCCATAGAGTGGGGGTGCCTGAGGCCTTGGGGACCCAACCCTCGCCCTGGGGTGTCCAGGAAGTGGCACATGGAGTCAAGAGATGATTCTCCAACTTCAGGATTTAATGCCTTCCCTGCAGGGTTTTGGACTTGCTTGGGACCTGCTAACCCTTTCTTATTGCTTACCCCTCCCTGATGGAGTGGGAATGTCTGCCTTTTGCCTGTCACCATCATTGTATCTCGGAAGTAGATAACTTATTTGATTTCACAGGCTCACAGATGAGACTCTGGACTCTGGACTTTTGATTCAGTGCTGGAATAAAATCTGGGGACTATGGGATTGCAACAAATCTGTTTGAGAAGGACATGAGTTTTGGACAGAATGCTGAGTATCTGCCCCTCCAAAACTCATGTAGAAATTTCATCCCCAATATGGCAGTACTGAGAGGTGGCGTCTAAGACGTGATTGGATCATGAGGGTGAAGCTCTCAGATGAATTAATCTACTCTGGCTGGGCGCGGTGGCTCATGCCTGTAATCCCAGCACTTTGGGAGGCCGAGGCAGGCGAATCATGAAGTCAAGGGTTTGAGACCAGCCTGGTCAACATGGTGAAACACCCGTCTCTACTAAAAATAGAAAAAATTAGTTTGGCATAATGGTGGGTGCCTGTAATCCCAGCTACTCAGGAGGCTGAGGCAGGAGAATTGCTTGAACCCAGGAATCAGAGGTTGCAGCGAGCTGAGATCTCACCACTGCGCTCCAGCTCGGGCGACAGAGTGAGCCACTGCGCCCTGCCAGAGGAGATCCTTTTAAATATAATTAAAATAGAATGTTGAATAAAATGTAGTGGAATGTTTTGAACTTTATGCCAATAATTCACTGTTTTACATGAAATGAATAATTCTTTGAGAGATAAAAGTTACCAAACTTGGCACAAGAAGAAATAGAAAAACCTGAACTGTTACAGCTGTTTAAAAAAATTGAATTTATGGCTGGGCACAGTAGCTCACTCCTGTAATCCCAACATTTTGGGAGGTCAAGGTGGGCAGATCACGAGGCCAGGAGTTCAAGACCAGCCTGTGCAACATGGTGAAACCCTGTCTCTACTAAAAATACAAACACCTGGGCATGGTGGCACGCACCTGTAGTTCCAGCTACTCGGGATGCTGAGGTGGGAGAATCGCTTAAACCTGGGAGACAGAGGTTGCAGTGAGCCGAGACCATGCCACTGCACTCCAGCCTGGGTGACGGAGTGAGACTGGGTCTCAGAAAAAAAAAAGGAAAGAAAAGAAAAGAAAAAAGAGAGAGAGAAAGAGAGAGGGAGGGAAGGAAGGAAAGAAGGGAAGAAAACATTTAAGGAAGAAATAATAGTATCAATATTACATAAACAACTTCAGAAAACAGAAGAGGATAGAATAATTCGCAATTCTTTGGGAGTAACAGTATCCTGATATCAATACAAGGACATACTCTTACCAATTCTAAGGAAAACGGAACAAGATGCCCTAGTCAGTACAATAAGAAAAAGGAACAAAGTCCATATAAATTGGAAAAGTAAAATACTTTATTCACAGATGACATGATTATCTACATAGAAAATGCTAAAGAATCTAGAAAAAAGCTACTAGAATAAGTTAACTGATCTAAGTTGCTTGATACAAGATCAATGTACAAGTCTAATGCATTTCTATATACTAGCAATAACTAGAAAACAGCTTTTTGAAAACCTTACCACTTGCAATAGCATGCAGAAATATTAAATACATGAATTTAACAAAATGTGAGAGCTGCAAACTGAGAGAAATTAACAGATCTAAATAAATGGGGCAGTACACCATGTTCAACAATTGGAAAACTCAGAATTGTTAAAATGTCATTTCTCCCTAAATTGATCTATAAATCCCAGAAGACTTTCTTTTTGCAGACATTGATAAAAGTTGTTTTTTGAGACAGTTTCACTCTTGGTTGCCCAGGCTAGAGTGCAATGCCACGATCTCAGCTCACTGAAACCTCCACCTCCCAGGTTCAAGCAATTCTCCTGCCTCAGCCTCCCGAGTAGCTGGGATTCTACAGGCGCCTGCCACCACGCCTGGCTAATTTTTTTGTATTTTTAGTAGAGATGGGGTTTCACCATCTTGGCCAGGCTGGTTTTGAACTCCTGACCTCAAGTGATCCGCCTGCCTCGGCCTCCCAAAGTGCTGGGATTATACAGGCATGAGCCACGGGCCTGGCCTGAAGTTGATAGAAGTTGACTTCAAATTTTATACGAAAATGCAAAGGATCTAGAAGTCAAAAAAAAAAATGGGAAAAGAACAAAACGGAAGCCCTTCCAATACCTGAGTTCAACTACAGTTGGCCAGGAGTGGTGGCTCACACCTGTAATCCCTTTGGGAGGCTGAGGCAGGAGGATCCCTTGAGGCCAGGAGTTCAAGACCAGCCTGGTCAACATAGTGAGACCCCCATCTCTACAAAAAAATATAAAAAATTAGCAAGATGTGGTGATGCATGCCTACAGTCCCAACTACTTGGGAGGCTAAGGAAAGAGGCTCACTTGAGCCCGGATGTTCGAGGTTACATTAGCTGTGATTGTGCCACTACGCTCCAGCCTGGGCAACAGAATGAGATTTCTGCCTCAAATAAAACTACAGTAATCAATATAGTGTCATATTGGTGTAAAGTTATACACACAAGAAGAATGGTGTCCAGAACAGACCACTTCTATGTCACTTCAGTTTTTACAAACCTGTGAAGACTTGGTCATTGGGAAAGTAGAGTCTCAACAAATAGAACCGAACCAACCAACCACACAGATAAAAAAGTGAATCTTGACCCTTATCACATATGGTACACAAAAATGAACTCAAAATGGATCACAGACTTAAATGTAAAAGGTAAAACTATAAAAGTTCCATAAAAATAAAAAACATAGGAAAAAATCATGTCCTTTGAGTAGGCAAATTTCTTAAACTCAAATTATTATAAAATATCATAAATCATTATTATTATTATCTTGGTTTACTGCAACCTCTGCCTCCTGGGTTCAAGTGATTCTCCTGCCTCAGCCTCCCGAGTAGCAGGGACTACAGGGGTGTGCCACCCGCCCAGATAATTTTTGTATTTTTAGTAGAGACGGGGTTTCACCACGTTGGCCAGGCTGGTCTCAAACTTCTGGCCTCAGGTGATCTGCCTACCTTGGCCTCCCAAAGTGCTGGGATTACAGACATGAGCCACCACACCCAAATCTTTGATAAATTAGGCTTAATAAAAAATATTCAAAAGACACCATTAAGAAAATGAACAGGCAAACCAAACATGAAAATATTCACAATATTTGTCACAAATGGAGACAAAGAATTCTATATATTACATGTATGTTTTTCATGCAGAATATGGAAAGAACTTGAGTCAACAATAAGCATCCCAACTTAAAAACAGGCAAAAGGCACGAACAGACACATCACAAAAGACGACACGGAAAAGCAATAAGCAGATGAAATCATAGACATACATTATTCAGTGGGCAAATACAAATTAAAATCATAAGGAGGCTAGAGTGGATTAAATTTTAAGAGACTGACAATGCCAAGTGTTAGCAAAGATATGGAGCAACTGGAATCTTCCCATAATGTAGTAATAGTGTAAAATGATTCAACCACTACAGAGGGCTGTGTGACAATTTCTTAGGAAGTTAGAAACACGTATTGCAATGGACTGAATGTTTACATCCTTGCACAATTCATGTCAAATTCCTAACCCATAAGATGATATGAGGTGGGGTCTTGGGGAGGGGACAGAATCACAAGGGGAGAGCCCTCATGAATGGGGTAAGCTTGCTAGTCCCTTTCCACCACGTGCAGTCACAGTAAAAAGACATCTACTTAAAAGGAAGCAGGCCCTCACTAGACACCAAATGTTGACACCCTCATCTTGGACTTCCCAGCCTCCAGAACTGTAAAACATAAATTTCTGTTGTTTATAAGCCTCCCAGTTGATGGTATTTTGTTATGGCAGCCTGAATGAACTAAGACACTTACAACACAGCAATTAAAGTCCTAGGTACTTACCCAAGAGAAATAAAAACACATGTGCAAATACATACTTTTACACAAATGCTCATAGTTTTAAGAGCCGAGACTGGAAACCCATTAACACGTGGATGAATAAACAAATGATGGCTTATCCACACAATGGAATACTATTCAGCAAGGAGAACTACTGAAACACAAAACAGCTTGGATGAGTCTAAAAACATGCCAAAGTGAGACATCAGACGCAAAAGAACACATAGTAAATGAATCCATTTGTATGAGGCTCTAAACCAAGCAACACTAATCTATGAGGATAGAAAGTGGTTATCTGGGGCTGGAGTGGGCTTAACTAGGAAAAGGCAAAAGGGAACTTCTTTGGGTGACAGAAACGTTTTTGGTTCTGGCGGTGGTGGTTACACAGGTGGTGGTGGTTACACAGGTGTATAGATTTTTCAAAACCTTGTACACTTAAATAGGCGTTTTACTATATGAAAATTGAATCTCAATAAAGTTGATTAAAATGGTCTGGTAAAATCTACATTTGAAACATCTCTAGTAATGCTGATTTTCCAGAAAATGTAGATCTCTTTTTTGAATTATTTGTCCTGAGACGTTCAGGGTTGGTAGTATTTAAGAACTCAAAATATGGCCTCATGAGAAAAAAATTATATCGTTACAAAACTGGACTTTGGGGTTCATGTCCAGATGAAATTCAGAGGTAAAGACTAACAGTTTGGCGAGGCGGCTGTCCACTGTCCATTTACCTCGCCTGCTTTCGAACAGTCCTAGCCAAAAAGCCATCTGTCATGGCTCCATGTTTCTGCAGATTCCTCTCCTGGACCCTATTTTCTTCTTCAGCTGCTCTCTACTGATCTCTGGCCCAGCTGAAATGTCACCTCTTCTGTAAGGCCTTCCCAGCTCTGTGCCACAGCAGGCACCCCCTCACCTGTGCTCCTTCACACCTGAGGGCACATACTTAACTCACCCTACTGTGATCTCCGTCTTCCCCACTACACGGTGGATGACTTCAGGGTAGTGGGTTGCTCATCTGTTTTCCCAACATTGAGGACTATTCCTTATAGATATCAATACATTTTGAAATGACACAATGAGCCAGAGAGCATGGAAAATGACAAGAGCTCAGTTCAACCTCAGAACTGCTACAACAGAAGAGTTACGTAGCGCATTGAGACTGTGCCTTTCGAGTGAGACAGAAAGATACAGACAAGTAAGTAAAGACCTTCTCTTGAGACCTGCCTCCTCCTGTCCCCACTGTTCCAGCTGAGCCAGGTGTCAATGCCCTCCAGATCAAGTAGACAGTTCTGCATGAGCTGTAAGGTGGCACACAGGAGGGCGTGGATGTGCACAGGATATTGCCTGCAACTTCTAAGTAGGAGCAGCAGACAGTAGCAGGGCTGAGAAGATACTTCTAACAGAATCGTAGATTATACTGATACAAAATGAACAAACAACAAAAAAAACAGCCAACAGCTGAAAATTTTTAGAATGGCAGTATAGAAAGGACAAAGCAAGAGAGATGCCAATTACACATAGATTTAGGGGTGTATTTTTTATTGCCCTGTGCTAGACAGTGGACACATGGAAATCAATCAGATATGATCACTGTCCTCAGGAACCCAACAGCATAGTGACAGAGATAGTCTATCACATCATTCTGACATATGCAAGTAAATATAGTAATAGCAGTAATCACTGAGCCACAGAAGTGTGGAGAGTGCTGCCAACTAAGCTTGAGGGAAACACCCATTGACATGATGCCTGAGGCTTGTCTTGAACCATGATTCAGAGTTAATTAGCTGAGAAGAGACCCTTCAACAAGAACAAAGGCGAGAGAGGTAGGAAGCCACGTGGAGCACAGGGAAGATGAAGCAGTCGGTGTTGCTGCAGCATTAACCGTGTGGCAGGAAGTCAGGCAGTGGGAGGCAGGGCTCCAGGACGCAGGAGGCCTTAGGGCACACGATGGGAGGCCTGGAGTTCCTCCTCAGGACAACAGGGAAATGGCTCGGGGTTCATACACGAGTTACCTTTCTTCAACTTAACACATCAAAATGTCCTAGGTAACATTCTCCTAAATCGTAAGATTAGATACACAGTTGTGCTGTAATAAGGGATTTAAGTCAAGGATGGACTCTGCTTAACTGGGGATGAAACTTCTTAAAAACCTTTTCTTGAGACCTGTCTTCTCCCTGCCCCTACTGTTCCAGCTCAGAGTCAGGTGTCAAGCCCTGTGACTCTCCTGAGGACAGTGCTCACAGCTGAGGAGAAGGGCTGAGCCGAGTAGGGCTGCACAGTGGCAGGTGGCACCCACTGCAAAAGCAGCCCCATCCATGACTCACAAAATTCTGACATGTCCAAATCTTAGAAACCACATGAATCCTAATTCCACGCATTTCCAAACATCACTCACTGGGCGGGAAAGTAATTATTTTATAAGTTACCTGTGTGTTCCCCCTTATCTACAGACCTCTCACCCAAATGTATGGGGGCCTTACTCAAGGAGAGTCCCTCTTGGTGAACCCTTTGATTATTTTTAACGTTTGTAGTTGAGTTAAAATCTCTCCCATACTGACTACATTCATAGAGCTTCTCTTCAGTATGAATTTTCTGGTGTTGAAGGAAGTTTGACCTCTGAATAAAGCCTTTCCCACAATAACTGCACACATAGGGCTTTTCTCCAGTGTGAATAATCTGGTGCAGAAGCAGCTTGGAGCTCTGGATGAAGGCTTTCCCACAGTCTTTACATTCGAAGGGCCTGTCCCCAGAGTGGATCTTCTGGTGCTCAGTGAGATGGGCTTTCTGGAGAAACGCTTTCCCACATTCCTTACATTCATACACTCTCTCTCCAGTGTGGATTTTCTGGTGTCGAATAAGGTATGAACTCAGAAAGAAAGCTTTCCCACACTCGTTACATTCATAGAGTTTCTCTCCAGTGTGAATTCTCTGATGCTGGGTGAAGTTTGACGTCTGGCTGAAGCGCTTCCCACACTCATTGCATACGTAAGGCCTCTCCCCAGTATGGATCCTCTGATGCTGAATGAGCTTTGAACTCCGAATAAAGGCTTTCCCACACTCATTGCATTCAAAGGGTCTCTCTCCGGTGTGAATTCTCTGGTGTTCAATAAGGTCTGAGCGATGACGGAATGCCTTCCCACATTCTTTGCATTCATACTGTTTCACTTCTGTGTGGATCTGATAATGGCGAATGAGGCTCGAGCTCCTTATGAAGGATTTCCCACATTCATTGCACTCATAGGGCCTTTCTCCCGTGTGAATCCTCTGATGGCGAATAAGTAAGGAGCTCTGACTGAAGCCTTTCCCACACTCTTTGCATTCAAAAGGTCTCTCTCTGGTGTGAACTCTCTGGTGCCTAATCAGGTCTGAACTGTGACAAAACGCCTTCCCACACTGCGCACATTTGAAGGGCTTTTCTCCTGAATGAACGCGCTGATGCTCAATGAGACCTGAATAGTGAATGAAGTCTTTCCCACACACATTACAGACGTAGAGTCTCTCTCCAGTGTGAATTCTCTGATGCTCCATAAGGTGTGAGCTCTGGCCAAAGCCTTTCCCACACTGATCGCACGTGTAAGGTTTCTCCCCAGCATGCGAAATCCGATGCCTAACTAGGTCCGAATTAAACGTGAAGGTTTTGCCACAGATATCGCAAGGATTGGCTTCCCCCTCTATGAGCTCTCTCTGAAGCAGAAGAAGGTCTGAGTTCAGAATATGGTTTCTTCCTGACTTGGTGCACACTTGAGCTGTCTCTCCTGTCTGGATCTTCCAATGGGTCACTGTCACCTGCTTGCAGCCCCTGTCCTGAGAGGGGGAACTCCCCAGGCTCTGACCTTCTGGATTTCCCAAGAGCTCCCCTAATCTGGGCTCGTGGACTTCCTCAGACTCGGGAGAGGGGAGCTCCATCACCGTGAGTCTGTCTGACGTCGTCCTATGTGAGTTTTCATCCTCAGAAATCCAGGCTTCAGTCACCTTCTTCTCACCAGTTCCTACATTAGAATCTGAAACAAAAGACAACAAAATCATCTTTCCCCTTACTTAATAGATGGGGATCTCCTGAATCAGGGCAGGATAAAATCCATATCCAAGAGGTGGAAAGTGTTTCCTCTGCCCCTCATCCTGACCCAACATGCTGCTACCCACAGCTCTGGTCTCACACCCAAGCCTGTCCCACATAAGATGGCTTCTTTGTGGCTCCACTTTTAACATCCAACACCAGGACAGACTGGTCTGTGGTGCACAACACTCCTCTGACCATTAGTGAATCCTGGATGAGTTGCAGAGGGGTGGGGATATGCTTGAACTCCATTAAAAAACCGAGACAGATACTTTAAACAAACGTATAAACACATCAGCCCTGCCACCTCTTCACTGTTCCTCATTCCTTCCTTCATGTCCTCTTCTCCCCTCCATACCTAGCTTAGAGCCCATGATCTGGGGCACTGTGTTCACTGTAAGTTGCATGAGAATCACCCTCCTGCACAGAATCGGGCTCCCCTGCCCTTTCCTCCCTCCATGATACTTGGATGGGAAAGCCCAACCTTTGGTTAAAACGAGGTTGTGTTCTGATTTGTGCCTGCACTCTTGCTGTTTTTTTGTTTGTTTTGTTTTTTTTTTTTAGATGGAGTCTCGCTCTGTCACCCAGGCTGGAGTGCAGTGGTGCAATCTCGGCTCACTGCAAGTTCTGCCTCCTGGGTTCACACCATTCTCCTGCCTCAGCCTCCCAAGCAGCTGGGACTACAGGCGCCCGCCACCACGCCCGGCTAATTTTTTTGTATTTTTAGTAGAGACGGGGTTTTACCGTGTTAGCCAGGATGGTCTCGATCTCCTGACCTCGTGATCTGCCCGCCTAGGCCTCCCAAACTGCTGGGATTACAGACGTGAGCCACCACATCCAGCCAGCTGACTGAGCTCTTTAAATTCAGAGCTGCTTGCCTAATGGGGCCTGAGAGCTGCCAGCAACTCCTACCCTTCCCACTCCCCACAGGACCTTCCACTTCTCCTATCTTCTTACAAACTCAGCACTCCCTCCTCCCTCCCCACTGGTGACCTTGCTTCTTGTTTCAATGAGAAAACAGAAGAAATCAGGCAAGGACATCCACTGCCTCCCACGTCTCCTGCCAGCCTGTATCTCCACCCATCCTCTGCCAGGCTTGTTACCTGGGTTAAACTGCCCTTGTTCTGACTTAAAGGCAACACTTCCACTTGTGTGTGAGCTCCCTTTCCCTCTCACACATGCAGGGACAGCACCTGAGCACCCATCCCTCTCCTCCATCCTGAAGTCCTTGCCCTCCAAGCCCACCACTCCCCTCAGCATGAAGAAGTGCGCCAGTTCCCAGCGACCTGAAAAATGCACGTCATGGGCCCCATGTCCCACCAATTACTACCCCATGACTCTCCTCCTCCGCAGCCCCATTCAAAGAGCCCCCACCCCACGCTCGATTTCTCCATTTCCTCCTTCCCCTGAGCCTACTACAGTAGGGCTCTCACCCCAAACATCCACGTCACCATATCAGGGGTCAGCTATGGCCACACTTCCAACTCAACCTGCGGTGGCACTGACACAGCCCCGCTCCTTCAGAAGTCACTCTCCTTATGTGAATCTGGGACAGCCTTTCTCTGTTCCCTACCCGCCTCACTGATAGCTCCTCCCAGTGTCCCCTGACGCCTCAAAGCCCTGGCGTGTCTAGGGCTCAGCCCTCATCTCTGTCCATTACAGAGGGGAGTGCACTCATTATCAGACACCAACGCCATCTATGCTGAACACTCACATGCCTGCCTCCAACCTGGCCTTCTTTCCAGCCCCCACACCTGACCAGCTCCTCACCCAACACCTTCATTTGGATGCTCTCAGAAGTTTTTCAACCCTAATGCGTCCAGCCTCACTTCTGATTTTCCTCCTTCTATAGTTTTCTCCATTATCTCATTTGTTCAGGCCACAGACACTGCAATAACCCTTGAATCCTCTTCCCTTTGTTCACACTCCACATCTGTTCAAAACCATGCCCAGCGCCAGACGCCCACAGCCTACAGGGCTGCCATCTGCACCATCGCCTTTCACCATGAAGCGTGACCACCTCCCACCTGCTTACTTCTCCCCTTCTCCAGCTCTTTTCTACACAGCCAGCAGAATTACGCTTTAAAATCATAAATCAGATGTCACTTTTCTACTCAAAACTGACAAAGGTTTCCCATCCCCTACTCTGGCCCCACAAGGGCCACCGGGCCTGGACTCCTGCTGCTCACCCTGCCCTCCCCTTCCCTCTTCTTTGGTCACACTGGCCCCTGCAGTCCCTGCCCCCTCGGAGCCTTTGCACTTTCGTAGAAAGACTCCAAAGATATTTGCAGGGTTCACTCCTAGATGTCCTTCAGGTGTCTGTGTTGACGTCACCTGATCAGAGTCCCTCCTAGTCACACTATAAAACAGCAAGGCTGGCTGGGCATGGTGGCTCACGCCTGTAATCCCAGCACTTTGGGAGGCAGAGGCGGGCGGACCACGAGGTCAGGAGATCGAGACCATCCTGGCTAACACACTGAAACCCCATCTCTACCAAAAATACAAAAAAAATTAGCCGGGCGTGGCGGCAGGCGCCTGTAGTCCCAGCTACTTGGGAGGCTGAAGCAGGAGAATGGCCTGAACCCAGGAGGCGGAGCTTGCAGTGAGCCAAAATTGTGCCACTGCACTCCAGCCTGAGTGACAGAGCAAGACGCCGTCTCAAAAAACGAAACAAAACAAACAAAAAAAACAGCAAGGCACCCCCACCCTCAGCATGCCCTCTCTCCTGCCTCTGCTTTCTCTGCACAGTTCTGACCACTTGACCAATCATAAGTCACCCAATCAAAGCAGCCATCGACTGCGAGATGTGACACAATTTTATGAACCATGAAGGAAAATAAAAGTACCAATTTAAATGAAAACACTCCATCAAGCCAGGCACAGTGGCTCACTCCTGTAATCCTAAGACTTTGGGAGGCAGAGGTGGGAGGGTCACTTGAGACCAGGAGTTCAACGTCTGCCTGGGCAAGGTAGAAAGATCCCATCTCTACAAAAAACATTTTTAAAAACAGCCAGGCAAGGTAGCACACCTGTGGTTCCAACTACATGGGAGACTGAGGCAGGAGAATCACTTGAGCCCAGGAAGTTGAGACTGCAGTGAGCCGTGCTTGTGCCACTGCATTCCAGCCTGGGTGACAGAGCAAAACCCTGTCTCAAACAACAACAAAAAACACTCCATCAATTCTAACAGGCAACTCAATTTCAGAGACATTAAAATATGGAGAAAGTGTATCTTAGAATCAATGAATTGTGATATATACATGCATGCACACACACACACACACACACACGCACACACCCCACAGGCAACAAACTATGTGTTTTGTTGTCTCCCCCACAAGTATGTGAGTGCTGTGTGGGCAGGAACTTTGTTCTGTTCTTTATCCTCAGCAACCCAAACAATTTCTGGCATAAAGTAATACATTTCATCAATATCTGCTGTATGAATGAATGTTCTAATCATGCATACATAATACACTCAATACAAGGTAATAAGCCAGGTACAGTGGCTCATGCCTATAATCCCAGCATTTCCAGTGGCCAAAGCAGGAGGACTACTTGAGGCCAGGAGTCCAAGACCAGCCTGGGCAACATAGCAAGACTCCATCTCTAAAAAACAATTTTTTATTTAGCTGGGTGTGATGTTGCATACCTGTGGTCCCAGCTATTTGGGAGGCTAAGTCAGGAGGATCACTTGAGCCCAGAGGTTTGAGGCTGTAGTAAGCCATGACTATGCCATGGAACTCCAACCTAGGTGACAGAGTGAGACCCTGTCTCTAATTAAAAAAAAAGCTCCAACACTTCTAGTATTAAACACTGAAATAAATGTGAGTTATACATACCTTACCTTAAAGAAAGATTAACAGTGCTTGCTACAGCTCTTTTAGAATGTCTAGCAGGTTTCTCAGTTTTTACTGGAAAATCTCCCATAAAAAAAAAATTAAGAAAAACAAGATAATTATTTACCCACTTATTTTAATGCACGGTTCTGGGTAGCTGGAGCCTATCCTGGCAGCTCAGGGTGCGAGGTGAGAACCAGCCCCGGATAGGACAGGGTCCCACCACAGGGCAACTCACACACCCAAACTCGCTCATGCTGGGACCAAGGAGACACCCCAATTCACCTAATGGACACATCTTTGGGACGTGGAGGAAAGCAGGCGGCCGTGGGGAGAATGTGCACACTCCACACATGGTGCTCCCAGCCAGGAATCACTTTTTCCCTCATAGATGTTATAACGAAACAATGATATCTGAGGCTCTGCCATGGAAAGGGGGGAAGCCAGAATCCACTCTCTGAAAGCAGAGACCAAAGGAACAGTGACTGCTTTGAGAGAAAGTTTCTTTCTTGGCGCCTGCACTTTACCAGCCTCAAGTCTGAGGATTTGTCTTTTTTTTTTTTGAGATGGAGTCTCGATCTGTTGCCCAGGCTGGAGTGCAGTGGCGCCATCTCAGCTCACTGCAGGCTCTGCCTCCTGGGTTCACGCCATTCTCCTGCCGAGCAACTGGGACTACAGGCGCCCGCCACCATGCCTGGCCAATTTTTTTGTATTTTTAGGAGAGACGGGGTTTCACCGTTAGCCAGGATGGTCTCGATCTCCTGACCTTGTGATCCGCCCGCCTTGGCCTCCCAAAGTGCTGGGATTACAGGCGTGAGCCACCACGCTCGGCCGACCATTTGTATTTTCTCTCTTTTTTTTTTTGAGATGGAGTTTTGCTCTTATTGCCCAGGCTGGAGTGCAATGGCACGATCTCGGCTCATCAAAATCTCCAGCTCCCGGGTTCCAGCGATTCTCCTGCCTCAGCCTCCCAAGTAGCTGGGATTATAGGCTTGCGCCACCACACCCAGCTAATTTTGTATTTTTAGTAGAGATGGGGTTTCTCCGTGTTGGTTAGGCTGGTCTCGAACTCCCAAACTCAGGTGATCAGCCCACCTTGGCCTCCCAAAGTGCTGGGATTACAGGCTTGAGCAACTGCGCCCGGGCTTTTTTTTTTTTTGAAGATAGTCTTGCTCTCTCGCACAGGCTGATTGCATGGTGGCGTGATCTCAGCTCACTGCAACCTCCGCCTCCTGGGTTCAAGCAATTCTTGTGTATTTTTAGTAGAGATGGGGCTTCTCCATATTGGCCAGGCTGGTCTCAAACTCCTGGCCTCAAGCAGTCCAGCCACCTTGGCCTCCCAAAGTGCTGGGGTTACAGGAGTGAGCCACCACACCCAGCCATGTATTTGCTTAATTTCCATATATATTCTGCTTATGCACTGAGGACCCATTAATGTGGCTCTCAGGATGAGAAGGCTGACTGTCTCGCCTCAAGAGCCTTCTCTTTGGGGTTCTTGCTGGGCAGTGGGAGCCGGGCCACTGCGAAGATCAGTAATGTTGCCTTCCCATCCACTACTACTGTCTTCAATACCTCAAGGCCACTGCCAATATAATGAGGGAGGGGGGATCAGCCCAGCCCAGAAGCCAGTAAATAAAACTGGAGGTTCTGCTCGTTTAAAAACCAGAGCTGCACCAGGTACAGCGGCTCATGCCTGTAATCCCAACACTTTGGGAGGCTAAGGTGGGTGGATCACTTGAGGTCAGGAGTTCGAGACCAGCCTGGCTATGGTGAAACCTCATCTCTACTAAAAATACAAAAATTATCCAGGTGTGGTGGCATGCACCTGTAATCCCAGCTACTCGGGAGGCTGAGACAGGAGAATCACTTGAACCTGGGAGGCAGAGGTTGCAGTAAGCAGAGATCACAACACCGTACTCCAGCTTGGGTGACAAAGTGAGACTCCATCTCAAAAAATAAAAAACAAAAACCAAAACCAGAGCTGTGACGTGGGATGCACTGGCAGCAAGCAGCCCCAACAGTGAGGATATTTTCAAGGGAATTAGGTTGCTGGAGAAACTGCAAGCCTACCCTGCAGAAGTCTGTAGCTAGAGTGTTCTTAGCAACATTCTAACACCCTAAATATCTAGCAACAGAAGACTCACACAAACAATAATGCACAGAAAAAAAACTGCCACACATAAAAGCACAGGTGGACCTCACAACAGACGAAGTGCTGAGCAAAAGCAGCCAGGCACAAAAGAGCTCATATTGTACGACTCCATTTACATAAAGCTAGAAAACAGAGAGCCAATCCCTGGTGGAAGGATGTAAGCTGCAATGGTGTTCAGGAGACACTGTCACTGGCAGGGGCACATGGTGGTGCCCTGAGTCACACAGGTGCTCACTTTGGAAAAGCTGACTGGACCCGGAATTATGCGACCTCACGCAGGCACTGGGATGCTCTATCCAACCCCGCTGTGGAGGGCAATGCCCCAGCCTGCAGTCTGGGAATCCTCACTCTGGGAACTGCTTCCAAGAAGGGGACTCCACCCGCCCAGTGCCAAGCCCTCTCCCAGTTATCCACTGCTCCAAAAACAATTTACACAAACTCAGCAGCTTAAAGCAGCATGCATTTGTTACCCTACAGTTCTGCAGGTCACACATCCAGGCCAGGCCAGCTGGGATCTCCACGCAGGGTCACGCAAAGCTGCAACTGTATGTCATCGGGCTGAGCTCTCACCTGGAGGCCCTGGGGAAAACTGGTTTCCAAACTCATTCAGATTTCGTGGCAGAATCCAGTTCCCTGCAACTGTAGGACTAAGAACCCTGTGTGCTTACTGGCTGTGAGCAGGAGCCGTCCCTAGGGGCCACCTGAATCTCAAGGCAGGCACAGCACATCACATTTTTCTCACGCATCTAATCTCAGCCTCTGTTCTCCAACCAGATGGAGGAACCTCTGCTTCCCAGGGTCTGTGTGATTAGGTCAGGCTCTCCCAGACGACCTCCCTTCTCACCTCACTGACCTGGGACCTCCCGACATCTGCAAGTCTCTTCATGACAGTACCAGATGAGTGTCTGAATGAGTAACTGGAAGAAGGGGTGTGTACATTAGGGGCCAGGAATCTAAGAGACCACCTCAGAACTCTGCCCTCCACACCCATGCCAGGTGCCCGGCAGGTAACAGGAATCTAAAACTACTGTCACTGTTTGGGGCACCATGAACCGCACCCATATAAGAAGCTGAATTATCAATGTGTGTTTCCTACATCCACCACCAACCGGCTGTTCCCCATCTCTCCCTTTCCTCCAGCCTCCCCCTTCCCTGGATATAACAATATTGAGATTAGGCTAATTAGTAACCTTACCATGGCCTCTCACGTGAAAGGAGGAATCCCACATCTCTCACTTTAAACCAAAAGCTAGAAATGATTAAGCTTTGTGAGGAACGCATGTCTAAAACTCAGTCAGAAAGCCGGGCCTCTTGCATCAAACGGCTGAGCGGCAATGCAAAGGAAAAGCCCCAGAAGGAAATTAAACGAGCTGCTCCAGTGAACACACAAATGACAGGATAGCAAGACAGCCTTATTGCTGATGTGGAAGAAGTCTGAGTGGTCTGGAGAGATTAAAACAACAACTTTGCCCGACGGCTGGTGTGACTGGCAACCAAAGCTGAATCCACAGCAAGGTCCTAACCGTCCTCAATTCTATGAAGGCCGAGATGGGTGACGGAAGCTGCGGAAGAAAAGCAGAAAACCAGCAGAGGTTGGTTCATGAGGTTTAAGGAAAGAAGTCACTTCCACACATAGAAGTGCAAGGTGAAGCTGCAAGCTTTACAGGAGAAACTGAAGCAAGTTCTCCAGATCTAGCTAAGATGGTTGACTAAGGTGGCTACTCTAAAAAGATTTTCAGTGTGGATAAAACCGCTTTCTATTGGAAGAAGATGGCATCTAGGACTTTCGCAGCTAGAGAGAAGTCAATGCCTGGCTTCAAAGATTGAAAAGGACAGGCTGACTCTCGTTAGGGGCGAATGCAGCTGGTGACGTGAAGCCAATGGTCATTTCCCATTCCAAAAATTCTAGGACCCTTAAGAATGATGCTAAATCCACTCTGCCTGTGTTGGAAATGGAATAACAAAGCCTGGATGACAGTGCATCTGTTTACAGCATGGTTTATGGAGTATTCTAAGCTCACTAATGAGACCTACTGCTCAGAAAAAAAGATTCCTTTCAAAACACTACTCACTGACAATGCTCCTGGTCACCCAAGAGCTCTGATGGAGATGAACAGGGAGACTGATGTTCTTCTTTTGCCAACACAACGTGCATTCTGCAGCCCCTGGCTGGGAGTCACTCCAACTTTCAAGTCTTATTAAGAAATATGTTTCACAAGGCTGTAGGTGCCATAATGATTCCTCTGATGGATCTGGGCAAAGTCAGCCGAAAACCTTCTGGAAAGGAGTCATCATTATAGATGCCACGAAGAACATTCATGATTCATGGGAGGAGGTCAAAACATCAACATTTGGTATTTTGGAAAAACCTGATTCCAGCCCTCATGAATCTTTGAGGGGTTTGAGACTTCAGTGGAGGAAGCAACTATAGATGTGGTGAAAATAGCAAGAGAGCTAGATTTAGAAGTGTAGCCTAAAGATGTCACTGAATTGCTTCAATCTCGTGATCAAACTTGAATGGATGAGGTGCTGCTGCTTTTTTTTTTTTTTTTTTTTTAAAGACAGAGTTTCACTCTCGTTCCCCAGGCAGAGTGGAGTGGTGCAATCTCGGCTCACTGCAACCTCCACCTCCCGGGTTCAAGCAATTCTCCTGCCTCAGCCTCCTGAGTAGCTGGGATTACAGGAGTGCGCCACCACGCCCAGCTAATTTTTGTATTTTTAGTAGAGACGGGATTTGGCTATGTTGGCCAGGCTGGTCTCAAACTCCTGACCTCAGGTGATCCACCTGCCTCAGCCTCCCAAAGTGCTGGGATTACAGGCACGAGCCACCATGCCCGGCTGAGGTGTTGCTTCTTAGAGATGAGGAAAACAAGTACGCTTCTTGACATGGAATCTGCTCCTGGTGAAGATGCCGTGAACACTGTTGAAATGACAACAAAGGATTTTGAAGATTCCATAAACTTAGTTGATAAAACACAGGCAGGGTTTGAGAGGCTTGACTCTAATTTTGAAAGAAGTTCTACTTGGGTAAAATACTAGCGAACAGCTTTGCATGCTACAGAGAAATCTTTTGTGAAAGCAAGATTCCACTGATGTGACAAACTTCATCGTCCCATTTTAAGAAACTGCCAGTCACACCAACCTTCAGCAACCATCACCCTGATCAGTCAGCAGCCATCAAGAAAGGCAAGACCCTCCATCAGCAAAATGATTACAACTTAAGGCTCAGATGATCATCTTTTAGCAATAAAGTATCTTTAAATTATTTACATTTTTAGACATAATGCTATTGCATACTGAATAGTAACCACAGCATACCTAAACGTAACTTTTATATACACTGGGAAGCTAAGAAGTTTCTGTGACTTGCTTTGTTTTGCTATTCACTTTATTGCAGTGGTCTGGACCCACACTGGCACATCCCCATGTGTGGGATGAAAGGTCCACTGGACACTTGGGTAGCCAATGTGGTTCCCTAGCATTCCTGTTTCCTTCTTCCTTTAAGTGTTAGAAACCCCATCAAATTACTAATGACTGCCCCATAAATGACATTTCCTAGTGTCCCCTTAAGTTAGGTGAGTTTGTGACCAAGATGAGGCGAGAAGGGAAGTGATGTGTGCGTGCTGTCCACTCTCTCCCCTCCCCACAGTGCTGATGAGGCAGGGCAGCCAGAGTCCCTGGAGGCCAACCCTACCTTTAAGAGAGAATAAGACAACTCAAGTTTCTTATTTGAAACACCGTATTTGAATCTGTTACAGCAACTTTAACCTACGTCTTAAATAATGCTAATATACAACTCAAAATATTCAGATTCAATTCTCCCCATGATGATAAATTCAAACTGGGCCAGGTGCGGCGGCTCACACCTGTAATCACAGCACTTTGGGAGGCTGAGGCAGGTAGACTGCTTGAGCTCAGGACTTAGAGACCAGCCTGGTCAACATGGTGAAACACAGTCTGTATTTTAAAAAGACAGGCCAGATGCAGTGGCTCACGCCTGTAATCCCAACACTCTGGGAGGCCTAGGCAGGCACATCACCTGAGGTCAGGAGTTCGAGACCAGCCTGACCAACATGGAGAAACCCCCGTCTCTACTAAAAATACAAAATTAGCTGGGCATGGTGGCACATGCTTGTAATCCCAGCTACTTGGGAGGCGGAGACGGGAGAATGACTGGAACCCAGGAGGCGGAGGTGGAGGCTGCAGTGAGCTGAGATCACGCCATTGCACTCCAGCCTGGGCAACAAGAGCGAAACTCCATCTCAAAAATAAATAAATAAAAATAAAAATAAATTAAAAAGGGGGTGGGCCGGACATGGTGGCTCATGCCTGTAATCCCAGCACTTTGGGAGGCCGAGGCAGGCAGATCACCTGAGGTCAGGAGTTCGAGACCAGCCTGGCCAACATGGTGAAACCCCATCTCTACTAAAAATACAAAATTAGCCAGGTGTGGTGGCACACGCCTGTAATCCCAGCTTCTCGAGAGGCTGAGGCAGGAGAATCTCTTGAACCTGGGCGGCAGAGGGTGGAATGAGCTGAGATCGCGCCATTGCACTCCAGCCTGGGCAACAAGAGCAAACCTCTATCTCAAAAAAAAGAAGTGGGAGAACGGTGGGGTGGAGATGTTGGTTTCTTGTTTTGGAACTCAGTTGATACCTTCTGATTTTAAATTTTAAAATGGCTGTTATACTACCTGGAAACAAGCTGTTTATTTTTTTTATTTGATATATATATATATTTTTTGAGACAGAGTCTCACTCTGTCGCCCAGGCTGGAGTGCAGTGACACAATTTCGGCTCACTGCAATCTCCACCTCCCTGCAATCTCTGTCTCGTGGGTTCAAGCGATTCTCCTGCCTCAGCCTCCCAAGTAGCTGGGATTATGGGCGCCTGCCACCACGCCCGGCTAATTTTTTTGCATTTTTAGTACAGATGGGGTTTCACTTTGTTACCCAGGCTGGTCTCAAACTCCTGACCTCAGGTGATCCACCCACCTCGGCCTCCCAAAGTGCTGGGATTGGATTACAAGTGTGAGCCACCACGGCCGGCCAGAAACAGGGTGTTTCTGTTTACAAGAACATATCTTAAAACCATATGTGTGCCTCTTAATAATTTTCATAATTTTTTTAACTTTTGAGAAAGTTTTTTTTTTTTTTTTAAGACGGAATCTCACTCTGTCGCCCAGGCTGGAGTGCAATGGCATGGTCTCCACTCACTGCAACCTCCACCTCCCAGGTTCAAGTGATTCTCCTGCCTCAGCCTCCTGACTAGCTGGGATTACAGGGGCGTGCCACCACGCCTGGCTAACTTTTGTACTTTTAGTAGAGATGGGGTTTCACCATGTTGGTCAGGCTGGTCTCGAACTCTTGACCTCATGATCTGCCCGCCTCTAGAGAAAGTTTTTAAAATTGCAAATATCTTGCTTTGAAGAAACAGTTATCTCAAAAAGGAAATAGCTATCTTCAGTTTTTGCTTAACTTTTTCTTGTATGAATTTAAGTAAAATTAAATCAATACATTTTCATTTAAAGAAACTGACATGAAATGCAAAAAAAAGGAAGCCACCTGACTTGTGGCTCCACACAACAAACTGACTAGCATGGACCCATCTCCTGTTGTAACACAGAATTTGCTGGATAAAACATCACCTGAGGCCAGGCGCGGTGGCTCACGCCTGTAATCCCAGCAGTTTGGGAAGCCGAGGTGGGCAGATCACAAGGTCAGGAGTTCAAGACCAGCCTGACCAATATGGTGAAACCTCGTCTCTACTAAAAATACAAAAATTAGCCGGACGTGGTGCCGTGTGCCTGTAGTCCCAGCAACTCAGGAGGCTAAGGCAGAAGAATCACTTGAATCCGGGAGGCAGGGGGTGCAGTGAGCCGAGATCATGCCACTGCACTCCAGCCTGGGCGACAGAGCAAGACTCCGTCTCAAAAATAAATAAATAAATAAATATCACTTGAAATTGTCTCAACAGCAGATGTTGTGTATCATCAGCAGCCACAGCAGCTCTGGGGTGTCTAGGGGTGTCCCATCTGGCATTAGAAGCCCCCAGCTCTTGCACCCACACTGGTAAGGGGATATTCCAGCCTCAAGCTCCCAGCCAGAGTCACTGTGTGTTGCTTACAGCCTGAAGAAATTAACAGGATACACCAAGCTTCACCCTCAGGAAACAGGAAAAGCAGAACCAGAGGGCAACCGAGTGAGACGTGGACTAGAGCTCCACTAACATCTGGACCTCCTTGCCCCGCGCCACACCAAGGGGCCTACTGGGCGCCACAGGCTAGGCAGGGAGCGCTTCTGTTCCTAGTGCTCCCCACGATGCCCCGGAAGTTCAGGGAGGTAAGAAGCGTAAGGTCAGAGAACTGGAGCCAGCTGTCAACTGCCCCCGCCCCACCCAGGCCATTTGGCTTCTGCTACCGGCATGCTGCTCAGGGCTCTGCCCAAGGACAACGACGAGCCCCCTGTGTCCTCTCCTGGGTCATCTTCCATGACCCTGAGGCAGCGAAGACAAGCTCGGCAGCTCCCTGAGCTGCTTCACACCAACTACCTATGAGTCTGAGGCCAGCATCCAGGCGCTGCCCAGACCCTGAGAGTCCCTGGACCATGACGTAGCCTGTGTGTGAAGGGAGCAAGACAGCCTTGACAGAAGCACAGAGAACGCCACTGGGATTCTTAAAGACGCGAAGGGAAAAGGGTACCTTCAAGAAAAAGCAGGACAGCGTAGCCACACCACCTCTCCCCATCTGGGAATTCTCCAGGTCCAAGTCTTGTACTTAATTCTAATTCTGCTCATCATGTTTCCCTCCCCACCCCTATCCCCAACAGCACAGAAGATGCTGGCGCTGCATCTCCTCCAGCACCGAGAGGCCTCGAGGCCCCAGGGAGCGGAGGCAGGGTTCAGGCACAGCCGCGGGAACGCCCACACCCAGTCCTGCCACACCGTAAAACATGTCTGCGGCATCAACCTCACGCAGGCCTGGCGGACCTGAAGACTGCGACACGGACACTCAAGCCCGCGGCTCTCCGGCCTGGGCTCAGGGCGGGGGGAAGGAGAGGGAACCAGGGGTACCCACACGGCGCTCCTCAGGGAGAAGACCCCAGGCTCGGGCCCGAGGCGGGCTCGCTGGAGAGACGCCGCAGCCTCGCGGGGGCGGCCGTGGCTGCGTCCGGGAGACTGACTAGCCAAGGCCCCGCTCCTGGACGCCCTAGCGGGGCGGGCAGCGGCCTGCGGACCCCGCCCGGCCCTCTCGGCGGACTGTGCCCTGGCAAGGCGGCCGGGCTCCGGAGCCAGCCGGGGCTGCGGCTAAGGCGTTGCCCGCCCCCGTCCGGAACGCGCCACTCACCCGGCGCGGGCGGGGAGAGGACGGCGCGAGCCCGACCCTGCAGCCGCTGACTGGACCCCGCGGGCGCGGGCCCCACAGATCAGCCGACAAAGCCTGCACCGCCGCCAGCCCGCCGCGACCGGAAGTCGCGAGAGGCCCCGCCTGGGAAACTTCCTGCGCCGTTCTAGGAGCGCCAGGGATCGGCTCCCCTCTCAGTGGTGCGGACTTCCGGGCCCGGGGACTAAGACCCCCGGAGGGGCCAGGGGTGTCCGGCAGGAGCGGCGTTGCTACGCGGTTGGGAGGGTTGCGGGCCGGGAAGCGCGGGCTCGGAAACTCGGGTCTGGAGCTCGCGGCGAGGTCCGACCGCAGCCCAAGACCAGCTTCTCAGGAGGCGAGGATCCAGGGGAAGTAAATACCGTGAGGGCCAAACTTCACCTCTCTGCGCCCCAGAGAAGTGGGGAAGCGGCGCGCTGTGGAGTTTTTTGGTTTTCGGGTTTTGGTTTTTTTAAGACAGGGTCTCGCTCTGTCGCCCAGGCTGCAGTGCAGTGGCGCGATCTCGGCTCACTGCAGCCCCGACCTCCCGGGCTCAGGTGGTCCTCCCATCTCGGCCTCCCAAAGTGCTGGGACCAGAGGCGCGCGCCACCGCGCCGGCTCATTGATTCTTGGTAGACATTACTCATTGCTAGAATGAGTCACAGTCCGAAATAATCGAAATAATTACATTCCCCTGCCCCCCCCCCCCACCAAAAAAACATTATATTCGTATTTTGGGTTTTCTTTTTCCATTTTTCTGCTAGCACTGAGGAAACTTGTTTACCTAAATTGTTAGATAGGATTGGGAGGAATTTTGTTTTAGCAATGACGCTCAATTTATTTTTATTTTTATTTTTTGAGATGGACTCTCGCTCTGTCACCAGGCTGGAGTGCTGGAATGCAGTGGCGTGATCTCTGCTCACTGCAACCTACGGCTCCCTGATTCAAGCGATTCTCCTGCCTCGGCCTCTGGAGTAGCTGGGATTACAGGCATGCGCCACCACGCACAGCTAATTTTTGTATTTTTAGTAGAGACAGAGTTTCACCTTGTTGGCCAGGATGGTCTTGATCTCCTGACCTCGTGATCCACCCGCCTTGGCCTCCCAAAGTGCTGGGATTACAGGCGTGAACCGCTGTGCCCAGCCGACACTCAATTTCTTTAGCTCTTTCTGACTTATATGCAAAAAACATAACAGCAGTTTATCACCAAGTGTACTTAATGACCTGTCAGTTGACCACTTGAATAGGTCCTTTTTAAATTTTGACAGAAGCAAACAAAGAATTAGAAGTAACCTAAAGTGCAAAACTACATGAAGTCTTTCCCAGCCAATAAATTCACCTACTTTCTTAAAATCAACTGCAGAGTTTTGAATTGTCCCTTTGATGAGGAGGACAGCCCAGGTACCAAGGCCAGGTACCAGGGTGAATAAAGGAAGAGAAGCAACGTGGGAGAAGGAGCTGTGGCCAAGGGGGACACGCTAGGCGCGTGCCCTCATCCAAGGACCTTCTACAGGAATTCCAGGGCAGAATCCATGTGGAACTCCTGCTGTGATTCTCCAGGGGCTCCCCGGCTCTTGGAAAGGCTTCTGTGTTCCAGGGGTGTGTGTGAAAGCCCTACATTGAGCGACCCCACCTCTCATCCAGGCCCGGAGACCTTGGCTGCTGCAACCCTATTGCCAGCTTACCATGGGACCCAGCTCTTAAGGCGAGAAGGGCTTGAGGCCTCTTCCCCACAGGGCTTACAGACCTTTCAGCCTCCCTGTCCGCAGGCCCAAAGAGCTTGAGAACACCGCCTGAGCAGGTTGTCACAGATCAAAATCTGCCTTGTACACCTGACGCCTGCCACTTCAACCCCACCAACAGCTAACACATGGCTGCAGCTTGGCACTTAAACTTTTTTTTTTTTTTTTTTTTTGTAGACAGAGTCTCTCTGTCACCCAGGCTGGAGTGCAGTGGCGCGATCTCGGCTCACTGCAAGCTCTGCCTCCCGGGTTTATGCCATTCTCCTGCCTCAGCCTCCCGAGTAGCTGGGACTACAGGCACCCGCCACCACGCCCGGCTAATTTTTTGTTTTTTAGTGGAGACAGGGTTTCACCATGTTAGCCAGGATGTTCTCGATTTCCTGACCTCGTGATCCACCCGCCTCGGCCTTCCAAAGTGCTGGGATTACAGGCCTGAGCCACCATGCCCGGCTGGCACTTAATACTTTGAGTTTACTTGTTTGGTACTGATTGTCCCTGCCAGTAGAAAGGAAGCTCCGTAAGGTCAGGGACCCCCGTCTCGTTCCATGTCTAGCCCAGTGCCTGGCCCATGTGGACCTCAGCAACTGTGGTGGATGCTGCGATGAGAGGCCCCGGGAGACCCCTCCAGTGACAGGCTGGGTGTCCCAGTTGTTCAGGGTGTGGTAAGCGGCCTTCAGCCATCAGCTGCAACTCGCCAGGGTCACACCCTTCCCTGGGACAGCCCACATTGCAAAGTCCTGGACATCCTGGTCCAACCGAGGACAGCCCTGAGGACCACTTCTGTGGCAGAGCTCCCTGTGGGGGACCAGTAGCCGCTGTGCTTGATGGCATCACAGCCCCACTCCTGCCTCTTGTGTCTTCCCCTCCACAGGTCCAACACCACTCCGTGAAAGTCTGCTCCCCACCTAGGAGCCCCCTCGAGCCACAGCAGCCTTGCCAGGTGACTTCTAATATTATCTCCATTTTATAGATGAGGAAACAGAAATAGGGAAGCCAAATGGCTCACCTAAGGTATCAGCCAGGACATGCTGGAGGAGGCCTCAGATGTAGCCATCTGCCTCCAAAGCCCTTGACCTAGAGCAAGTACAATGCCAAAACCAAGGAGTGTGGCTGGAAGGCAAAAGGCCCGAGGGGAGGCTGCCATGCAAGATGAGGCTGGCGCTGTTGCCATAACCAGAGCTCAAGAAAGGAAAGCTGTCCAAAGAAACTGCATTCAGCCAGAAAGGGAATTTATAGGGATTTGAGGGGACGGAGCCATTCTGAAGACAAAGCAGAAATTCTGATAAAAGATCCCAAAACATAGTTTCAAGCTATCTGGGATGTGGGGTTTAGGAAAACAGGCCATGGGTGGTCTTGGTACGGGAGCAAGCACAAAACTGTCTGGGAAATGTCCCTGAGGAAGGCCACTGTGTCTTCGGGCCATGAGCAGAGCTTTCCTGCTTTGGGCGAATGGAGTCTGGGGACAAGTTGATGACAATGGAGGGCTGAAGACAGCTTGGGAATTAGTCTTTCCGAGATAACTACTGGGTGGGGCAGATTGTGTGGTCCCGGTCCAAGCCACACAGGAAGCCCACACTGGCTTCTGAGCAGGAGTGTAACAAAAGCCAGATGACACTGGAAAGACACGTTGGCTGCGTGGTGACCACAGAGGACAGGGTGAGGACGGTGGCAATGGCAGCCACACAGCAGAGCACCTGGGGTGAGACTGGACCGAGCCAGGAAGAGGCAGGGACTGGCTCTGAAGGCCGAGGGAGGGTTCACAGGAGGGTGGGGAGTGGGCAGGAAGCTGACATCCATGGTGACGCAGGGTGGGGCAGGTGGGAGAAAGGTGAAAGAAGAACAGAAGGTCACTTTGGGATGTAAGTTTAAACGCCTTTCGATGGAAGACGATGACGGTGGCCTCTCGATGTCAGGGCCGCGCTGCCACCCCCTCCCGCCCCAGGCAGCAGGACTGGGCTCTGAGCTGAGGGCAGGAGCAGCTGGCGGCTCGCAGCGCGACCGTGGGAACCACTGTGAGCCGCCGCGACCCTCCTTGACTCGCCGTGACCCATCGTGATCCGATGTGATCCTTCTTAACCCGCCGTGACCCGCTGTCACCCACAGTCACCCAACGTGATTCGCCGTAACTCTGGTGTTGTTTGCTGCTTGCTGCCCGAGCCTGGGCGTACCCATGGGCGCGGGTGACAGTGCAAGTGCTTGGGACGACAACCCGGGCTCCTCATCGCGGCCGGAATCCAAGAGGCTGCGGCGCGAGGTCTGGGTATTCGGGGGCGGAACCCTGGGAGGGAAGGGGAGCAAAGGGAGACGCCGCAGCGTAAGCCCGCCTGGCCCCAGCGCCGGCGAGGCTCCTTCCGACGCCGCGGGCATCCCGCGCGGCGCTGCCGGCTGGCCCTCCTCTCGTGTCCTTCCGCCGTCCCAAGCAGGGCCTGGGCCCAGCGCCCCGCGGCCTAAAGAGGTTGCGGCCCGGGACTTCGTCCGGGGACCCGCCCGCGCGCGGCCGGCGGACGAGACTGCGCTTCCCAAGCGGCTTTGCGGCCGCGGACTCCAAGTCCCAGCTGTGCCCGGGACGCTGCGCGCCCCCGGGACTCCATTTCCCAGAGTGCCCCGCCCCAGCCTCCCGGCCCCGCCCCCCACCTGGCTCCGCGGGCAGCCGGAGCGCACCCGGCCGGAAGCCGCTGTCGGGGAGCCGGCGGTGGGGCTGGACGCAGGTGAGGTGGCACCGGACTCAGCCGCGCCCTGGGCCCTGGATGCTCCGTGAGAGTCAGGGAGCGCTGTGGGGGTCTGGGATCGAGGGGCATGGGGGCAGCCTGGGGCTGTGGTAGAGGGTCTGGCTGCGGTGAGGTCTCCCCGCGTGCTTGGGAGCCGCGCGACGCCTGCGCAGGGCCCCCTCCCCTAAGGGCTGGCCCTGGGGCCCTGCCGGGGGAGCCGGAGCAGGTTTCCGGCTCCCAGGATGGGATCCTTGAGGGTGGCTGCGCCCCGAGGCCTGTCCTGCCCTGGAGGAATCTGGCTCGCCAGGGCTCTCCAGGACCAGCCAGCCTCGAGTGGGCGTGGGCTGCACACAGGCGCCGTCTCGTGCCTGTCCCTAGCATGCGGGCTTTAGCTGCGAACCGTGTTAACGACCTGTGCCAGGAGCCCCCGTCCCAAGGTTGTCTGCCTCCCCTCTTGTCAGTCAGAGGGGAGTAGAATGTACCTTTTCTCGGCCTAGTGGGGAGTCGTGGGTTGGGACCAGCTGCTCTGGGCTGGGTGGTAGCTCAGGACCCCTGCGGCGCTGTAGGCTGAGAGCTCCCAGGGGAACAGGGCTGCGACGAGGGAGTGCCTCGGTCCAGCTGGGTCTTTCTGGTTGCCAGTGGACTATGCCCCACTCTGAGGGCCTCACTCTGTGCCAGTTGCCACAGAAGAGTGGGGCTCCAAAGGATGAGAGCGTGATGACCTCAGCCTCCCACTGTTTGACATTACAGGTGCAACTGACATGGGTGAACCCCAGGGATCCATGCGGATTCTAGTGACAGGGGGCTCTGGGCTGGTAGGCAAAGCCATCCAGAAGGTGGTAGCAGATGGAGCTGGACTTCCTGGAGAGGACTGGGTGTTTGTCTCCTCTAAAGACGCCGATCTCACGTGAGTGAGCCCATCCCCAGATCAGCCCTTCCTCTCCATCCTACCCCCCACCCTAGAACTAAGAGTTCCAGGCTGGGCATGTTGCTGAGTCTAACAGTAGCTGTGTTTCTGGGTCCTTCCTGCCAGGTGGCTGGCCTGGCCTGGGTGTGCTTGGCTGTGTTCCTGGAAAAACAAACACCCTCCCATCTCTTCCTGGAAGCCTGCACCCTCATATCAGCCAGGCCCTGGGGCCACCCTCCCTTTTGACTGTCCCTCCTGCCATAGTCCCACCCAGTTCCTGCACTTGGCACCCAACCCTGGGGTGCTGGTTCCCTCCAGAGCCTCCTGACAGCCTGGCTTCCTACAGGGATACAGCACAGACCCGCGCCCTGTTTGAGAAGGTCCAACCCACACACGTCATCCATCTTGCTGCAATGGTGGGGGGCCTGTTCCGGAATATCAAATACAATTTGGACTTCTGGGTAAGTGAGGGTGGCCCCAGCAAGCACTGGAAACCAGGATCCCAGGTTCTGGGAACTTCCTGGCGGGCTTCCCACTCTCACAGGCCCACATTCCCACCCCAGGAAGTCCCTGAGGATCAGGGCTTGGCACAGCCTGGTGGGGGCAGCCCCTGAGGGACCCCCAGTCACTCACACTTGGTGCTGTGGACAGAGGGCCATGCAGGGGGCCTGGAGGCACTTGGCCCAGTAGGCAAAGCTGTGGAGCTGACTTGCAGCATTGGGAGGCTGAAAAGAGCCAGCGGCCACGTGGGACTGGGAGCTGGTTCCTGCCCCCTGAGTCCCCAGGGCCTCTGGAGCCTCTGGCTCCCAGGACTGTGCTGGCCCAGCTCCCCTTAGCCGGGCCCACCACACACTCTGGGGTGCAGGGGTGTGAACCGCGCTCTGTGCATCTGCTGCCTGTGTCTGGGGGAAGGGGGCGTGGTGTAAGGGCCCTGCCGTGGCTAGCTGTGTTCCGGAGGGTTGGCCCCACCAGTCACTGGGCAGCAGCCTTGCCTTAGCTGGCTTTGCTAAGCGTAGGAGGCACTAGCGTGAGCAGAGGCTCAGAGGAGATTCTGCCCAGGAGCCCTGTCACCCCAGAGCCCTCCTTGTCGGTGTCTCGGCCTTCCCAGCAGGCTGCCTGGCCACCACCTCTCCCTTCTCCCAAGACCAGTCCCAGGGCTCCAGCCATGCCGTGTCTAGTTCATGCACGGGAAGTGGGGCCCGCGGGGTGGACCCGGCAAGCGCAGGCTCCATTGATCCTGGGAAGTAGAGCCAGGTGGGAGCTCCTCCAGTGTGGGGAAGTAGACCGCCCTGTTCCCCGTGTAGTGGGAGCCCCAGCCCAGCCCAGGGCCAGACTGGGCTCCTTCCCAGCCTCCAGTGGGGTCCTATGCCCTGACCTCAGCAGCCTCCTGGGTGGGGCCCAGCCCTGAGCTGGGGGTGTGGTTCTCCTCATAGTGGAAGGCAGAGCCAGCCCCTCCTCCAGCCTTGGTGGGGCTGGAGAGCAATGGTGTCTGTAAGCCCACTGCCTTGTCCGGAAACGGTTAGGATGGGCAGGCTTGGGTCCTCCCAGGGCTGAAGGGCCAGGGTGTGTCTCCACTTCTGCGTCTGGAGGAGCAGGTAAGGGCTGGGATCTGGCCTGGGGAGCCTGAACTGTCCCCGCCTCACCCCTGCAGAGGAAAAACGTGCACATGAACGACAACGTCCTGCACTCGGCCTTTGAGGTGGGCGCCCGCAAGGTGGTGTCCTGCCTGTCCACCTGTATCTTCCCTGACAAGACGACCTACCCGATAGATGAGACCATGGTGAGGGGCAGGGCCTGGCTGTGGGTGGGGCCGGGGAGCCGGTGGGCAGGGCCAGGAAGTAGCGGCCTCTGCCTCTCCCACGCCCGCAGATCCACAATGGGCCTCCCCACAACAGCAATTTTGGGTACTCGTATGCCAAGAGGATGATCGACGTGCAGAACAGGTCCTCGCGCCCATCCTGCTGAGGCCCAGCCAGGAGTCGGGGAGAGGGCCCCCAGGGGCGGGTGGGGCCGGCTGGTCGGGTCTTCGTGCCAGCCTCAGTAAGAGGCCAGCGGCAGCCTGGGGTGGGATCGCGGGCCCAGGACGAGGGCAGGAGACGCTGTGCCTCCGCAGGGCCTACTTCCAGCAGTACGGCTGCACCTTCACCGCTGTCATCCCCACCAACGTCTTCGGGCCCCACGACAACTTCAACATCGAGGATGGCCACGTGCTGCCTGGCCTCATCCACAAGGTGCACCTGGCCAAGAGTGAGTGCGTCCGTCCGATGGGGTGCCCGGGCTCAGCTCGGGAGGAGGTGACCCAGTGCCTCTGACACCTGCTCCTTCCCCAAATCTGCAGGCAGCGGCTCGGCCCTGACGGTGTGGGGTACAGGGAATCCGCGGAGGCAGTTCATATACTCGCTGGTGCGTAAAGGAAGGCACAGCTCTCCCCAGAGAACCTGCCCTATTGAGCCCTGGGCTGGCCCCTGCTGGGCTGTCGGGGAGGTGGTGCAGGAGGGAGGCTCCTACCAGCAGAGAATCTGGGCTGAGCTCCGAGAGGAGCCATCTCTGGTCCTCGTGGAGGCCCCATAGGCTCCTGTCTCCAGGAGTCACTGGCGTAGCTCTGAGCTCCAAGGGAGAAAGGAGGGACCCCTGTTCCCCAGGCTGAGCCCCCACTGAACAAGGACAGCAGTATGGACTCCCCAGCAGGGGCGTTTGGGAGAGGGTTGGCTATACCCATGGTCTCTGACCCTGCCTGTCTGACCTCTAGGACCTGGCCCAGCTCTTTATCTGGGTCCTGCGGGAGTACAATGAAGTGGAGCCCATCATCCTCTCCGGTGGGTACCTCAGCCCTCAGCCCCCTTCCTCCATGGTAGGACAGGATCCAAGGCTGTCCTGGGAGGCTGGCTGAGGGGTGGGAGCAGGAATATTCATGGGCCGTCGGGTGGCACCAAGGGGAGGCCTGACCCGGTGGCTCCCCACAGTGGGCGAGGAAGATGAGGTCTCCATCAAGGAGGCAGCCGAGGCGGTGGTGGAGGCCATGGACTTCCATGGGGAAGTCACCGTATCCTCTGGCTCCAGTGCTGGGGGTTGGGCGGGGGCCCCTTGGGCGGGCTCAGTGGCCACCCGGTGTAGGGCCAGCGTGGGTGGGACACTGCGGAGGGAGGATGCTCACCCTGGCAGGCGGAGGAGCTCTGCTGTGGCTCCCCTGGGAATGGCAGAGGTTCAAGGGCAAGCTGCGGGGGCTGGGGTGGAGGTTCTCTTCTCGCTGTGGCCTTGACAAAGCCTCCAGTTTGATACAACCAAGTCGGATGGGCAGTTTAAGAAGACAGCCAGTAACAGCAAGCTGAGGACCTACCTGCCCGACTTCCGGTTCACACCCTTCAAGCAGGGTGAGCCCTGACCCCACAGCCCTCCACTTGGTGGAGGCCTGCCCCAGCCCCTCCCTCATGCTCGCTACCAGGGCAGAGGTGAGGTGCCCCCTCAGAGCCTGTACTGCCCTGGAGGTGGGACACCAAAGCTCTGAGGGGTGACTTCCCTGTCCCTGGGCCTCCTCCCCCCACTTCCTCCCATGCGGCCCCAACCCTCCCTGTCCATGGCCCTCACCTGCCTGCCTCTGCAGCGGTGAAGGAGACCTGTGCTTGGTTCACTGACAACTACGAGCAGGCCCGGAAGTGAAGCTGGAAGACAGGATCAGGTGCCAGCGGACCATCGGCTGGCAGAGCCCAGCGGCCACCACCCGTCAACCCTGCCAGGAGCTGAGGGCACCACCCAGCAACCTGGGCCTGCATTCCATCCGCTCTGCAGCCCCAAGCATCTTTCCAGTGGGGCCCCCATTCACGTTGGTCCTCAGGGAAACCAGGGTCCCGGGCAGGCCCGGCGCTTTGCTCCCCACACCAGCCCCCTGCGCGTGTCCACTCTGATCCTGCATCCCACTCCCTGGGAGCCAATAAAGTGCATTTTCACAGGCCTGGCCTTGGCAGCTCTGTGCTGAGCCGTCCCCCACACCCAGGGACTGCCCCCTAGCCTGGCCAGTCCCAGGACCCACTATCCCCCTGGCTTACTGTTCAGCCCCCAAGAGCTGGTGACTCCCTGGGGTGGAAAGGCCGCAGAGGCTGGAGATGGGAAGGCACACGTGGGCAGGCAGCAGGCAGGCAGCAGTGAGACTGGTGTGGACTGTCAGCTGGACAAGGATGTGCAGGGCAGGGCCAGTCCCAGCCCCTCCACATGTGGCCACCTGCAGGCCTGAGTAACTTGAGCTCACCCGGACCTCCCTGCCTCAGCCTGAGGGCTCTGGGGAAGCTGGTCTAGTGGGCCAGAAACGTCTAGTGAGCCAGCCGAGCTGAGCCCATGGATGGATATGAGGGGAGGCTGATGATTGGGTGGCTCGGGCTTCCCCTGGCCTGGCCCCTCCTCTCTGTGGCTCTCAGGCTTGGGCGTGGGTCCCCCACCTGGCCTTATCCCATGGAGAGGGACAGGTGCCTGCTGGACAGGTCAGCTCCAGCCACCAGAGGTGGGGTGTCATTGCTCGCCGCCCCCGTCCATTCTCAGAGGGGAGACAGCAAAGTCCAGAATGGTTCCCGGGCCAGTGCCTCAGCCAGGCAGGGTGGCGCTGGGGTATGGACCAGGAGCACTGGGCTCCAGGCCCCGGCTTGCCCGTCGCCCCCTTTCTCAGTGCCTCGCACAGAGGAAGCCCCTATGCCAGAACCCTCTGGTCCACTGCATCCAGGACCCAGATGCCCTCCCTGGCTCCTGGCCCAACTCTGGGCCCACGTCCTCAGGGTCCCTCTCCTGGGCGCCCTGTGCCGTCTTCACGCACATGATGCCTTTTGGCTGCAGGTAGGACCTGCTGCTTCACTTCTTCGTTCATTCCGGCAGCGGTGATGTGTCCTCCCTGTCCCGGCACTGAGTCCAGACCGGTGTGTCCTGCACCCAGCCAACCGCTCACCTCATCTCTCACTGTCCCTTTGTGTCCAGCAAGCCGAGGTGTCCTCCAGGCCTCCCCTGAGACTGGCCCCCTCTTGGGTCAAGGCCTCCCTACCTTTTAGGCCTCAGCTGAGGTGGCCCAGCCTCCAAAACACCTTCCCTGATGGCACCTTCACAGCGCCTCTCGGAGCATCCACCCTGCCCTGCTGGGATTGTTTGTCTGGAAACCTCTGGGAGCCCCGCCTCAACCCCTAACCCTCCCGCTGACACCCCAGGACCTCGAGCTCCAGGAGACGGGTTGGCCTCGTTCACAGTGTATCCCCTGGCCCCAGCCCTTTGTGGATAAAGGCTCTGCCCATGTGGGGGTTCAGGAAAGGCCTCCTGGAGAGGGTGGCGCCTATGTGGCTGCTTGGATCCACCAGGTGAACAGTGGGAAGAAGCCCAGCCAAGAGCAGAGAGGTGCCCTGGACACAAGCCTTGGCTGGCTGGGTGTCCACGTCAGCTGAGGGCTCCCAGCTGATGCTCAGAAGCCCAGCCCGGCATGGGACGGAGAAGCTGAACGGGGCTGGGCCCCTGGGCCTCCTTTTACCCACTGTGGCCCTGGGCACTCAGCCAGCAATCCTCCTTCACCTCGCCTCAGTCCACTTGTTTATGATGAGCTTTGTCCTTATGTATGATGGCATGGCACTGGATGCCTCTGGCCCCTCTCACCTCCCCACAGCCTTGGTCCTGAGCCATCACTGGCCCAGGGGGCCTGGGAGAAAATCCAGGGAGTCTGTGGGAAGGGGCTGGGAGGATCCGAGGTGGCAGGAGATACAGCTGCTGACGCTGTGTGCTGGTGCAAAGTGTCCACCACCCACGTTTCTCGGCTGCAGTGGCCGAAGCAGCCTCCTGGTGGCTTTCTGTCCCTTTCCACCTCATTTGCTTCAGAGCCTTGACACACTGGCTGTCCTGCGTGTGTGCTGACTGTAGTCTGTCTACACTGCCACCAAGCAGGGCTGCAGGGTGGGGTCCAGCCTGTCCCATCTGCTGCCGTGGGGTGATCTTGCCCAGGCCCAGAGCAGGGCCCAGAGGCTGCAGCTGCACAGTGAATGTTGAATCAATGAGAGGATTTCATTACTGAAGAGCTTAGAAAATGTCAAAGGCTTGGGCCGGCACGGTGGCTCACGCCTGTAATCCCAGCACTTTGGGAGGCCGAGGCAGGTGGATCACGAGGTCAGGAGATTGAGACCATCCTGGCTAACAAGGTGAAACCCCATCTCTACTAAAAATACAAAAAAATAAGCCGGGCGTGGTGGCGGTCGCCTATAGTCCCAGCTACTTGGGAGGCTGAGGCAGGAGAATGGCGTGAACCCGGGAGACGGAGCTTGCAGCGAGCCCAGATGGCGCCACTGCACTCCAGCCTGGGCGACAGAGCGAGACTCCGTCTCAAAAAAAAGAAAAAAGAAAATGTCAAAGGCTTCAAAAGAAAATAACATATGTAACATGCAGCTTTAGATTGGATGATGAAAAAACCGCACTCAGATCTTCAAGCCTTGTTTTCCTTGTGTCATTAAAAGTGACGAGTACCCCCTCCCCGACTGTCCCCTCCGTCGGTCTCAGGCCCCTGGCCCTGGCCTGCTCTCCGTGACCTGGGTCTCCGCCCCTAGTGCTTCCCCGCAGCTCCACCGTCTGTGGTCGGCGGGGCCTCAGTGACCGCACGCTCTGGACCAGCCCCGCAACCCGCTTCGCTACCCCTCCCCTCCGGAAAACCAACATGTGCTCCTCGCACGCGCGACCGGGACCCCTCCCCGCTCCTCCGGCCTCTCCGAGCGCGAGTACCCCGCCGGCCCCGCCCCTTACGGCCCCGCCCCCAGTTTCTCTCAGCCAATGGGCAGTGAGGGGCGGCATAGCCCTTTCGGGCCAATAAGCAGCGAGAGGCGGGGTTCCCGCGCCTTGCGAACTTGTAGAGTGCGGACAAAAAGCCGGCCGGAGTGTGCCGTCCCAGTAACCAATCGGCGAGGGTGGGGACGGGGAGGCGAGTCCTATTGGAGGGCGGGGGTGGGGCCTAGATCTGTGGGCGGGGCGCGGCCTGTGGATGGGCGGTGAGCGCAGCGGCGTCCGAGGCAACAAGATGGCAGCTGCGGAGCCGTCTCCGCGGCGCGTGGGCTTCGTGGGCGCGGGCCGCATGGCGGGGGCCATCGCGCAGGGCCTCATCAGAGCAGGTGGGGCGGCGCGGGGCTAGGCCTGCGGTCTGGAGTGGGAGCAGCCCCGTGGGAGGTGTCCTGCCGCGAGAGTGGGGCCGGGGGCGCGGGCCCAGCCAACCGGGTCTCCGCTCCGCTGGGCGCAGCCGGGGCCACGCCTGTTTGCTCTTACTTTTTTGACGTGGCTGCGGGAAGATTTGAGTCACACGTGGCTAGGTGCCGCTTCCGTGGCCGGCTTCCTGGCCGCGTGGCCTTGGCCAGGCTCACCTCTTCCAGCCTCTGATTTTCTCTTTGCGCGCCAGCCCCTCTCATGGGGAGCAGCAGGGCTTCTCCCCCAGACACCTTGGCTCTAGGGACACCTGGGCCAGACTATCCATCCTGTGCCAGCAGCACCCCCACGTTGTGACAGCCAAAAATGCCTCCAGACACTGCCGAATGTCCCCTGGGTGGGGGGAGGAGACAGGCAAAATCATCCCCTGTTGAGAAACACTGCTTTATACCCGGAATATTTATGCTGACCATATACTCCTCCAGGCATTTAGAAGCCTCTCTGCAGATTGTGGATAGGGAGAGCTGGGTGACTTTTGACTCTCTGCCTTCAGCCATACTTCAGGGTCCAGAAGAGTCAAGATCAATCGGGAAATAGCTTACTATGAGTCTCAGGAGTCTTCCCTGTGAAACCTGGCAGTACCGCATGCCTCCCAGAGCTGTACAGGTTAAATGAGACATAAATGTCTAGTGTTGAGCTTAGTACTGGTGTGTTTGGCTGCCACTGTCATGATTAATTGCTGTGTTCAGGTTGTGGTGTACACTTGTGCCTTCCTGTTCGACCTTACCAAAATCTAACCCAATCTTTCCACCCCGTACCCGACAAAAGCAGATAATTTCTACCAAGTAGGCATTTAGCCTTTTCTTAGACATTCCAGCATAGACTCTCCCTCTCGAAGAACCTGGGCCCCGATTGGGCCTTCTGTGGCCAATCAACTGCCTTTGTACCCACCACATTCCCCCAAGGCCTGGTGTTCCTCCAGAGGTACTGCCTCTTCTGCTCCAGGCAGCCTTCCCTTCCCTGGAGGCAGAGGCCCCAGGGATCTGTGTCCTCACCAATGAGGTAAGCTCCTGGCCTCCATACCCAGCAGCAGTCAGGGGCGTTGACCGCCAAGTAGAATCAGTGGATCTGATTGCCTGGGCCCAGTGAATGGTGCATCCCGCTTTGGGTTCCTGGGGCCAGGAGGGGGCCCAGGATGGGCCAGGCGTGGCTGAGCCTGAGAGGCCAAGTGAGCTCCCTCTCCTCTCCGTGCCATCCTATCCCACCCCTTCACCAACCCCTCTTCCTTTTCCTTTCTTTCCAGGAAAAGTGGAAGCTCAGCACATACTGGCCAGTGCACCAACAGACAGGAACCTATGTCACTTTCAAGTGAGCATAGAGCCCAGGTTCTTCATACCCTCAGGAGCCCAGGATAGCTCTTGGCTCCTGTCCCACTAAGACACTTATCAGAGCCAGGGATGGGTGGTTTATTTAGCTGAAGTTTGCAGACTGGCTGGTCTGGGCTGGGAAAAGGGAGATTAGAGGCCAGGAGGAAAGTAAGGTTGTGGAGGGCCAAAGCAAAGTGTTTGTGTGTGTGTGTGTATGCATGTGTGAGTGCATGTCCGTGAGTGTGTGTATATGCACGTGTGTATATGTGAGGCTATGCGTGTGCATGTGTGTATGTATGTGCTCATGTGCGTTTGCACGTGCGCTTGTGTGTGCGTGTGCACGTGTGGTGAGTGCATGTATGTCAGTGCATGTGTGTGCGTGTGTGTATGAGTGCATGCTCATGAGTGCATGTGCACCTGTGTGGTCGTGAGTGCACGTATGTGCTTGTGCATGTGTGCCTGTGCAGATGTGTATATGAGTGCGTGTGTGCGTGTATGAGTGCGTGCGTGTACACATGAGTGCATGCTCGAGTGGGTGTGTGTGCATGTGTTTGTGCTCATGAGTGCATTCATGTGTACATGTGTATGTATGCTCGTGAGTGCATGTGTCTGCGTGTGTGTATATGAATGCATGCTCGTGAGTGCGTGCATGTGCATGGGTGTGTTTGCATGCTGGGTGGTGGTCACAGACATTCACTGGGGATGGAGGGCTCAGGGCTTGGGGAGGCGCTGACATCAGGATGGCCTGTGAGGAGTAGGGCTAGTCTGGGGGAGTCTTGGGCACTGGAGAAGTCGGGGTGGTCTAGACACTTGCAATGGGAGAGGCCCTGGGACCATGGGAACGTGTGGCATCCAGCAGGAAGGGCTGTGATGGAGAGGGTGCGCCGCTTACATGGCCCCTGAGGCTTGGTCCTGGTGTCCCTGGCGCAGGCTCTGGGTTGCCGGACCACGCACTCCAACCAGGAGGTGCTGCAGAGCTGCCTGCTCGTCATCTTTGCCACCAAGCCTCATGTGCTGCCAGCTGTCCTGGCAGAGGTGGCTCCTGTGGTCACCACTGAACACATCTTGGTGTCCGTGGCTGCTGGGGTGTCTCTGAGCACCCTGGAGGAGGTGAGTGTCCCTTGGGCTAAGGCCTTGGTCCCAGTATAGGCTCTGCTGGCCAGGCTTGGGCGGCAGGCAGCCCCCCAGAGAGCCTGAGAGGTGGCCGTGTGGCCCACCTGGATCAAGTGGCTGGATTTAGGGTTCCCTCCTGGTGCTGTACCTGGGAGGCAGACGCTGGAGCCCACCGCGAGCTGACGTGGACCTTTCCTGAGGCCCCTGCTGGGGCCTGCCCAGCAGGGCCCAGTCCTACAGACTCCCTGATTCTGACCTCTCTCTGGCCAGCTGCTGCCCCCAAACACACGGGTGCTGCGGGTCTTGCCCAACCTGCCCTGTGTGGTCCAGGAAGGGGCCATAGTGATGGCGCGGGGCCGCCACGTGGGGAGCAGCGAGACCAAGCTCCTGCAGCATCTGCTGGAGGCCTGTGGGCGGTGTGAGGAGGTGCCTGAAGCCTACGTCGACATCCACACTGGCCTCAGTGGCAGTGGCGTGGCCTTCGTGAGTATTGCCTCGTCCATCCCCGGCCCCACCCTCGGCAAAGAGGGGGCCCACCCCAGTCCCTCTGACAGCCTCTGCCCTCAGAGTCCAACCTTGAGGCCTGCGTGGTTGCTCCCCAGGCCCACTGGGAGCTCTGCTTGTCCCCGGGACTTCACTGCCTTGGGGATCTTTGAGGCCAGCCCCTTTGCAGACCGTTGGGCTCAGGCCTTGGTTCTGGCCACCCACGGCTACTGCTCTGGGCATTGTTCCTGAAGGTCCTGAGCCCCCAGGCTTTGACACCTATCCCCCCCAACCACCATGCCGCGGCTACAGGTGTGTGCATTCTCCGAGGCCCTGGCTGAAGGAGCCGTCAAGATGGGCATGCCCAGCAGCCTGGCCCACCGCATCGCTGCCCAGACCCTGCTGGTGAGTGAGGGTGGCCCCTGGGGAACATCGGGAAGGCCCAGGCCTGTACCTCTTCCAGTGCGCAGGGAAACAGCAGGCTCGAGAAGCTGGGGCCAAGGTTGGGGGATGCAACGAGGGCAGGCCGCACAGTGGGGACCGCACCACCTCCCCCCGTCACCAGGCCCTAACGCTCTCCTCAGGGGACGGCCAAGATGCTGCTGCACGAGGGCCAACACCCAGCCCAGCTGCGCTCAGACGTGTGCACCCCGGGTGGCACCACCATCTATGGACTCCACGCCCTGGAGCAGGGCGGGCTGCGAGCAGCCACCATGAGCGCCGTGGAGGCTGCCACCTGCCGGGCCAAGGAGCTCAGCAGAAAGTAGGCTGGGCTCTGGCCATCCTTTCCTGCCTCTGTGCCCCTGCCTCTCCCTGTGTCCCTTCCCCTGAGGACTGCGGCTCCCTCCCTCCTGCATGAGGGTCTCCTACTGCTCCTTCTCCCCTTGCACAGGGAAATGCAGGGGGCAGGACTTGGGAGGTTCCAGCAGGCGGGGGAGCCCCGACCAGTGGGGACACTCCTCCCTCCCCAGTGAGCAGAAGGCACCGTGGTGGTGGCTCTGCCCCTTGCTGCAGTGAGCCCACCTTGCTGCAACATTGGTTCTGAGGGGCCCAAGAGATGGCGTCTTGGTCATTTGCCCGCATGGTTGGGCAGTTGGTTGAGGCCATGAACAGAACTTACGGTAACAGGCACGGCTGGCCCAATGCCTGGTCTGGAGCTGGAGCTTGCCTTTGGCTTTCCAGGTGGCTCCGTGCAGCTACAGCCAGGCCGGCTGCCTCATCTCAGCTCTAGGGGGCACGAGCCATATGGGGTCTGCACAAGAGACCCTCTCCCCTGCAGTAAAGCCAGGGGCCCTGGCCTGATGGGGCCCCCATGGGGAGCTGGAGCCTGCCCTGCAGCCTGGAGAAGAGGGTGGCTGTGGTGGGCGTGCTCATCCCCTGCTAAGGAGCAGGAGCTGCTGGGCCAGGTCTGCGGCAGTGCTGGGGTGGCACCAGGTGGGCAGTGGTAGGTGGGGTGGCTTGAGGTCTGGGAGGGTGGCCCTGGCCAGCCAGGACACATGCAGACCCCTGGCTTTAGTCTGGATACAGGCTCCCTCTTTCCTCCCAATCCTAAGCTCCTGACAAGTGGCCAGGTGGCTCTGGGCCCTCCTGCCCCGTGCCTAGGTCAGGGGTCCTGGAATACCCCGTAGCTCTGGCACCACCACACTGGCCTCTGATGGCAAGACTTGGCCCCTCCACCTGTCCCTAACGGACGGCAGGTCAGGAAAGCCAGGACTCAGGGGAGAAGCAAACCCCCAGGATTGAAGGCTAGGGTTCTAGGGCCTTTGGGTGGGGAGGGCCCGGGCCGGACAGCCTCAGCTCCGTCCCCTGCCCCACAAGATTCACCTGGGCCTCCAGTCCCACGCTGGCCCCAACTGCTGCAGCTCTCGGCTTCCGCCCAACAGCCTCTGGAGGTGAGGCGGGAGCATGCCCTCAGCGAGGCTGGGCGGCGGGTCCTGCTGTGCCATCTCCCTGTGCGCCTGAGCAGATCAATCCACCAGTGCAAAACAGGGCTAACGGCACCTGCAGGACAGCAGCACGCTCCATCCCTCATGCTCAGCTGCCTCTGCGGCCACGGACTTCTGCCCTTCATCTGCTCTCTCTTACTCTCCTGAGCCTAGCCCGTCCGTAAGCTCCCTCCCCTGCCTGGTTCCCAGGGCAGGCTGACTCAGTTGACTGCTTGGTCCAAGCCTGGCCCTGGCACTTGTCAGGGTCAGCCTAAGGAGATGGGAATAAAGAGGCCAGAGAGCACCAAGTGAGCTCATGTTTCACCAGAGGTGGATAAAACCAAGTTCTGGGCTGGGCCCAGTGGCTCACATCTGTAATTCCAGCACTTTGGGAGGCCGAGGCGGGCAGATCACAAAGTCAGGAGTTTGAGACCAACCTGACCAACATGGAGAAACCCCATCTCTACTAAAAATACAAAATTAGCTGGATGTGGTGGTGCGTGCCTGTAATCCCAGCTACTTGGGAGGCTGAGGCAGGAGAATTGCTTGAATCCAGGAGGCGGAGATTGCAGAGAGCCAAGATCATGCCACTGCACTCCAGCCTGGGTGACAGCAAGACTCTGTCTTGGAAAAAAAAAAAAAGAAGGTCCAATGCCTGCCCCATAAGTTGAGGCCTGGAACCTTGGTCAAGCACAGGTGTCAGCCGAAGGGGGTGCTGGCACTGTGGACAGCAGAGGTCTCCCCATGCCTGCTACAGGCCTCTACATCACCTGGGGGCTTTGTAGGGCATGGAATTGCAGTTTCCCCTGCACGCTGTCACCCCAGGGGACTGTATGCCAAGCCTGGGCAGGCCTGGGAGCCTGGGGTCTGGTGCAGGCGGCCCCCTGAAGGAAGGTGGACAGCCCTTCTGACGGCCACCTGCATTCACACCAAGCCCATCTGCAAGGAGAAATCATTGACTTTGCACCAACACCTGTCTCCCCCTGGGACCTCTGACAAGCCCTGGGCACTAGGTGAGCTCAGCTCGGGAGGTGGAGATCCCAAGCCAGCCACTCCTGGCCCAGCTGGTGAGGGCCTGTGACAAAGACACGGGCTCAGTTCTCGGCACGGCAGGGAGCGTTGTGGTGAGCCAGGCCTCCCCTGTGCCTTCTACTTCCAGGTGAAAACTGTTCTTCAAGACAGAAAACGATGGATATGATTACGGTATCTTTGATCAATGTTCCACTTTTATGCCCTATGCCCCAACTGTTAATCTAGGGGGTATTCCTGATCCAAGCGTTGGATCAAGAGTTTAAAAATAAGACTTCAAAACAGGGATGCTCATGAAGTGGACATGTCCAGCCTTTATTAGATAAAGCCACTGGGCCCATCTGACCAGGCGAGCTCAGCTGTAAACAAGCTCGCCAGTTAGAGGAAGGGCCCTCAACAGAGCATGACCCCACAAGCCTAGGGACTCCGACATGCTGTTGGGGCTGCTCCCCATGGGTGTCTCAACTAGGTAGGTAAGGGGTTGGGGTCTCTGCAGGACCCCCCCGTCTGGGGGTGCTCCCCTTCCTTTCCTACCACAGTGTGATGTTTCATCCGCAGCCCAGTGGACATCGAGGGGGTCCCCCAAGCCTGCAGGTCCTTGGGCCAAGGCAGTGGCCTCGTCCCCCTGAAAACGCGGGTCGGGTGGTTTCAACAAAACCTGCACTCATCTTTCCCTCCTCAGCGCCTTCCCTTCTCCAGCCCCCACAAGCCCAGGAACTCTGACAATGATGCTGACACGGGGGTCACTAACTGGAAGAGCAGTGAACAGGAGCTGGGGGCTCTTGGGGGCCATCTGAGCTGAGGACAGCTGGCTGTACCTCCGAGGCCACAGGCACCCCCACCCACCCCTGCGCCTGCAGGGAATGTGCAGAATCTGCCAGAGCGGAGGCCAGAGCCCGCAGGCAGCCACGGCTGTTAGAGGAAGCAGATGCAGCCTCACCCCAGCCCACGTCTGTCACCACAGCCAGGGCCTGGCAGGCGATGGCACCCGCGCAGCTTTGGGAAAGAACACTTGGCCTCCCAAAGGGTTCTGCCACCCCTGGGGGCCGCTACAGCCACCAACCCTGGGGTCTTTCCATCACTTCAGACACTGAGCAGAACCCAGAGAGGGTTAGTGAGCTGCAGGTAGGGCTGGGACGGGGCCCCAGGTTCCAGCCCAGGGTCTCAGGGATCCATGGCTGGCACTGCCCACAGGGCCAGGCATGGGCAGAGCAGCCTTCTCAGCAGCGGGGCCCAGCGGCCAAGCCTCTGTCACACAGCACCCTGTGCCAGCATGCCCCGTGCTAGGGAGAAGATGCTTTTTAAGCCCTCTTTAGGGGGTATTTCCCGTCTAGTAAGTGCCAGCAGGCAGACCCACTCTTGACAGGCTCCTAATGTCCCCACCAGCGTGCACCTGCACTTTTTTTTTTTTTTTTTTGAGACAGAGTCTCGCTCTGTCGCGCAGACTGGAGCGCGGTGTTGTGATCTTGGCTCACTGCAATCTCTGCCTTCTGGCTTCAAGCATTTCTCGTGCCTCAGCCTCCTGAGTAGCTAGGGTTACAGGCACCTGCCACCACGCCCAGCTAATTTTTGTATTTTTAGTAGAGACGGGGTTTTCACCATGTTGGCCAGGCTGGTCTCGAACTCCCAATCTCAGGTGATCCACCCGCCTCAGCCTCCCAAAGTGCTGGGATGACAGGTGTGAGCCAACGTGCCTGGCCTCTTTTATCTTATAGCAAAAATTAGTGCTGCCTTGTTTATAGAAAGTGGCCATTGAGGGACTGGGGGACAGGCCACAGCCACCCCGATGAGAGGAGCGGGCCTGCCCTCACCGACACCAGCCTCCTGGGACCCGGGCCAACAAAAGGGCTGAGATGGGAAGAAAGGTTGGAAATGAAAGCCTCGCCAAAGACGCAGCGGCAATGAGTAGTTGGGCTGAAGGGCAGCGCCACGGGCCGCCCAGACTACAGACAAGGCCTGGCTATGCAGCCCTCACTGGCACCGCGGCCGTGAAGTCAGCTTCTCCTCAGAGCCCTGGAGGCAGGCCTGGCAGAGCAGAGGTGGTGTCCCCGCCTTGGGGGCCTGTGCCCCTGGGAAGGTGCTGGCCCAAATGTCTCAGGCTTTCTGCAGCCCATCCCCAGCAGTTCAGGCCAGAGGCTCTTCCTGCAGGTGGCGGTGGCCTGATGGGCTCAGCAGGCATGCCTGGAGCTGCTGCCCTGAGCTCTGCTCAGGGAGTCTGTTTCTTCTTCCCCAAATTTCCACGGCCTCCCTGAGCTCTCAGATTTTGAGATATAGATATATACATATATATGTATATATTTCTTCACTTGCGGGCAGTTCCAAGGAACTGTTTGTTCCTGGACCTGTATAAAGGTCACTTTTGGGGGACACCCTCCAGCTGCCCCACTGCCAAGCTGGTGCACAGCCCTTCCCTTCCCCGTGCAGGCCTCCAGCCTACCCCTGCACTCCACAACTCTGGGTTTTCAAGGTTCCCTCTCCTAGGAGGACACTGGGGGCAGATGGGGACGAGGGGTCAACACCTGGAGGCAAGCAGGCCAGCTCCCTGCCCCTCACACCAGCTCGGGCAGCATCTCTGCAAAGGCAGTTCCCACCCTACCTGAGGAGGCATGGGCATCCCTGGCCCCAGTCCAACCAGAAGGACTGTAGGTCTAGACCTGGCCAGAGCAGAACAGAACCAGGGTTTGACAGGCCCTGGGGCCCTTTCCTCCTTTCAAAGTAGGCCTCCCAGGAGCAGCTTGTCAGCCACATCCTTGGCAGTCCCAGGAGAGGCAGAAAAGTCTGAGGGTGGGGAGGAGAGCCCACAGAGGGTGGCACTGCGTATTGCCCTGGGGGCTAATGCCAGGGCCTGCTTCCAGGTAAGTCAGGTGGCTCCAGGCCCTGGGACTGGACAGAATGGTCTGTGGCTGATGAGGAAGCAGGGGAAACTCTCCTGCCGTTGGCCAAGTCACCAGGGCCCAAAGCCAGGCAGCTGCCAATCCCACGGAATAAGAGATCTGTTCAGTTTTCTTAGGGAAAACTAAAAATCCAAGGAAACGGAACTCTACACCTCCCTGCTGCACCCAGAACCTAATACAGGGCTCCACCCCTCCCACTCCACAGTGATGCTCCAGTACCTGGGGCCTCTGACCTCCAGAGAAACCGCAGGGCGGCCCGAGACCAGCCCACCCGGCCCCTGTTCTCACGGCCCCTCTGAAGAGTATCTTTAAAAACAGATTTAATGTGTTAAAAAAAAATAGAATCAAGTGGTGTGCTTCGCCACTGAGATGATTGTGCTGTGGCTCCGGGGCCACATAGCACCAGGGCTCGATAGCAGACAGGAGTTTCGGCCCTCGTCCAGTGCATGTGACTGGTGCAGGGGCGGAGGCCCAGCCCCACGGGGGCCAGAGCAGGAACACAGCCACCTGTTCCAACAGGCGCTGTGCCTTGTATGCCCCGTACATGTGCCTGCCCTGAGAGGAGCATGGGCCAGGCCTCTCTTCCAGCTGTGCCCCCAGGGTGCCAGTGAGGCAGGGCGACCTCTCACCAACAGAGCTCCTCCAAGCCATGCTGGATTTGGATTCCTGGAACCCCCTGTACCCATGCGGTGGGCCACCCCAGGGGGAGGGGAGGAGAGATGGGAGACTGTGTGTATGTCCCCTCCCTCCAAGTGCAGCAGGAGAAAGGTCACTGGGCTGGCCTGGTCACACACCGTCATAGGGGCCTGCTGGGGTATGCCCGATGCCCCCCAGCCTCCGGGCCATGCTGATGAGTGAGCGCAACTGCACCAGCCTCAGTGGCCCCACCTCTCTGGGGTCCTGGTTCTCCAGCCACCGCAGAGCTGTTTCTAGCCCCCGCACGGCCTCCCCGGCAGTCGGCACTGAGGTCCCTCCATAGTCGGTGGCCTCCTCCTCGTCCTCTCCGCCCCCCATGGCAGAGGGCAGACTGGCTGGGGCCGGAGGCGCTGCAGGGGGCAGGGCTGGGCCCACCTCCTCCCTGCAGCCCTCGGGCGGACCCCCATCATCGTCCAGGTGCAGCCACTCCGCAACCTCCTCCGGAGCCAGGCACTTGTAGGCCAGAGCCGCCAGGTGGGTGAGGTCGCTGAGCACCCTGCTGTGCTCGGCGGCTTCCTCGGCCTGGGCCGGCTGCCCAGCACTGTCCTCGCCGGGCCGGGGCTCGAAGGCAGCCCGCAGGCCCAGCAGCCAGCAGCGCTCAATGCTGCCCGCCTGCACCAGGTCCCAGGAGAGGCCAGCCAGGTAGAGCATGTCCTTGAGCATGAAGCTGCGCATGAAGTCCAGCGGGGAGCCGCTGGCGCAGGACACAGCCAGTCGCAGCAGCTCGCGCTTGTACAGCTGTTTGAAGGCGGCCACCACGCCCTGCTCCAGCGGTGCGGGGATATGTGCCCGGCTGCTGCCTTTGGACAGGAACAGCACCCGCACAGCGCCATCCGGTGTCTGCAGCTCCTCCGGGGGACCGAGGGGCTCCGGCCTGCACCGCACGGGGGCATCCTCGCTGTCCAGGGCGGGCATACTGGCAGCTGGGCTTGGGCAGGGCGGGTGGGCCACCAGCAGCACGGCCTTCTGCTGCAGGCAGCTTCGGCGCAGGTAGCGTTTGACGCCTGGGACAAATTCCTCAAAGAACCAGCCCCGCAGCAGCGGGCGGCTGAGCCAGGCGTCGGGGCTGTAGCGGTAGGAGGCCGGGAACTTGTCCTGGTTGTGGTGGCGCAGGCTGGGCGGGTCCGGCAGCCGCCCGATGACCAGCGGCTTCAGCTTGTGGCTGCCGGTCAGGTTTGCGGCCAGCAGCACCGTTACGCGGTCGCCCCGCCAGCGCCGGCCACAGCCCCCCGCCCCGGGGTCCCCTGCGCCCGGGGGCGCAGCCTGCTCCGGAAGCAGCTTCCAGTAGAGGCCGGTGACGCTGGCGCTGTAAATCTGCTCGTCCCCGTAGCCGCCCTCGGCCGGGGGCGGCGGGGCCGGGGCGCGGTCGGGCAGGGGGCCGGCGCCGGAGGGCAGCGCGGGCTCCTCCTTGACGGGCGGGCCGGGCGCGGGGCTCGGGGCTGGGGGCCCGGCCTCGCCGTAGAAGCGCTGGCTGGAGATGCCGTGGCGCTTCTGCCAGCGCCAGAACCAGCCGTGGCTGGCCTTGAAGGTGCACTCGGGCCCGTAGATCTGGCGCGCGAAGGCCTCGGCCTGCGCCTGGATGAGCGGGCCAGACAGCGGCACCCCGTGCTGGCGCAGCGCCAGGAACCAGGCGTACACGGCGCGGTCGATCTCCTCCTCGTTGGCCAGCCGCATCTTCTTGCGCTGAGTGCCCACCTCACCGCCCAGCTGCTCCAGGAACCAGCGCAGCTTGGGCTCGTCCTTGAGCCAGCCGCGCAGCGTCCCGCCCGGCACGCCGAAGTCGCGGCACACACTGGCCTGCCGCTCGCCGCCCTTGACGCGCTCGATGGCCTGCAGCTTGTCCTTGATGGAGTAGGCCTTGCGGAAGGCCATCTTCACGGCCACGCGGGGCCGCGGCCCGGGCGCGGGGGGCGGCGGCCGTGCAGCGGGGACGGGGGCTGGGGCGGGCGCGGGGGGCCCGGGCAGGGGACGGCGGCCGCGGCGCGGTACCGGGCCGGCCGGGGGGCCCGCGGGGTACATGGCTGCGGCGGGGGGGACCCGGGCCGCGCGGGTCGCGGGAGCCACACGCCCAGCCGCTCGGGGCGGGGCACTCGGGGGCGGGGCCGCACGGGTCCCTCCCCTTTGTCCCGCAGCTTGGCGGGCGCACGCGCGCTGACCTAGCCCGGCCCGGCCCCGCCCCGCGCCTGCGCGCTGGCCGCCTCGTGCGTCACTCGGCGCTTGCCGGCTGCCGGACCCGCCCCCACCGGCGACACCACTGGCCGCGAAGCGCAGGGGGGGCGCGCGCGCTGCCGCCCGTTCCCAGCACTTGTGCAGACTCCTCCGGGGAAGAGCGGCCTCCGCGGTCATCTCCAACGGAATTCTGCCTTTGAAGTGTCGGGGCACGGCGCGTCGAGGGTCCTGGCGGCCAGGCGGGGCGTGTGCAAGGGTCGCGTCCCCCCCCCGGGCCCCCGGCCCGTGGCTCTTGGTAGAGCCCAGTGCTTCATTTCCCGTGCGCGGCCCGGGCGGCCCTCCCTTTCATCAGTCTTCCCGCGTCCGCCGATTCCTCCTCCTTGGTCGCCGCGTCCTTGGCTGGCGTGTGAGTACCGCGGCCCCCGCCGGAAGGAGTCGGGCGCGACAGAGACGCCCGAGGGGCCGGGAGGGCGGGCGGCCCGGGCTGCGCCAGAAGCTCGCGCCGTTAGGGACTGAGGCACAAGTGCGCCAGCGCGGGCTTAGGGGCCGTGGGCCAAGTGCGGCACTTGGGGCGAGCGCAGAGAGGCGGGGCGACGGAGGCCACGTGGCCGGCTTGGAGGGCGTCCGCGGGACGGGGGCGCCGGGAGCACTGTCTCACGGCGCATCCCGGTCGTGGAAGCCCCTCGGCCAGGCTGCTGGGGCCTAAGGCCTGTGTTTGCTGCCGTCTCCGTGGGAGACCAGACATCTGCCCCAGCTGTTTCTCTGGCCTGCAGACCTTCGTACACCACGTCTTTGTCAAGCACCAGTTACTGCACGCATCAGCTGAGCACGGAGGGGATAGGCACGGACGCAACACTTTTGGAACTTAGACGCTAGTGAGCACGGAAAGGAATAAGCCTGTACTGTGACTGGGTCAAAATTTCTGTCTCTTGATTTGGATAGGGTGGTCGGGCAGTCTCTGAAGGGGGCGGGGATGCTGTTGCTAAGAAGTAGTACTTTCAGAGGCTTTAAGTGGAAGGAAGAAGGCAAAGGGGGCGGAGTGGGTTGGGGACCTGATGAGACGTCAGGATTGGTTTCCAGAATGAAGGACCGCCTGGCAGCAGAAGAACTGTGTAGCTAAACTTGGGGTTGTCCCTGCCCGACAGGGCGGGGTGCTTCTTAAGTTGACACTGCCTGCGGCTCACCTCCCAGGGAGGCAGGCCAGGCCATCTCACCTGAGCAGCCTCCTTCTACAGCTCCGCCCACCCCGTCATCTGGACCCCATGAGCCTTAAGCAGCTGGCTCGCAGGCAGTTGGTTACTTCCGGAGCCCGTGTGTGCCCAGCCCCGTTCTGGGGGTGGGGGATGCAGCTGAGGGGCTGGGCAGGTGTGGAAGGAGCCCCCGAGCGTCCTCTGAGGAAGTAGACGCTCACCTTCGCCTTCTCACCACATGCCTCAGGCCCAGCCAGGCTCCTAGACCTGCCTCTGTAGAGGCTTTCTGGGCGCAGTGCCAATCCTGTGAGACAGCAGCATCTCCCCTGGGCTGCTGCAGGGTTCACACGCAGTCAGTGCTGGCAGAGTGAGCGCCCAGCCGACAGAGCCCCCGCTGCCTCCCGCCTCCTCTGGAGGACTAGGCCCTCTGGGCTTTGCTCCCGGGTTGCTGGGTGAGGCTGCAAGGTTTAGCACAGGTGGGCACACGTGCTTGATGATGGACAAAGAGTACCTGGGCTGTGCCGTGCACTGGCGTCAGCCTTCTGGGGGCTGAGGACAGGAAATGTGGCATTGAGGATTTGTGGGTCATCATCCTGTGCCAGTGTGTTAAGGTGACATCAGCGTGTTGGAAGCTGGTGGCAGTGAGTTATGCTAAGTGCTGGTGTAGGAGCCTGCCACAGGTCTCCAGCTCTCCCACCTCGCTGACAGCCAAGGGTGCCGTGTGAGGTGTGGCGTGGGTATTGTCTGGGGTTCCAGAAAGCCTGTGCCGTGCTGGAGTCACCCAGGAGGCACAGGGGCTGCGCCGGGCAGGCAGGTCGGCCAGAGCCCCTCAAGCAGGGCTGGCCATGGAGCTGGCCTGCAGTGGCATTTAAGAAAAGACGTGGTTGGGGCGGGGCTTGGCCTGGGGCAGGGTGGGTTGGGTAGCTACAGTGAGTGCTCTGAGATATGCAGGACAGGCTGGCGTTTCCCAGTGGGGCTGGAATATCCAGGGGTCAGACAGGAAAGTGGCTGAGTGGGAATGTGGAACTGTGGAGTTTTTTCTCTTAAAAAGACCAAAGGCGGCTGGGCGTGGTGGCTCATGCTGGTGATCCCAGCACTTTGGGAGGCCGAGGCAGGCAGATCATGAGGTCAGGATATCGAGACCATCCTGGCCAACATGGTGAAACCCCGTCTCTACTAAAAATACGAAAATTAGGCTGGGCGCATGGCTCATGTCTGTAATCCCAGCACTGTGGGAGGCCAAGGCAGGCAGATCACCTGAGGTCAGGAGTTCGAGACCAGCCTGGCAAACATGGTGAAACCCCATCTCTACTAAAAATATGAAAAAATAGCCAGGTGTGGTGGCACACGCCTGTAATCCCAGCTACTTGGGAGGCTGAGGTAGGAGAATTGCTTGGACCCGGGAGGTGGAAGTTGCAGTGAGCTGAGATCGTACCACTGCACTCCAGCCTGGTGACAGAGTGAGGCTCCGTCTCAAAAAAAACCCAAAAATTAGCTGGCCGTGGTTGCGCATGCCTGTAGTCCCAGCTACTTGGGAGGCTGAGGCAGGAGAATCGCTTGAACCGGGGAGTTGGAGGTTGCAGTGAGCCAAGATCGCGCCACTGCACTCCAGCCTGGGTGACAGAGTGAGACTCCGTCTCAAAAAAAGACCGAAGGCCTCACTCCACGCAGGAAGACATTGATCTGTCCTGTGGCTGCTCTGCCGTGCGGTGGTTTTGCCTAAAGACCCGCTTCCTCAGGGGCTCCAGCCTCTTTTAAGGGCTAGTCGTCGCGCCCTTTGGGCACTGAAGGTACTGAAAGTTCTATCAGGCAGTGCCAGTCCACAGACTCAGGCCAGCCAGGTGGGCCGGAGAGGGGTGCTGCTGGGAGGGGTGGGCGTGCACAGGCTGAGCCGGTGGCTGACCCCGTCCCCTGCCCACCTCCCTGACTTCTCCCTGTGGAGGGTGGACAATCTGGGAGCCTGTCTGTGTGTGCGACTGTGATGGGGTGGCGTGGAGGGCAGGGCCTGGGAGCCAGCTCCTCCCAGAAAGCTTCCGTTTGCCCAGATGTGTGGAGACCTCCAGGCCGTGCAGCACCTTGGTGGCCACAGCTCTCCAGGATGTCCTCACCTTCCTCAGGGCCCTGCCCTCCTGACCTGGAGTGTTCTGGGTAGGAGTCTGCCGGGGCTGCTCCCAGGACAGGGACAGGGGAGGCTGTGAGGGCCATGCCGCTGCAGTGGGTCTTGCTGGCTGCCACCTGTGTCACAGGCCCTGTTAGCTGGGTGGAGCCTTCCAGAGCCAGGACCCCAGGGCACTCTCAAACTCTGGGCAGCTGCCAGAGGCTCAGGTGCTTGGCAGACACTGTCTACCCCTCAGGGAAGAGCCTTGGTGGTGAGCCTGGCCTGCTTCCAGGAGCAGAGTAGGGACACTTTGGCCACTTCCCCCTGGGGCCTGGCTCTGGCGTTTCCAAGACTGCTTCTCTGGCAGCCAGCTGTCTCCCTGTGTTCTCTTTAGAAAGCTCCTCCTGAGCTTGGATAAACTGCAGGAGCGAAGGGGCTGACCGTTTGTCGGGACGCAGTTGAAAGAGTCGCTGTGTCCTGCTCCGGGCTCTCCTGCTGGAGAGGAGAGGCTTGCACGTGCCTGTCGTCTGCGCAAGCTTTGAAGCTCAGACTTGGTCTCTGTTAGGAGAGATGGTGCGCTGCGTCCGGCAGGTCCTCCCATGCTTGGGAATGCGGGAAGCGGGGAAATGAGGAGGTGGGCTCGGACGTGTGGGGGGCTGTGCTGGCTGTCCTGGGAGGCTCTCTGCCCGCTGTTAGTGGCCAGCTCCCCAGGTGACGGGCCTGGCCTCCAGGTCTCCAGCATGGCTTACTGTGGTGTCTCCTGAGGGCTTCCTCTCTGCAGGGAAGCCCACCCAAGATCCCTCTTACTGGTCCCATGGGGCAGCTGCCTCCGTAGCATCCTCGTCTCCACCAGACCCCTGCAGGGTGCCCAGTTCCTCCCTGCAGGGTGCTCCCTGCTGCAGTGTGGGGTGCACAGAGGTGGGCAGGGCCCTGGGGCCGGAGCTCCCGTTGGTGAAGGAAGACGGATCCCAGCCAGGGCTCTCGGGTTGATCAGCAGTAGGAGGTGGCCCCTCCTGCCCAGTCCCACCCAGGACATGGGCTGGTGGCTGGGCTTTCAGCTGTGCCCAGCTGCCCTTCGCAGAGCTTGCAGGGTTTATGAGGTGGCTCTGGTGAGATTAGGGGCAGGACACCTAGTGTCTCCAGCCGAGGAGTGAACTGGGTGGAGGTCCTGTCCTTGTGTGCACATTGTGGGAGAGTCAGTCTGGGAGGCCTTTGTAGCTTGTGCTGGGGCCCTTGGGTGCCAGCCCTGTCTTGACGGTGGCTCCTGCTGAGAGAGAGGCCCTGTATTAATGTGAGCCCTGGGCTGCCTCCCCCTTGAGGGTCCTTGTCATCTTCCGGGCCTCCTTCAGCAGACCGGACACAGGGGCAGTGCAGGTGAGGGGCTTGGGGGAGCTCCTTGGCAGCTCCAGGGGATGCTTGTGGGCGCTGGCTTATCTTGTCTCAGGCTACCTTGCTCAGGTGACGACAGGGTGGGTGGATTTGGGAAAGGTTGGCTCAGATAGTGGTCCCTGCTTGTCCCCCAGGGCCTGCCTAGGCTCCAACTGACAGTAATCCCAAGAGCTCCCCTTTCAGGGGATGACGGAGTGACGTCACCTGTGTGGACTCAGCTGCCACCTGGGATTGTGGTGGCGGCGGGTCTGTCTGGCGCTCAGCTTCCATCTCCACCAGTGTCACCTCCACACCACCTCGCCAAGCAGCTTCTGGAAAGGCCCCCGGCCGCCCCGGGCTGACCTGCTGCTGTGTCTGACCCGGTTAGTCTTTCTGGCTGCCTCTAACCTTGCTGCTTTTCCTTCATGCTGTCCTAGGAGGCCAAAGCAAAGTAAGTACTCGCCTGTCCTCATGCCCCATTCCCCTTCATTTGACCGGGGAACCCCCAGCCCTCGCTGCACCTGAGGGAACCCAGCACCACCTGCGCATGGCCCAGTCTGCCCAGAGGGCCTCAGTTTCCCATCTGGAAAGTGGAGGAATTGGGTTTTCTGGATGGGGCAGCAGCAGGTGGGCACCCTGTGTGGCCGTGAGCAGGGTCCTGTCCTGGGCTGGCGGGTCAGCAGCTGACATGCGGCTCCCTGCAGGGAACAGGTGGCAGTGCCAGGTCTCGGTAGGAGCCTTGAAGTGGCTTCCCCTCCCTGAGCGGCGGCTTCTGCCCGGAGCCCCCAAGAACATAGTCTGAGGCCACTTTGGCCAATAAAGTCTGGTAGGGCATCAACACTGGGGGCCAGCTCAGTGGCACTGCTGATGGGACCTGCACGGCTCCATGGGAGCAGAGAGACTGGTGGGGGTACCACCGCACGATGTCACAATGCCCTGTCTCCTGGGCTCTTGCTCCCACCCCACCCCCAACCCACAACCCCTGCCTCTGCCCATCAGCCTGGCCTTGGTAAGTGCTGCCCCAGCCTGGGGAAGGAATGAGCAGGGGAGCCTAGGGAGCGTCTTCATGGGCCCTGTGGCCTCCCATGGGCCCCGGTTCCTCGTTGGTGCCATTAGAACTTGTTGCTGGGACTGCGGGATTCGGGCCACATGCCCGCAAAGAACTCCATGTTCCACTTAGAGGCTGCAGAGTGCAGTGCCAGGGGTGCCTTCCCAAAAGTCCTCCCTGCCTGGGTGGAGCGTAGACAGCTCAGCACCCCACGGGGGGCGTTGGAGCCAGCCTTGGTTTTGTTGGGTAAGGATGTTAGAAGAGGGGCGAAGACCCATAGCCACTGGTGTGAAGGGTCTGCTCTTGACCGAAGGCTGCCTCCCTCTGGGTGCAGACCAGGCAGGTGGTCCCAGTCACGGTGCCCTGGGGCCACTGGGTCTGTCTGCCCTCAGGCTCCACTAGACACACCTGCGGAGGCAGCAGACTAGCAGCGGTGTCTGTGAGGGGCAGCTGCACAGCCCCCTCTTGAGGGTGCTCCTAGGCGTTGGTTAGGCCCAGGCGTTTCTGCTTTTGGGGAGCAGAGCCTGGAGTCGGGCATGGCTGGGGAGGAAGCTATCGCAGGCTGAGCGCGGGCTGGGGTGCTGACCTGCATCCCAAGAGCAGATTTGCCCCTGGCCTTCTGGGCCTGTCCTTTCTGTAACACCACACTGGACACCTGGGAGCAGAGCGTGCCCCCGGCAGGATCCCACATGGCTGCTGGAGCACTGGGGCAGCAGGTGACTGAGGTCGCCCAGAGCTTGAGGGAACACCTCATCCAGGGAGGAGGCTGAGGCTCCCAGGCCACAGTAGCAAGTGGGGAGTGGAGCCTCACAACCTGCCTCCCACCAAGATGGTCCCTCTTAACATTACACAGAAGCAAAACCTTAGAGGGGGCCCTGATGTCCTGGGACTGTGAGAGCCCCATGATTCCCCTTTAGCTTGGATGGACCCAAAGGTATGGACTCCAGCTGGGAGGCGGGGGCAGCTGATAGAGAGCCTAGAGCCGTCTCAGTGCTCCAGGCGCTTGGCCCCTCCTTTCTACACAGTGGTCACCAGCATCCTCCCTGGCGTCTCCTTCATGAGTGGGCACTCCACCCTCTGCCCGGCCACCTGGCCCCCTCCTGGGGAGGACAGTCAGGCCCACAAAGAAGCTCCCTCTTTTTTTTTCTTTTCCCCTGCTCTGTTGTCCAGGCTGGAGTGCAGTGGCGCCATCTCGGTTCACTGCAAGCTCCGCCTCCCGGCTTCACGCCATTCTCCTGCCTCAGCCTCCCTAGGAGCTGGGACTACAGGCGCCTGCCACCACGCCCGGCTAATTTTTATTTTTATTTTTAGTAGAGACAGGGTTTCAACGTGTTAGCCAGGATGGTCTCAGTCTCCAGACCCTGTGATCCGCCCGCCTCGGCCTCCCAAAGTGTTGGGATTACAGGTGTGAGCCACCGTGCCTGGCCGAGGCTCCTTCTTTTGTAAGAACTTTGAGGGTGCTCTGGGTGTGGCAGTGGTGTGGCCAGGACAGCCACAGAGACCGTTCTGTAGAATGGGAACACCAGCCACCATGGTGGGGTGGCCAGGCCTGGCCTGTGGAAAAATGCAGGGAAAGCTAGTTAGCCAGTTAAAGCTTATTTCAGATAAATGACGAAAAATTTTTAGTGTAAGTATGTCTCAGATACTTCATGGGCCATACATTCACTAACAAAATTATATATTGTTCATGTATTGGGAGGCACTTGGCCTCCCAGAGTACTGAGATTACAGGCATGAGCCACTGCGCCCGGCCTGTTTTCTCTTCACAACAAAACGTCCCCACATGGGCTTGACTTCGAAGTCCTCGAATGTCATCTCATGGAAGCCCCACTGGGGAGCATCCTCAGCCCCTGCCCAGGGAGGGCAGCCACGGGGAGGGCGGGCACGGGGAGGGTGGGCACGGGGCTGCGGCCACCCGCTGTGTTGCAACTCTGCCCTCTGCTTGCTTTTTATCGCTGTGTCCGGAAGATGAGGAGCGGGAAGGCCTCCTGCACCCTGGAGACCGTGTGGGAAGACAAGCACAAGTATGAGGAGGCCGAGCGGCGCTTCTACGAACACGAGGCCACACAGGCGGCCGCCTCCGCCCAGCAGCTGCCAGCCGAGGGGCCAGCCATGAATGGGCCCGGCCAGGACGACCCTGAGGACGCTGATGAGGCGGAAGCCCCTGACGGCGGCAGCAGGCGTGATCCCAGGAAGAGCCAGGACAGCAGGAAGCCCCTGCAGAAAAAGAGGAAGCGCTCCCCCAAGAGCGGGCTCGGCCCCGCGGACCTGGCCCTCCTGGGCCTCTCGGCCGAACGCGTGTGGCTGGACAAGTCACTTTTCGACCAGGCAGAGAGCTCCTACCGCCAGAAGCTGGCAGATGTGGCTGCCCAGGCAGCCTGGCCTCCTGCCTTGGCCCCTTGGGGTCTCTGCACCCATGGAAACCAGGTGGCCTGCCACCACGTGACCTGGGGGATCTGGGTCAACAAGTCCTCCTTCGACCAGGCTGAGCGGGCCTTCGTGGAGTGGTCTCAGGCCCTGTTGCTGGCCCCCGACGGCAGCCGCAGGCAGGGGACTCCCAACACAGGCCAGCAGGTGGCCGTCCCCGACCTGGCCCACCAGCCCAGCCCACCGGTCAATGGCCAGCCCCCGCTGGGCAGCCTGCAGGCACTGGTTCGGGAGGTGTGGCTGGAGAAGCCCCGGTATGATGCAGCCGAGAGGGGCTTCTACGAGGCCCTGTTTGACGGCCATCCCCCAGGGAAGGTGCGCCTGCAAGAGCGAGCCGGCCTGGCCGAGGGTGCCCGGCGGGGCCGCAGAGACCGGCGGGGCCGCAACATCTTAGGGAACAAGCGGGCCGGGCTGCGACGGGCCGATGGGGAGGCCCCCTCTGCCTTGCCCTACTGTTACTTCCTGCAGAAGGATGCAGAGGCCCCCTGGCTCAGCAAGCCTGCCTACGACAGCGCCGAGTGCCGCCACCACGCTGCCGAGGCCCTGCGGGTGGCCTGGTGCCTCGAAGCTGCCTCCCTGTCTCACCGACCCGGTCCTCGGTCTGGCCTGTCCGTGTCCAGCCTGAGACCCAAGTAGGAGAAACGTGCTGGGTGGGCACCCAGCCTGGGCTGTGGGCACAGGGACAGCCATCCCAGGCTGGGGCTCCTCCAGCTTCCTCCCCTGCCCACCTGGGGTGGGGGCTCCCCGAGACCCGTGGGCCCAGCAGAGTTGAATGCAGGAGCAGGCTGAGTAAAGGTGGTGCTGCGCTTGTGGGTTCCAGGGACACTGCTTGAGGTTACAAAGTTCCAGGCTGCCTGGATGAGGGCAGGGAAGGGCTCAGCACAGGGCAGAATCTCTGCCTTGCCCAGGGTCCCTCTTTGGCTGGGAAGCTCCCCAAGTCCCCTGTGGCTGTCACATGCCAGGGCTGAGAAGATAAGGCTACTTATAGGGGCGGGAAGCATTGAAGCTGGTTTCTGGCCCTAGCGCTCCCCTGCGATGAGATGTGGGAGCCAGTGTGTCCCTGCCTGTCCATCCTGTGCACCCCCAGCTTTCCTTGTCACCTGAAACCACCTCTGAGGGAAGGTGGTGGCGTCTCAGATGCATGGGCATGTGGCTGGTCAGGTGGCCTCCATCCCAGGGTGCCCCGTCTGTGTGACCTCCCTCTGGGTGCTGTGGGCTTGCTCCAGGGTGCAGGTGCAACCCCAGCAGCGGTCTCTGGGGCCAGGCAGGTGGGTGGACGATTGGACTTGGAGGGGAATACAGAGGGCATGGAAGTGGCGAGGCTGGCCTGTTGGCGAGGGTGTCCTGGTGGTGGGGCGGGCTGAGTCAGGGAAGGACTCTGAAGGTCCCAAGCAGCTGCTGAGGCCCCCAAGGAAGTGGTTCCAACCTTGGACCCCTAGGGGTCTGGATTTGCTGGTTAACAAGATAACCTGAGGGCAGGACCCCATAGGGGAATGCTACCTCCTGCCCTTCCACCTGCCCTGGTGTTCACGGTGGCCTGGTCCCTCCTTGCCGAGAGAGTGTCCTGGGTCAGGGACGCAGAGGACGCTCACAGACTCCAGCCCTTTGTTACCGAGAGGACACTTGGCAAGGTCCAGCGATGGTCCGGAGTCCACACACAGACTGGCGGCAGGGCAGGAGGGGGACAGTTCTGTTGTGCTTGGTTGGACAGTAAGAGGGTCTTGGCCAGTCCAGGGTGGGGGGCGGCAAACTCCATAAAGAACCAGAGGGTCTGGGCCCCGGCCACAGAGTCATCTGCCCAGCTCCTCTGCTGCTGGCCAGTGGGAGTGGCACGAGGTGGGGCTTTGTGCCAGTAAAACCACAGGCTGGATTTGCCTGCGGGCCATGGTCCCTGTCTAGGGCAGCAATTCTCAACCTTCTTGCTCTCAGGACCCCAAAGAGCTTTCATTGTATCTATTGATTTTTACCACATTAGCAATTAAAACTGAGAAATGGGCCGGGCACGGTGGCTCACGCCTGTAATCCCAGCACTTTGGGAGGCCGAGGCGGGTGGATCACCTGAGATCAGGAGTTCAAGACCAGCCTGGCCAACATGGTGAAACCTTGTCTACTAAAAATACAAAAAATTAGCCAGGCACAGTGGTGTGCACTGGTAGTCCCAGTTACTCGGGAGGCTGAGGCAGGAAAATCGCTTGAACCCAGGAGGCGGACGTTGCGGTGAGCCGAGATCGCGCCGCTGATTCCAGCCTGGGCGACAAGAGTGAGACTCCATCTCACACAAAAAAAAAATAACAAAAAAACTCAGAAATGCTAAGTGTACTTATTTGTTGAAGAAACTTGTTACATATTACTAACATCTTTTTTTTTTATGAGAAATACTTTTCCCATAACCAAAAAATTCAGTGAGCAGAATGGCCTTGCTTGAGGTTTTTGCAAATCTCTCGGGTGTCTGGCTTAGTGGGAGGCAGCTGGGCCCTCATACCTGCCTCCGCACTTCAGCTGTTTGACATAAACCCAGCTTCGTGTGAGTGAAAGGGAAGGGCCTGGGGACCCTCAGAGGTTCTCGGACCACACTTTGAGAACTCCTCGTCTGGAAGACAGGCCTGGGGATGCCATGTGGGGTGAGGGCTTACGGGCTTGGTGTCGCTTTGTGGAGAACCGCTGGTGTCTGAAGCGGGTGTCAGCCCCACTGCACCTTGGTGCTTCTGGGCTGTCCTGATGCCGAGGCCCACTTCCCAGCCATGCTGACTTTGCCTCTTTCCCCTCCCAGCAGAAAAATGGCTACAAACTTCCTAGCACATGAGAAGATCTGGTTCGACAAGTTCAAATATGACGACGCAGAAAGGAGATTCTACGAGCAGATGAACGGGCCTGTGGCAGGTGCCTCCCGCCAGGTGAGAGCTGCACGTGGGGCGGCTGGGCGGCTCTGCTGCCCGACAGGAGTGGCCGGGGCACACAAAGCGGATTCAGCCAGGCCAGGAAGGCAGAGGCACCCTGGCCCAGTGGCTCTGCTGTGGGTGCTGGGAGTGGGGTCTCGGGGCAGGCGGCCTTGGCCGGGCCCCCGGGCCGGGTCTGCTCAGGGCCCTCCTGCCGGCGCCTGTGCACTTGGTGTGGGGCCAGGCCTGGCACTCCTTCCCCCGCAGACATGGGCGCCTTTGCCTGTCGTCACAGCCTCAGGCATCTCCCGCTTTTCTGGCCCGCCAAGCTCTCGTTCTGTGCAGTACTTTCTTGCTGTCTCTATGTGAGGGTTCATGGGGTTTTTTGGTTTGTTTTTTAATTAAATTCTTTTTTAATAATAAAAAAAAGACTGGTTCTTTCTGCACTGTCTGCAGGAGAACGGCGCCAGCGTGATCCTCCGTGACATTGCGAGAGCCAGAGAGAACATCCAGAAATCCCTGGCTGGAGTGAGTACCCGCGGCCCACGGACCTGCGGGCTCCTGCTCGGCCAAGCAGCATGTCTGATTTTTCCTGATGCTGCTGGTTGTTTTGGCTTCACAGCAGAGTCAGGGCAGGGTGCACGGCGCTGTGCTCCTTGGGACGTGTGGCTCTGTGACCTCCATGCCCGGACTGCCACGGACAGTGTTCTTATTCTCGCGTCCCTTCCGTGCTTACCTCGTCTGCCGGCTGGCGGTCACACTGGCCGCTCCTGTGGGGCCGGCTGGGAGCTGAGTGGTGCCATTTGCAGGGTGTCCTGTGGGCACCTGGCATGAGAGCCTGTGCCTCCCTGCTTGCTCCCTGTGGCAGGACTGTGTGTCTGCTGGGCCTTCCCACATTCCCTCTTAGATCTTGCCTCACTGGGGAGAGAGAAGTGGTGGTTCTGCAAGGCGCAAGGAGTTCAGAGCCTAGAGTTGGCACCGTCTTGAGTTGGAGACCCAGAAGGAGCCCTGTATCCCTGCTTGGCCTCCAGGCCCCGGGCCAAGATCAGGAGTTGGAGGCAGTAGCTGTGGCCTGACAGGCTGGCTGGGGAAGGGGTGTCCTCCGGGAGGTGGCAGCCCTGGTGTTCCCGAGGAGTTGGGACTGCGTTCTCCCCGGGACGGGGTGGTGTCCTGGCCCCAAGAACGGGGTCAGTGTTTCTGTGGCTGCTGCTATGGCTTTCCACAGCCTCACGCTGGAAACAGTACATCTGTATCATGCCGGGTTTCCAGGCCAGAAATCTGAAATGTGTCTCACGAGGCTGTCCCCAGTGTCAGCAAGGTCGCCATCCTTCCAAAGGCTCAGGAGGAGTCTGTTCCTTTGCCTCTCCCAGATTCTGGTGGATGCCCACGTTGCTTGTTTCAAGGTGCTCAGCAGGCAGCCTCATCCCCGCCCCGCCTCCACTTCCATCTCGCGCCTCTCTCGAACCTCCTGCCTCGCTCTGTCACTTACGTGGTTCTTGTACTTGCTTTGGGCCCCCAGGATCCCAGGTCCAGGATGTTCCCACCTCAAAATCCTGAATTTAATCGTGTTTGCCAATTCTTCTTTTTGCCATGTAAGGTAGTGGATTTGCAGGCTCTGGGGGTTGGGACGTGGGCGCCGGAGATTCTCATTGTCTCATTTGTAAGGTGCATTGCTCCTCACCAACATCTGCAGAAGCCTGGGTCCCCCACAGTGTCCCTCCAAAGTCCAGAATCCCATCCAATCAGGCATGGGGGATTGCGTGGTCCATCCTGAGGCAAAATTCCTCTCCATCTGTGGACCAGTGAAACTGGAAAGCAAGTTATCTGCTCCCAAAATACAATTGTGGGACAGGCATTCCCTTTCAAAATGGGAAAAAGAAGAAGGAAACAGGGCGTCACTAGTCCCAGGCAGTTTCACAGTCCAGCCCGGCGGGTCACGTGAGGTTTGAAGGGAGCGCTCCTGTGTGGCCCATGGTCCCCCCCGCTGTCATTTTTTAACATCCCTATTCCTACCAACAGCATGTTCGTGGCAGTTTAGGTTGTTCTAGAAGATGACGTGTTTTCTCTGCCCTGCTCCTCACCTCCTCTGAGTCCTCACCGAGGGCCTTAGCATCTGAATTCTGCCAACAGGGTGCTCAAGACAGGCTAGGGTTTTTCTTTTGGAGGGGGTGGGTGAGTTGTGGACAGAGTCTTGCTCTGTCGCCCAGGCTGGAGTACAGTGGCATGATCCTGGCTCACTGCAACCTCAGCCTCTGGGGTTCAAGCGATTCTCCTGTGTCAGCCTCCCGAGTAGCTGAGACTGCAGGTGTCTGCCACCAAGCCCAGCTGACATTTTTTTTTCTTTTTTTTTTTTTTTTTAGTAGCGGCAGGGTTTCGCCATGTTGGCCAGGCTGGTCTTGAACTCCTGACCTTATGATCTGCCCACCTCGGCCTCTCAAAGTGCTGGGATTACAGGCGTGAGCCACTGTGCCCGGCCCAGTCTAGGGGTTTTCTGTCACGCTCCTCAAAATTCTTCCCGCCTCACCACTGCCCAACTCCAAAGCCATCTCCACATTGTTAGGCATTCCAGCAGCACCCCACTTCCTGGGCCAGGATCTGTGTTGGTTTCCACTTGATGTTGCTGTAACGTTGCCACACTTCCGTGGCTTAAAACAGCACAAGTTCCTCACCTTACAGTTCCGGGGGCCAGAAGTCTGAGATCATCTTATGGGGCAAAATCAAGGCTGTGGTCCTTCTGGTGTCTCTGCGGGGAGAATCCGCTTCCTTGTCTCTTCTGGCTGCTGGAAGCTGCTCACGGTCCTTGGCCCAAGGCTCCCAGGCAGCTGTCTTGTCACTCAGCCTCCCTCTCCCCTCCCTCGCTCCTGCTGCCTAGTGTGGGCCCTTGTGATGACAGTGGGCCCACCTGGGTGATCCAGCATCCTCTCTGCCGCTTAACTTAATCTTATCACATCTACAGAATCCCTTTGCCATGGGAGACCATATTTACAGGCTCTGCGGACTCGTATGTGGCTTTGTGGGGGCCATTGTTCTGTCTGCCACAGCCACAGCCACCTAGGGGTGTGCTGGCTCCCGGGCCATAAGCTGGGCATCCCTGGGTGGGTGGGCCCAGGAAGGGCTGCCACTCCTGTCTGCCAGGTGGGGTGCTCCTTTGTGCCTTGCGTTCTGCCCACTGGCTTGCACCCCTGGCTTGCCCAGGCACCTGACCAAGTCCAGGCTAGGCAGACATGAGATTAAGGGAGCACAGATTTTTGCGCCCAAGTCAGGCATATTGCACTCCAGTGCCCAGAAGGCAGCGGTCGGGGGCTTGGCCCTGGGGCTGCAGGAACTCTTCAGCCCTGGCTGTGTGGAGTCAACCCTAAGGTGTCTCTGGGACAGGCAGGTGGTCGCACTGTTAGGGCTTAGGGACTGGTTTGCTGCTATAACAAAGGTCCATAGACTGGGTGACTTAAACCACATGTATTTTCTCACAGCTCTGGAGGCTGGAAGTCCATGATCGAGGTGGCAGCAAGGCTGGTTTCTCCTGAGGCCTCTCTCAGCATGTAGACCGTCTTCTCCATGTCTTCACACGGTCATCCATCTGAGTGTGTGTGTGTCCTGATGTCTTCTTATTGGACACCAGTCAGATTGGATTAGCCCCCTGCCCCTCAGTGACAGTTACCTCTGCAAAGGCCCTGTCTCCAAATAAGGTCACATCCTAAGATACCGGGGGATAAGACTCCAGCATGTGGATTTGGAAGGACATTATTCAGCCCATGGCAGGGGCCCAGTCTCATCTTGGATTTGGGGTGGGAGTGCTCAGCAGACACTGGGGTTTCAGAACTGCAGGGTTTCTGGTAGCGTGGTGCTGGCACAGGGTTACAGGCATGGGTCTGGCTCTGAAGTGTTTGCCTTTGGCATCCCCCAAGTCCCTGAGGGGCTCTCTGAGGCCCGCTGTGACTGCACTGGGTGACCTGAGCCTGCCCGTTGAAGCTGTGCTCAGGGATTCTGATGCCTGGCATCCCTAGTCCCCCCTGAGTCAGCATCAAAGGAGGGGACTCTCCCTGTGTCCTGAGTGCTGTGGGCTCTGGCCTAGTGGCCCGCAGAGCCAGGCAGTGGTGAGACGGCCCCCGCTGCTCATCATGCAGCCCGGGGCCAGTGCTGACTTAGTGCCTCTTCCAGAGGGGACCTTTTCCCTGTCCTTGGGCCTGCTGTGTGGGGTGCATGAGGCCTCAGGTGCCACTCACAGACTCCGGCCTCCTCAGGACCCAGCCCCACTCCCGCGGGAGGTCTGCTGTGATTCTCCATGCCCCCTGGCGCCCCAAAGCCTGGCCCTCCCGTGCTCCGGCTTCTGCCCCCGAGTTTGTCAGTTTCTGCCGGTGCCTCCCGTACCCCCACCACCATTCACGCGCCTCTGCCAGCCTGGCCTTTCCCTGTCCATTTCCTCCTGGCCTTGCTGCCAGGTGGGCCTCCTGGGCCAGTTTGGCTCGGCCTTGCCCATGATCTGCGGGGCTTAGCTCCCACACCCTCCAGATACATAAACAAGCATTCCCCACAGCATGGTCCCAAGGACGGTGGCAGGAGGGCCCCAGGGATGGGTTTGCACGTTGGGCAAAGGCCTGAGTATGTCCGCACCTGCTGCAAGGAGCGGCTTTGCCTGCCCGGCTACTCCAGGCCCCTCCCCACAGAGAGGGAGCCCCGGGGAGCTGCCGAGATGGGGTTTGCTGAGAGCTCCATGCAGCCAGGTGCACCCTGTCCTTCGAGCCATCCTGTTGGAGGGTGGGCAGGCTAAATGGCCCATGCGTGCAGGTAGATGCTTAAGGACTGGCTAGTGTTAAGGGCCAGGAGGCTGGGATCCTGTCTGGGCCCCGAGGTATCAGTCTCAGCTATGGCAGAGTATGAGGTGGGCTTGGGGCCCTGGATCACCTAGAGACTGGCTTGCTGAGTGAGATGGCAGGCGTGAGGCCCAGGGAGACAAAGCTTTGGGTGGCTGCTGTCCACACAGGTGGGCTCCTTCCTTCTTCCCCCACTGGGCCCTCAGCTGCTCCCGCCTCCCATTTCCAGTGCTGCCTGGTCCCCTGAGGCGTGTCCCAGGTTGTCCCTAGGACTGTGAGTCCTTCAGCACCTCCCACCCAGCCTCTGAGCCTGGCTGCTCAGCAGGATTCCGCCGGGCAGCAGCAGCCATGGCCCAGCTCCCCACAGCCTCCGTCTCTGGGGCACCAAGAGCCTCCTGTCCTGGACTTTGCCTGGCTGAGAATTTCACTGTGGTCTGTGGTGGCCGCCACCTCTGAGGTCATAAGTTTGAGCTGGGCATCAGCGGGGGGCACCTCCTGCTCTCCCGAGCTGTAGTTTTCCTTCCGTGAGTTCCTGCAGTCCTGAGCATGGCAGGGGGACCCTAGGAGCAGGCTGGGCACTGAGCCCTCCCCTCCTCCTGCCTTGCAGAGCTCAGGCCCCGGGGCCTCCAGCGGCACCAGCGGAGACCACGGTGAGCTCGTCGTCCGGATTGCCAGTCTGGAAGTGGAGAACCAGAGTCTGCGTGGCGGTGAGGCCCCGGGCCAGTGGGTTGGGGCTGTCCCTGGCCCCTGCCATCTAACCGTGCTCCCCTTGCCCCCCCAGTGGTACAGGAGCTGCAGCAGGCCATCTCCAAGCTGGAGGCCCGGCTGAACGTGCTGGAGAAGAGCTCGCCTGGCCACCGGGCCACGGCCCCACAGACCCAGGTGAATGCTCTCCCCACGCCTGACACTGCAGGGGACCACGTGGCCCTGCTGGCTTCCACGTCGCCCTGTGGGCTGGCCCCAGCAGCAGTGATGAGCTGGCAGCCAGGATACTGGAGTCCTCAGGTCCCCAGGAAGGTTTACAGTTAGCCCTGGGCAGGTGGAGGCAGTTTTTGTCTTTCCTGGGGCCCTGCATGTACACAGCTGCGGTACACAGGGGCTGCCCTTCCTCCAGTCAAAGGAGGGAGGAGGGCCAGGAGGTGGCCAGGCAGCTCTGGGCCCTGGTTGGGGCGTCTCAGCCGTGCCTCCTGTCCCTTCCCCTGTGGCAGCACGTATCTCCCATGCGCCAAGTGGAGCCCCCAGCCAAGAAGCCAGCCACACCAGCAGAGGATGACGAGGATGATGACATTGACCTGTTTGGCAGTGACAATGAGGAGGAGGACAAGGAGGCGGCACAGCTGCGGGAGGAGCGGCTACGGCAGTACGCGGAGAAGAAGGCCAAGAAGCCTGCACTGGTGGCCAAGTCCTCCATCCTGCTGGATGTCAAGCCTGTGAGTGGGCGGGGTGGGGCTTCAGGGGGCCAGGCACTGCCCTGGTGCCCGCCTAGCCGGCTCAGCCTGTGACCCTCCCCCTGCCCTCTGGGTTCTGGGGAGACTTTAAAGCCGAGTTTAGAAGTCTTGGGATAAACACAAACTTGGAGGCAGGAAGGTGTGAATTTGGATTGTTTTCTGTGGGCCCTTTAAGGAAACAGAATTGTGGACACACAGTGGTTGAGGGTAGGGTGCATGCAGGTACTTCCTGGGTGTTCTGAGGGTGGCTGACCCCAGCTTTTCCTCCCCTTTCCCCACAGTGGGATGATGAGACGGACATGGCCCAGCTGGAGGCCTGTGTGCGCTCTATCCAGCTGGACGGGCTGGTCTGGGGGGCTTCCAAGCTGGTGCCCGTGGGCTACGGTATCCGGAAGCTACAGATTCAGTGTGTGGTGGAGGACGACAAGGTGGGGACAGACTTGCTGGAGGAGGAGATCACCAAGTTTGAGGAGCACGTGAGTGAGCCGGCCGGGGAGAGGAGGGGAGAGGAGACTGGGGACCCTGGCCCATACCCTGCACTCCACCCCACGGCAGTGGGGAGCGAGTCCCAGAGTGAACCCCACCTCAGAGGAGGCTCCTGGCTCCGAGTGGGCTGTAGGGGAACAGCCCTGACCGTCACCCTCCGCCTCTCCTCAGGTGCAGAGTGTCGATATCGCAGCTTTCAACAAGATCTGAAGCCTGAGTGTGTGTACGTGCGCGCGTGCGTGAGGCCCTGCCACGATTAAAGACTGAGACCGGCCCTCTGGCTCCGTCCTGGTCATTTCCTGCTCGTACCTGGCCTGTCTCCCTCCCTGTCTCAGCCCCATCTCTGCCCTGCTGTTCCCACACAGTCATCCTGGCTGCTGCCACCCTCTGTGGCCATGTCACCTTGCCCCCAGCAGACCTCCGCCTGTCCCTCCATCTCCTGGCCACTCCCTCCCAAAGCTCTGGCCCTCCCTCTTCTTTCCATTGCAAAAGCAAGTCCAGTTCAGGGGGTTTAAAAAGCCAGAAACAGAAACTGTTAGGTCACTATCTGGAGAGGCCACCACCCCACCACTCTGCCTCCTGTTGGCATTGTCCCCATGGGAGCAAGCGTGCAAGCCTGGAATTGTCCAGGAAAGAAGTCCCAGTAGCACCCGGCCCTGCTGCCATGCCCTTTGTCATGTGCTGTCCCGGCCCTCCCCTCACCTCATTCATTCCTGGAATCCCTGCCCCTTGCTCCAGGGACTGTGCCCCTCCCATGATGTTCTGGGGTGGCCAGAACGTGGCTGCCTGGGCTCTGTGGAGCTGTGCCTCAGCATCCTGACAGCCGTATGTGGTCAGCATGGGTGGCCACACTCCCTCCCCTGGACCACCCGTGTTTGCATTGGGGTGAAAGAGGATGGGGTGTAATTACTTGATTACTTCTGGTCAGACTCTGTCCTCGGGGCCCCAAGCCACAGGGGAATGGATTCTCCCTGGGTAGTGGCCCCTGACTTTGCCCTCAAACCTTTAGAAAGTTTCCTGTGGGGCTTGGACTGCAGGACCCCATAAAAGCCACCACTGAGGGACACTGGGCCTTCATAGCCACAAAAGGTCTTTTGGTGCCAGCCGACAGTGGGCATGCGCCCCCCTGCCCCACGCCGCCCTTTCCTGGGTGCCAAGCTCTTTCCAAGCGACATTTGCGTCCATCTGGGCTGCCTCGTCCTAGCCTGGCTGCTCAAGCTCTAACTAAGGCAGCCTCTGGCCTCCCTCCCCAGGCCCAGGGCAGGAGCTGGCTGCTGGCCAGCGGTTGTCTTCTGGGTCGGTGGGGGTGGAGTCTGGCTGGTCTGTCCTCCACCCTTTCCGCCGCCTGGCAAGTCCTGAGCTGCACCTCATTGCCCGGCCAAAGGGCAGAGACACGAGCGACTGGGGGCACCTCTGGTGACCAAGACCGGGCTGCGCTCCAAAGAGGCCGTTGGGCCTGGAGTGGGGTTGGGGGGTCCGAGAGGAGTTGGGTGACATCCCCCACCCCATCCCGGGTCCAGCTGTTTCAGCCCCTCTCGGCGCGCCGATACTATTAGCCCCACCCGTCCTCCATCGAGTCCCGTGCCGCTCCCAAACGGCACGATAAGCCCCACAGGGAGTGCGCCATAGGCCGGGGCGCGTCACGGGGTCGGGGCGGGGCGGAGTCCGGACGTCGGGAGCAGGATGGCGGCGGAGCAGGACCCCGAGGCGCGCGCGGCGGCGCGGCCGCTGCTCACTGACCTCTACCAGGCCACCATGGCGTTGGGCTATTGGCGCGCGGGCCGGGCGCGGGACGCCGCCGAGTTCGAGCTCTTCTTCCGCCGCTGCCCGTTCGGCGGCGCCTTCGCCTTGGCCGCCGGCTTGCGCGACTGTGTGCGCTTCCTGCGCGCCTTCCGCCTGCGGGACGCCGGTAGTCCCCCGTCCGCGCGACGAGCCCCCCACGCCCGGCAGAAACCCCCACCTATGGCCGGTGGAAGTCCTTGTCCCCCCGTGGAACCCCCCATGTCCCACGACCGGTCTGTCCCCGCGCTGGTCTCAGCGCAGTTACCTCGTTTCCAGACGTGCAGTTCCTGGCCTCGGTGCTGCCCCCAGACACGGATCCTGCGTTCTTCGAGCACCTTCGGGCCCTCGACTGCTCCGAGGTGACGGTGCGAGCCCTGCCCGAGGGCTCCCTCGCCTTCCCCGGAGTGAGTAGGGGTAAGCGGGCGGCGCGGCGGCCACGGGGTGCTGGGCCGAGCGCGGAGCTGACTTCTCTCCCCGCAGGTGCCGCTCCTGCAGGTGTCCGGGCCGCTCCTGGTGGTGCAGCTGCTGGAGACACCGCTGCTCTGCCTGGTCAGCTACGCCAGGTGGGCTGCGGGCCACTGGCAGGGAGCGTGGGCATGGGATGGGCCCCCAGCGCCGGGGCTCCGTGCTGGACTGTGGCGGCGGGGCTGGCTGCCCAGGGGTCCCAGGACTGGCCTCCCGCCCCCACTCTTCAGGGTGTAAGGAGGGGCTGGGTGAGGGTGGAGCTCCCAGGTTGGAAGTTCCAGGCCCCAGGTAACCGCCGTCTTGGGTGGCCTAGTGATCCTCACCCTGGGACCCCCTGACTCTTGGCTCCCCACAGCCTGGTGGCCACCAACGCAGCGCGGCTTCGCTTGATCGCAGGGCCAGAGAAGCGGCTGCTAGAGATGGGCCTGAGGCGGGCTCAGGGCCCCGATGGGGGCCTGACAGCCTCCACCTACAGCTACCTGGGCGGTGAGTGTCTGGTGCGGGGCAAGGCAAGGGCCGGGAAGGAGGAGCCCCATCTTGGCCCGAGGTCCCCCAATCCCACCGCCTTCCTCCCCAGGCTTCGACAGCAGCAGCAACGTGCTAGCGGGCCAGCTGCGAGGTGTGCCGGTGGCCGGGACCCTGGCCCACTCCTTCGTCACTTCCTTTTCAGGCAGCGAGGTGCCCCCTGACCCGGTCAGTCCCTCCTCTAAACCCTGCTGTCTCCAGGCGACAGGCCCCAAGCCAGCCCTTGCCCTGGCGAGAGGTGTGCCACCCAGGCAGGTCACCCCAGTGCTGTCCCAGGAAGCTGGCACGGGCTGCATTACCTTTGCTCTCAAACTAGGGTGTCCCTGGCTGCTCCCAGGCCTCATCCTGCATTCCTGGCCCCCATTCTTCACCGACTCTGTTCCACAGATGTTGGCGCCAGCAGCTGGTGAGGGCCCTGGGGTGGACCTGGCGGCCAAAGCCCAGGTGTGGCTGGAGCAGGTGTGTGCCCACCTGGGGCTGGGGGTGCAGGAGCCGCATCCAGGCGAGCGGGCAGCCTTTGTGGCCTATGCCTTGGCTTTTCCCCGGGCCTTCCAGGGCCTCCTGGACACCTACAGCGTGTGGAGGTGAGCCCGGGCACTTTAGGGGTGGGCTCAGCAGAACCTCAGCAGCCTCTGACTCCCTTATCTATTTCTGCAGGAGTGGTCTCCCCAACTTCCTAGCAGTCGCCCTGGCCCTGGGAGAGCTGGGCTACCGGGCAGTGGGCGTGAGGCTGGACAGTGGTGACCTGCTACAGCAGGCTCAGGAGATCCGCAAGGTCTTCCGAGCTGCTGCAGCCCAGTGAGTTTCCCGGGGAGGAGGTGTGCCTGGTGGGAGATCCCCGGGGTTTGGGAATGGGCAGGGAAGGACAGTGAGGTACTCTGCTGAAGTTTCAGCGGTGATACTGCAGGCCGTGGCAGGGAAGTAAGTGGTGGGGCTCCCTAGGAGCTCCCAAGCAGAAGGTGAGCACAGGTGTCCTTGACTGAGGCGGGGCGGGGAGCAGGGGGACACCAGGGTGAATCAGGAAGACCCGAGGGGTGGCCCCCACCCTTTCTCCACCCACGCGGCAGGTTCCAGGTGCCCTGGCTGGAGTCAGTCCTCATCGTAGTCAGCAACAACATTGACGAGGAGGCGCTGGCCCGACTGGCCCAGGAGGTGGGGTGGATGAGTGGGTAGGCGGAGGGTGGCTGGGGGGCTCTGGGGGCCCCTGCAGGTTCTGGCTGGGCTCATTGCCACCTCCTTCCCCGCCCAGGGCACTGCCACCCCCTTCCCCACCCAGGGCACTGCCACCTCCTTCCCCCACCCAGGGCACTGCCACCCCCTTCCCCACCCAGGGCACTGCCACCCCCTTCACCCAGGGCAGTGCCACCTCCTTCCCCACCTAGGGCACTGGCACCTCCTTCCCCACCCAGGGCACTGCCACCCCCTTCCCCACCCAGGGCAGTGCCACCTCCTTCCCCACCCAGGGCAGTGCCACCCCCTTCCCCACCCAGGGCAGCTGGGCTCACGGCCACCCCCTTCCCCACCCAGGGCAGTGAGGTGAATGTCATTGGCATTGGCACCAGTGTGGTCACCTGCCCCCAACAGCCTTCCCTGGGTGGCGTCTATAAGGTAGGGACAGTGTCGGGGGCCCAGGTGGGGGCAGGTCTGAGGGATGGTGCTGGGTGGGGGATAAGGACCAGCCAGCTCAACGCCCTCTTCCTGCAGCTGGTGGCCGTGGGGGGCCAGCCACGAATGAAGCTGACCGAGGACCCCGAGAAGCAGACGTTGCCTGGGAGCAAGGCTGCTTTCCGGCTCCTGGGCTCTGACGGTGAGGCCCTCCCATCCCCCCTGCTGTCCACCTTCAAAGCACCAGGGCCCCCGCTTATTCTTGCCCCGTCCACACAGGGTCTCCACTCATGGACATGCTGCAGTTAGCAGAAGAGCCAGTGCCACAGGCTGGGCAGGAGCTGAGGGTGTGGCCTCCAGGGGCCCAGGAGCCCTGCACCGTGAGGCCAGCCCAGGTGGAGCCACTACTGCGGCTCTGCCTCCAGCAGGGACAGGTGGCTGCCCCACCGCCCTCATCCTGACCCCCAGCCCCGGTAGAGCCCTGACTGGGAGCTAGCCCCAAGCTTCTCTTTCCTTACCTCCTCCCTGCAGCTGTGTGAGCCGCTCCCATCCCTGGCAGAGTCTAGAGCCTTGGCCCAGCTGTCCCTGAGCCGACTCAGCCCTGAGCACAGGCGGCTGCGGAGCCCTGCACAGTACCAGGTTGGGGGGAGGCCCACCCTGTCATTCTGCCCTGTGCGCCCCCGCCCTCACCCTGCCCACCGCTCCTGTCCTCTGCTCCCTGCAGGTGGTGCTGTCCGAGAGGCTGCAGGCCCTGGTGAACAGTCTGTGTGCGGGGCAGTCCCCCTGAGACTCGGAGCGGGGCTGACTGGAAACAACACGAATCACTCACTTTTCCCCACAGCTTGTCCTGTGTTGTTTGTGTCGTTTGTTCACCCAGCCCACGGGCTGCGCCTCCCGGGCTGCGGCTGGGCTGGAGTCGGGAATCTGAGCTCGAGGTAGCAGGAAGATTTGCATCCCAGTGAAAGCACAGGCCCTGCCGGCGTGGGAGACAGCCCTGTGCTGAAGCCCGAAGGGCAGTGAGGAGTTCCCCGGCTTTGGGTAGGCTGTGGGGAGTCAGATCCCACACTAGAACTACAAAGCCACAGGCAGGGAGGGCTTTGGTGTCTGCCTTGGAGTTGAGGGAGTTGCTGCAGACCTTTCCTTGCTAGAGGCAGGCTGGGGACAGGACAGGGTTGGGGGTAGTGCCAGGTAAGAGGGTCCAGCCGTGGCCCTGGGCTCCCACGCCTGCCTAGGCACTGCCCCCCAGGCTCAGGGTCAGTGAAGACGTCTCAAACTCCCCAAGTCAAAAGGGAGTGCTCAGGTGTCTCCTGCCACTGCTGCTGCCAACCCAGCACCACCCTGGCATCTGGCGTCAGGGACACAGCTCCTGACCCAGCAGCCCACGGAAGGAGAGGAAGAATGGGGAAGAAGTTGAAGCTCCAGGAGATGACTCAGCCCCAGACACCTGGCCAGAGTGGCACTGCACGTGGCTGTGCTGGGCTGGCCCTGCCTCTGCACCAGCAAGTTCCTGATCTCAGGGTTCCGCCAGTTTGGGCAACGTGAGCTTCAAGAGGAACTGCTTGGGGGAGAGGTTCTAGGCTTGGCAGGAAGTGGAGGCTGGGGGCCTGGGCCTCTCTTGTCGAAGCAGCCTGAGGTGGCACAGACAGGCAAGGGTGTGGGGGGAATGCTGACCGCCTGGGGCACTTCCGTCTGCCCAGGCATTCCACCAGACCAGCTCACCTGGCTCCCCGGGCTTCAGGGTGGGCAGCACCACTGTGTGGTTGGCTGAGGGTGGAGGGTGGGGACTTGGAGCAGAGGCCCAGTCCAGCCAGCCCCGGGGAGTACGAGCTAGGAGAGAGATACAGACTCACACACATTGGACAGAACACACCACACCCCAGGCACCCCCAGGGCACCCGCGCACTCCGAGGGGCCCAGCCAGAGTGGCTGTATTCTTCCGTTCTTGCACTGCTGTAAAGAAATACCTGAGACTGGGTAATTTCTAAGGAAGAGAGGTTTAATTGGCCTGTGGTTCTGCAGGTACAGGAAGCATGGCTGGGGAGGCTTCAGGAAACTTACCATCTTGGTGGAAGCGGAAGCGGGCAGGTCTTACATGGCCGGAGGAAGGGGTGGGGCGGTGCCACGCACTTCCAGACAACCAGATCTTGAGAAGTCTTATCATGGGAACAGCACCAAAGGGGGAAGTTGCCCCCAGGATCCAATCACTTCCCACCAGGCCCCACCTCCAGCACTGGGGATTACGTTTCAACATGAGATTTGGCCAAGGACCCAGGACCCAGAGGGGCCTGCACAAGCTCTGGAGGGGCCACCGCTCCTCTGGTGTCTTCACTGCCCCCTCCACACCTCCGGGCTGCCCCAAGCTCACCCAGTCATGCCTGTTGCAAGGTGTCTGACAGAGCCAGCGTGCAGGGGGCGGAGCCAGCGTGCAGGGGGCGGGGCCAGCCCCTAGCCCCAGGCCCAGTGGGGAGCTGACTGCTGCTTGGGGGCTGAATCAGGCCTCGACTCAGGGTGGGGCCCAGACTCCTGGACCCTGCGAGGACCTCCTCAGAGCTGTCCACAACTGCCCTGAGCTCCCTGGTCAACAGGGGCTGGTAGTCAGGGTGGGGGCCCTTCTCCCCCTTTCTTCGTGGATCTGCCAGCTCTTGGGGATCCTGTTCTCAGGGCCCTGGTGGGTAGAGCCACACCACAGGCACTCAGGCTGCAGGTGGCCACTCCCCTCCAGCAGCCCAGGCAGGAGGGCCCCTCAAAGGCCCATTGTAGGCACGTCCGTGTGGCTCCCCAGCCCCCGCAAGCTCACGCTAGCGCACGCCACCACGCCCGTCCGTGGTCCCGCCCGGGGCGGCTTCTAGGTCAGTCCTGGGCACAACTTCGCAGGAGGAGCAGCGGCAGGTGCTGCAGGCAAGGGCCGCCATGGCTGGGGGTGTGTGGGGCCGGAGCCGGGCCCGGGAGGCTCCCGTGGGGGCTCTAACCCTGACAGCACTGACTGAAGGAATCCGGGCCAGGCAGGGGCAGCCCCAGGGACCCCCTTCCGCAGGCCCTCAGCCCAAGTCCTGGGAGGTCAAACCTGAGGCTGAGCCACAGACCCAGGCACTCACCGCCCCCTCTGAGGCAGAGCCTGGACGTGGGGCCACCGTCCCTGAAGCTGGCAGCGAGCCCTGCTCCCTCAACAGTGCCCTGGAACCAGCCCCTGAGGGGCCCCACCAGGTGACGGGGGAGGGAAGGGATGTTGTGCGAACCGGCCTGGGGGTCCTGTGGATGGTAGGTGGAAGGCGGGGTGGCAGGGGGGCGGTGCTGGCCCCGGGGGAGGTCAGCGTGAAACAGGCTGGTGAGCAACAGAGGAGCAAGGGATTTTGTAGGAAGCCAGGTGGGAGGCCGAGGGACCAGGAGGAGAGCTAGGAGAGGTTTGGGCACTTCAGACGCCCCACCCATCCTGCCCTAGGTTCCCCAGAGTTCCTGGGAGGAGGGAGTTCTTGCCGACCTCGCGTTGTACACGGCTGCCTGCCTGGAGGAGGCTGGCTTTGCAGGGACCCAGGCGACAGTGCTCACCCTGTCCTCAGCCCTGGAGGCCCGGGGCGAGCGGTTGGAGGACCAGGTCAGCCTTCACCCACTTCATGCCCTACAGAATCCTGCCGGTTCGGGCACCAAGGTGGTGGGAGGGGCCTGGAGAGCGCAGCCTGACCCTGCCATCTTCAGGCTGCTCCTGCCAGGCGGGATCAGGGTGGGGGTGGAGGTGGGGTGCAGGCCAGAGGGGAATGGACGGTGGAGGAGGCCTGACTGCTGAAGTCTGCCCCCTTCCCCACCAGGTGCATGCTCTGGTGCGTGGGCTGCTGGCGCAGGTGCCCAGCCTAGCGGAGGGGAGGCCCTGGAGGGCGGCCCTGCGAGTGCTGAGCGCACTGGCCCTGGAGCATGCGCGGGACGTGGTGTGTGCGCTGCTACCCCGCTCTCTGCCCGCCGATCGGTAACCCAACCGTCCTGGCCCTGCGGTCCCCACGCGGCTTCCTTCCCTCTTCCCGCTTGGCGGTGGAGTCTGGCCCCAGAAGAGGGAGCTGAAAAGGGGCAGGGCCTCCTTATTCCAGCCCCGCGATGACTCATGCCCCGTATCCATTCCCGCTCCCCTCATTTTTAGCTCCGCAAACTCCCCCCACACTCCTGCCACAGAGTTTCTGATGCTGGGCTCCTCTCTTGGAGCCACCTTCTATCTTCGGGTGGCCTCCCCTGGAGACCGTCCTGGGGTTGGCTCCGGAGTGGGGTGAATGAGGCTGGGGGGCTAACGTGCCTGGACACCCCTGGCTCTTTGGTTAATTGGCCCCAGAAGTTATCTTTGGTTTTATTCTCTGTGGCAATTTTTTTCTTTTTAATAATGCCAGGTTTGTTTCACTGTCGCTGACCCAACGGGACTCCCAGTGGGTCCCCACCCTGCAGCTCAGCTTGAGATAGGCTATGTTGTGGTCTGCACAATTAACCCTTCATTTGTTTCTCTGAGATTTGGGGATGGGGGGAGATGGGAGGGGTTTCCTGCCCCTCCCCTGCTGGAGTCCTACTGGCTGCCTCCACCCTGGCTGGGGACTCCCTACATTCCCTGGACACCCACCCATCTCTTGTCTCACACCAGCCCCCTCCAAACCCTCAGGGTAGCAGCCGAGCTCTGGCGCAGCCTAAGCCGTAACCAGCGTGTAAATGGGCAGGTGCTGGTGCAACTGCTGTGGGCGCTGAAGGGTGCTTCGGGGCCGGAGCCCCAGGCACTGGCGGTAGGTGGCTCCAGCCATTACCAGGGGGTGGGGGCGGGGGTGGGGGGTGGCGAGGAGCGGGGAGGATGGGCATAGGGAGTTTGCACCTAGGTAACTGCTCCTGGAATGTCCCATGCGTGTCTGAGGCTGTCCCCATCCTGTTGACAGCACGCCTGTCCCTCTGCTGCCCAGTGCAGCTCCAGGCGTGCCCCAGGCCTGAGTGGGCCACTTGCTCCACAGGCCACACGTGCTCTTGGGGAGATGCTGGCTGTTTCGGGCTGCGTGGGAGCCACGAGGGGCTTCTACCCACATCTGCTGCTTGCGCTGGTCACACAGCTGCACAAGCTGGCCCGCAGCCCGTGCTCCCCCGACATGCCCAAGATTTGGGTTCTGTCCCACCGAGGGCCACCACATAGCCATGCCAGGTGAGAGGCAACACCAGGTTACGTGGGGCGGGCCAGCATGCTGTCACCCTCTCAGCTCCCACTGCCCACCTGCTCACTGTCCCCACCACCAGCTGTGCTGTGGAGGCCTTGAAGGCGCTGCTCACCGGGGATGGAGGCCGCATGGTGGTCACGTGCATGGAGCAGGCAGGAGGCTGGAGGAGGCTGGTGGGAGCCCACACCCACCTGGAGGGCGTCCTGCTGCTGGCCAGGTGAGGAGGGTGAGGAGGGGCCCCAGGGTGTCACACCAGGAAGAGAGTCGTTGCTGGCCAGGTGCTGGGCAGGGGGACAGGGAAAAGGCAGGGGCATGAGGGTGGTGTTGGGATGGGGTCTTCTCGAGGAGAAAGGCCGCCAAACGGAGCGAGAGCTCCCATTTCCACCCACCCCAGTGCTATGGTGGCACATGCCGACCACCACCTGCGAGGCCTCTTCGCAGACTTGCTCCCTCGGCTTCGCAGCGCGGACGACCCGCAGCGTCTCACGGCTATGGCCTTCTTCACAGGGGTGAGCCTGCTTCCCGGATGGGTGGTGAAGGGTGACCCTGGACTTGATCCCTGAATCGCAGCGGCCTGCACGGGGACCGCGGGCGTGCTGACCCCATGTGCCTCGCCTAGCTGTTGCAGAGCCGGCCCACCGCACGGCTCCTGCGGGAGGAGGTCATCCTGGAGCGACTCCTCACCTGGCAGGGAGACCCCGAACCCACTGTGCGCTGGTTGGGCCTGCTGGGCCTGGGCCACCTCGCGCTGAATCGCAGGAAGGTGTGAGAGAAGGGGAGGGGTGGAGAGGGGCTTGGCCCGGTCGCGGCGAGGTCTGCAAGAGGCTGACCCCGAGTCCCAGCAGGTGCGGCACGTGAGCACGCTGCTGCCGGCGCTCCTGGGCGCACTGGGCGAAGGCGACGCGCGGCTCGTGGGTGCAGCGCTGGGCGCCCTGAGGAGGCTCCTGCTGCGGCCCCGGGCGCCTGTGCGGCTCCTGAGCGCGGAGCTGGGACCGCGCCTCCCTCCGCTACTGGACGACGTGAGCAAACGCCCCGCCTCCGGGTCCCGCCCCTGCCGCTGTCACCGCCCCCGCCCTTCCAGTCTCTCCCTCCCAGGCCCCGCCCCCGTCTCTCCCGCCCAGGCCCCGCCCTCTCAGGCCCCGCCCCGCCCTTCCAGTCTCTCCCTCCCAGGCCCCGCCCCCAGTCTCCCTCCCAGGCCCCGCCCCGCCCCTCCTGTTTCTCCCTCTCATGCCCCGCCCCGCCCCTACAGTCTCTCCCTCCCAGGCCCCGCCTCCCAGGCCCCGCCCGCCCCTCTAGTTTCTCCTTCCCATGCCCCGCCCCCCAGTCTGTCAGTCTGTCCCTCCCAGGCCCTGACCTCCCAGGCTCCGCCCCGCCCCTCCAGTTTCTCCCTCCCAGGCCCCGTCCCCCCAGTGTCTCCGTCCCAGATTTCTTCCCTCCTGACCGCCCCCGCCCCTCCCGCCTGCTGTCGCCCAGCTCCGCCCCTCCAGGGCCGTGTCCCGCCAAGCTCCTCCCCGCTCGACTTTTCCTTCCGGACCCCATCCCTTCAAGCCCCACCCCCTGCAGGGGCTCTCCAGGCTTCCCAACCAGGTCCAGCTCCAGGCCCTGTTCCCTGTCCCCAGATCACACCGAGTCAGCAGCCTTCCCTAGACCCGCCGCTTCCTCGCTCCGCGCTGGCCGCCCCCTCCCACCCTTGCAGCCCCTCTCTGTCTCCGCCTGCCCTGACTGCGCCCTCCCACGCAGACACGGGACTCAATCCGCGCCTCGGCCGTCGGGCTCCTTGGGACTCTGGTGCGCCGGGGCCGGGGCGGGCTCCGGCTGGGGCTCCGCGGCCCCCTGCGGAAGCTGGTGCTGCAGAGTCTCGTGCCGCTGCTGCTGCGCCTGCATGACCCCAGCAGGGACGCTGCTGAGGTCAGCAGCCCCCGACACCATCCCACCCCTATGCCATCCAACACTCACCACTCCCACCGTGCCTCCCCTCCGACAATTACAGGTCAGGGACTCACCCATCCCAAGGACCTCAGTGGCAGGTGTGACGGGCGGCCAGGTTACTACTGCTCTTCCCTTGAGCAGAATCAATCCAGTCTCCTGCCCTGGGCTCTTCTGCCCCTCACCCGATGCCCTTGCTCCCCCTCTTCCCACCCCACCTTTTGCCTTTCTACTTCCTGGACCCCTGACCCGGCTCACTTCCCCTATCCCAGAGCTCAGAGTGGACCCTGGCCCGCTGTGACCACGCCTTTTGCTGGGGCCTGCTGGAGGAGTTGGTCACCGTGGCCCACTATGACAGCCCCGAGGCCCTGAGCCACCTCTGCTGCCGCCTGGTCAGTAGGGGAAGCAAGGTGACCGCAAGGGGGTATGATCAGCAGCCCACTTGTTCCAGGGTTCACCGGGGCCCCCAACCGTTTCTACTGCAGCCAAACCAGATAGGCTACTGGTGGGGCAAGTCCAAGGTCTCCGACCATGCCACCTGCCCTGGGGGCTCCCCTGGAACCCCGGCCCCTGGATTCAGCTCTGCAGCCTCCTCCGCACTCAGGATCAGCCCTCCTGTCCTGCCACTAGCCCTTTTGTCCCCAGGTTCAGCGATACCCAGGCCACGTGCCCAACTTCCTGAGCCAGACCCAGGGCTACCTGCGGAGTCCACAGGACCCCCTGCGCCGGGCAGCCGCCGTGCTTATAGGTGAGGCCGCCCGGGGTCACACTGCCCCTGGCACCGGGGCTTTGGGAGCTGGGCCAGCCTCCCCCTGGGGGGCTGTGGGGCCTGCACTCATGCATCTGCTGTGGTCCAGGCTTCCTTGTCCACCACGCCAGCCCCGGCTGTGTCAACCAGGACCTGCTGGACTCCCTGTTCCAGGGTGAGGCCCCACCTTGCCAGGGGATGGTGTCCTGGAGACGTGGCTGGTGCTAGGGCGGAGTGGACGGGAGCGGTGGGTGGAGGGCCAGGGGCCCGGGCACTCGGCCCTCCTGGGCTCCCCAGCCTGAGCCGCGATCTCCTCGCAGACCTAGGGCGACTGCAGAGCGACCCCAAGCCGGCTGTGGCCGCGGCAGCGCACGTGTCCGCTCAGCAGGTGGCGATGCTGGCCCGTGCCCGGGGCTGCCCCCGCGGGCCCCGCCTTCTCCGCATCGCCCCGCGCCCCGCCCGGCCCCCACCAGTCTTCGCCGACAGCCCCTTCCAGCGCCGGAGCGTCGCGGGCCGCTGGGGCTGCTCCGGACCCCGCCGAGCCTGAGGCTCGGGGCTGGGGCCCGAGGGCCAGGGTCCGACTCGGGCACCCCACGCGCATAGCAGCCTGTCCCCGCCCTGACGGAGGGGCTCCCTGGGCCTGGTGCTGGACGCCAATGCCCTCCCCCACCCCCCACCCCCGTGACCCCTCTTCAGGCACCCACCACCCTGATGGTGACAGAGGGGGACAGCCAGCACCCATCTGTCCCCGTCAGGGCTCTTGTTCTCACAGCCCCCTGGAGCATGCCCCATGCCCCAACCTTGGGCCTGGCTCCTGGCCCAGATGGCACCTGGCCTCTTGAGTCTGCTGGGGGACCCCAAAGTTGGTGGTCCCATAGCCTGCCCTCCTGGGTCTCCACCTCATGCCTGGACAGGACGCTGTGGCCTGTCCGGGCCTTGGCCAGCCCTGCAGCTGCACCCCCGATCCTCATCCCTCACCCCATTCCCTGCCAGCATCCTAAGGCTCCTGGCGGGCATCCTCTCTGCTCAAAATTATTGACCTGTCTCCCGGCCACACCTGCTGTGCCCTCTCAGCCAGGCCATCATCACCCCCTGTTCATTATGTCAGGCCTCATGGGAGCCTGGCCTTCTCCAGAAGCTGGCCCCGGCGTCCTCCCAAGCTGGACCACGTAGGCCCCAGATCACACCTGGGGGTCCAGATGTAGGGGTCCTGTGTGCACGCCCAATCAGACCGAGCACTTGTGACACTACCCCAACACCTCTCCCAGGGCTGAATGAGGAACGCGCCACTGGACACATGAGGAAGAGGCTGCTCTGGGAGCTACTGATGCTGTGACCTCACCTCTCTGGCTTTGGGCGGCAGGTCCCTGCACCTAGGATGCCTGCCTGGAAATGTCCTTGCATTCGTGGCCTCCTTCACAGCCTCCTCCTCAGAGAAGCCTCTGCGAGTGCACAGGGAGTGTGTGCAGCCTTGTGAAGGGCTGGGACCACTTGCCCAGACTGGGGCCCCTCAGGCACAGGCGTGGGGTCCTACTGACCTGTCTCCCCAGCTCCCACACAGAAAGCATCTAAAATAAACACACGTGGATGGAAAGCGTTGGGCATCTGTTTTGAGTGTGGTTATGGGAGCTGACCCTGGTCCAAGATCTGGCTCAGGCTGGGGTAATAGGCCATAGTCCCTGATATGGCCCCAGGTAGAGTCAGTTTGGCAGCAGGGTTAAAGGTCAGGCAGGCTCCAGGCACAGGCTATGGCCAGGTCAGGTTGGGTTAACCCTAAGACAGAGAAGCTGCGCTCTGGTCTAACAGGCATGGAATGGATGGGGTTAGAGCTGTCAGCACCGGGGTGAGTGTCTCTTTGCAGGTCATATGCAGGAAGCTGAGGATCAGGTGAAGGGCCCGGGTCTTCGTGGAGTCAGGGGCAAGGTTTGGTGGATGAGTTTGGAGCCTCCACAGCAGATACCAAAACGGGATTCAACATACCAGAAACAGATAGAGAGAAAGAGGCCAGAGAGGCCAGAGGCCACCAGATGCCCAGTGAAGGTCAGATAGACGGAAGCCCCATGGACGTCCGTGCTAGCCTTCAGGAAGCTCTCAAACCAGCCATCTGTCCGAGGTCCGCACCTCCCAGGACGGGCTAGGAGCACCCATGGGGGGCACACCCTCGGCACTGGCGGGGACGGGTTTCGGGACACAGCCACATGGATCGTCTCAGTAGCAGCCCCAAAGAGGGAAGCAAGCCCGGCCTCCTTGCTCACCTTGCAACCAGGAGCCAGGCCCCAGGGCAAGCATGTGCTGCCCACCTAGCACAGGCTTGCCCACACCCCACAGCACGCTGGACAGTCTGGTGGGCAAACCCAACAGTGATGCCACGCTCACCCCAGATGGGGGCTGAGGCGGGGAGCTGGCTGTGGTGGGCAGGCAGCACCCCTGCGCTCCTCCCCCTCCCTCATGGTGCCCGGGAGAGTCCGCGCCGTCCTGCGGCAGGCTGTGTGCAGCGCAGGCGGGCTTGCCCCATACAGCTCCCTGTTAGGAGTGTGTCCAGCCCCGCCTTGCTCTGGCACTGCCCAGAACCTGGTTGCCCTGCCAGGAGTGAGATTCATGCAAAGTCCACATGGCCTCTAGAGTGTGACTCTTCCCTGCTGGAATTCCTGGGAGGCTCCAGGTGGCACAGTGGGCTGGTCCCTCCATGGGGATGCTGTGTCCCCAGGGTCCATCAGATCCACCTGCAGAGAGCCCACCCCAGGGCAAATATTCCAACGGGGTCTAAGATTGGAGGGCAAGAGGGCAGGTGCACCCTGACACTCATTCCCTTTCCACCTCCAGCCAGTGGGCCGGGACAGTCTTGGCCTGGATGCCCAAACAATCTCTAACGGGCCATGTTGCCAGAGAGCTCATTGGTGGTGCAGCTCTCAAGATGGGGCTCAGGTGTGGCCTGTCACATGGCATGGCCCTGCCGGTCTCAGGGCCCCGAGGCTGTGCCTTGTGTGCCTGCCTTTCCAAATGCTTTCTAGGACCCGGGCTACTCCCACCCCACTCACCCTTTCAAGTCACCCGAAAGGGTTTTCCAAGGAGGACCATGAGTCTGAGAGGCGTTGAGTTTGTTCCTACACTGTGGGTAGGAGTGTCTAGGAGATTCTGTAACTTGGATCTGAGATACTGGAGTTTGTTTTGTCTCCTGTTTCAATGTTAATGTCACTATTCATAGCAATACCCCATCTCTACAAAAAATGAAAAAATTAGCCAGGACTGGTGGTATGTGCCTATCGTCCAGCTACTCAGCAGGCTGAGGCGGGAGAATTCCTTGAGCTCAGGAGATCGAGGCTGCTGTGAACCATGATTGTCCCACTACACAGCCTGGGTGACATTGCAGGACCCTGTCTCTTTAAAAAAAAAAAAAAAAAAAAGGCCAGGCGCGGTGGCTCACGCCTGTAAACCCAGCACTTTGGGAGGCGGAGGCAGGTGGATCACGAGGTCAGGAGACCGAGACCATCCTGGCTGACACGGTGAAACCCCTGCAGTGAGCCGAGATGGCGCCACTGCACTCCAGCCTGGGCGACAGAGCGAGACTCCATCTCAAAAAAAAAAAAAAAGTCTGCTGGGTGCGGTGGCTCACACCTGTAATCCCAGCACTTCGGGAGGCCAAGGTGGGTGGATCACAAGGTCAAGAGATCGAGACCATCCTGGCCAACATGGAGAAACCCCGTCTCCAGTAAAAATGCAAAAATTAGCTGGGTGTGGTGGTGTGCTCCTGTAGCCTCAGCCACTCGGGAGGCTGAGGCAGGAGAATTGTGGGAGGTGGAGGTTGCAGTGAGCCGAGATCACGCTACTGCACTCCAGCCTGGCGACAGAGAGACTCCGTCTCAAAAAAAAAAAAAAAAAAAAAAAAAAAAGTCACTGTTGGGCCTGGATACCAGGTTTTCTGGTGGATTTAATGTCCCAGTTGTAGCCAAATCCACTGTTCCTTCTCTTTTGCAAGCTCTGCAAGTTGTGTGGCCATTGTGTGCCCTGACAGAAGTGGGGAAGGCTGGCGACCATGTGCAGGTAGACTGGTCCCCACCAAGGAAGGTTGTCCACTCTCCCAGGAACAATCACTCCCCGGCCACGTCAAGTGTTGCGTGTCCCTCCCTGGACGTGGAGGCCACAGCTGCTGAGCTCCTGCAAGTAAGCAACTGGATGTGACCCTGGACCTGCTTAATTCCCACAGGCCGGAGACCTCCTCTCTCCAGGCTCTTAGCTCAGGCAAGCAGATGTGGGTGAAATGTACCAAAGGTCAGTTTCTTTAGTACTGCTTCCCCAGGAACCTCCTGTGTGGCCCCAGGAGGGCAGGGCCTGTCATCAGTCACACCTGCACCCCTAAAGCCCCTGTGGGCCGAGGATGGCTACACCCTTCAGCACATGCCTCAAGCTCCCTGAAGCAGAGGTTCCTGCCATGCCTCAGCCACGGACACGCCTGGTGGAACTGTCTCACCTAAATCGCCCTGCCCTTCCTCACAGGTAGAGAAACACACAGGCAGGGGTGGGCAGGGCCATGGGCCCATTACTCTAGAGAGCGGCCAAGCCCAGCATGGGGCTCCCCTTAGCTCCAGGGTGCAAAAGAAGCCGGGCAATGCAGACATCACCTGCACTTGGCCCTGATGTCCCTCCTGATCATGCATGGGTACTGTCCCCACCCCTACCCACCCTACCCCAGATCCAGGACCCCTCAAAAACTCTGCTACCAGCCTTTCCTTCGTATGCCACCTTTATTGTGTTTCCCCAACTCCTGGGCCCCATGGTAGACTGGCCACATGGCTACTGGGCTCCTGGCCTTCCTAGGGCTAGCAGCTGGTGGGCAAACACTCTGCCCTGCTGGAGAGCTGCCAGGCCATGCCCGGGCACAGGCTAGTGGGGCTCCTGGCTCAGTCCTGATAGCAGTGCCAGGGAGGCGTAGAGTGCACACATGCGGCCCTGGGCCTGCGGCTCCCAGCACACGTGGGGAGTGTCCTCCCCCAGCTCTAGGCCACACTCGTCCAGCAAGACCCAGGCCGGTGCTCCTTCGCCCCAGCTGTTCCCCAGGAGCCCGGGGGGCAGGGACATGGTGCTGCGCTCCTGCCACGGGGCACTCTGCTCCAAGAGGCTGCCCACCTGCCAAGACAGGGCAGGAGTGAGTCAGATGGGGAAATCTGGGCATCTTGTGCCTGCCCATACCACCCCTTCCCAGGTGCCACAGGGCCCCTTCCACTGGCTCAGCCCATCCTCCTGCAGCCCGAACCCAACCCTCTCACCAGCTCGAGCGGCCCCAACAGGGTCTGCGACTCCAGCGCCTCCGCCAGCAGCTTGTGCTGCGTTTCACTCAGCACTGGGAGAGAGTCAGGTAAAAGGGGGTTTCTGAACGCCCACCGGGAAAGCCCACCTCCCTCCCTCCCACCCGCCACCTGCCCCCAGCGGCCGCTCACTGGTCAGTGCCCCCAGCAGGTAGACAACAGGGATAGCGAGTTCCGGCACCAGCATTCCGGAGGACAACACCAGGCACTCCAGGACAGCACCTGCTGGACCGTCCAGGGGCTCCACCGGCCCAAGGCTCTGGCCCTGCTCCAGCTGTGGGCACGGGAAGGGCAGGTGAGTCTGGCTGGCTGGGCAGGCCTTGTGTGCCCCGGGCACCCTCCCCCGCTCACCGCCTCCTCCAAGGCTCGCAGGGCCAGCTGGTCCCGCAGCACCCCCTCCAGGCCCTCCAGCAGCAGCTGGCACAGCTCTCTGTCCAAAAGCTCCAGTTCCTTGGAGATGGTCTCCACCTCTGCCCGTAGGCCCTGGAAGTCTTCAGTGAACGCCCCCTCCGCAGGGACCCCATCTGTAGGGACAGAAGGGCTGGCACTGCCCAGGTGCTTACAGGGCCCTGGAAAGCCTCGGTCAGGACAGGCAGACCCCAGGGGGCAGGAGAGCCCACCAAAGGTCCCCGGGGCGGTCAGGAGGGCACTGACCTGTCAGGAAGTTGTGGAGGCACCTCATCATGGAGAGGCCAGAGGGCAGCTGTGGCCAGGCGCCTTCGCTCGTGGAACGCTTGTGGCCTGGGCAGGGGCATGGGAGGGCAGGGCTGGTCAGTGCCGGGGAAGGGTGTCTGAGCCAGAGAGGGCTGAGGCCTTCCCCAGGCCGTCACAGCCCCGCTCACCACTGCCAACACTGGCAGCCCAGGGCAGGAAGGGAGGCTGGGGAGGCCCAGGGTCAGCTGTCCTGTGTTGCCCCTTGTGTGTGTATGGGGGGTGCCCACCGCCTCAGGGGGCTGCCCGGCCTCCCTGTGCCCTGAGAACATGAGGAGAAGGCCTCAACTGCCCAGGGAGTGTGCTTTTCCCACCGGACACCCCATGCTGGGGGCTCTCGGCTCTCACCTGTCGCGGGTGGCTGGAAGGTCCTCTGCTTCTTATCCGGGAAGAGAAGGACGTCTGGCAGCCAGACGGGAGCAGACAGGGACAGGCATGTCACCTAGATCCCAGCATCCCCTCCCCTCCCCTACTAGGAGCTCCCCTGTCCAGCTCAGGCCCTGCCCAATCACCCACACACCAGAGCACAGGACCTCAGCCACCTGCCAGACACAGGACGTTGTTCAGCCAGGGGCCCACGGCAGCCCAAGCTGGCGGGTAGCTCTCCCCAGGCCTCCCTGTTTCTCTGCCAGGGCCTGGGCCCGAGACACCCCCAACTCCAGCTCACCCAAGTCAGAGTCAATAACCAGCTGGGCCACCCGGAATGCGAGGGTGCTGCCTGAGGGGATGGTGACCGTCTTCTTCTGGCTCAGATGGCCCTGGCCCTCACCCTGAGGCATGGAGATGGGCTCGGGGCTGGGCCCTGGCACCGGGCCGTGGGGTGCGGGTGCGGGCCGGGTGCCGGGGGCAGGCCCGCCGCCAGGTGACTTCGGCTCCGCAGCCAAGCGCAGGGCTGGGAGCTGCTCCGAGGGGCCTTGGCGGAGCCCAGCCCGCCGCCTCCGTCACCCGCCGCCGCATGCCCACGTGGGGGGCCAGGCGTGGCCCGGGGCTGGCTACACACCTGCAAGCACGTGGCTCCGGGCAGGGAAAACCGGCCCGAGCCCTCCCGCTTGTGGGTGCGCGTGACTTCCACCTCCTTCTGTGTCTGCAGCACCTCAGTCACCACGTACACGTTGTCCCCGCGGCTGCGCAGCTGCTGCAGGACTTTGTGTTCTGGCTGCCGCAGGTGCCTGTGTCCGAGGAGCAGCAAAGCTCGCTGGGCCGCAGCCCCTGAAGGCGTCTTCCCTCCCCTGACAGCCCCACGCCACCGGGGGAGGTGGTGCAGAGGGGCCCTCCAGAGGTCTGTGGGTGCCGGGGCACCGGCAGCCTCTCCGTGTGCTCCCCACGGGGACGGGACCCCATGAGGAAAGGTGGACTCGGGGACTCCAAGTCCAGACTCGAGGTGCGGCCCCCTCACCTGGGCCCCCGTGTTCACACCACCCCTTGTCCTCACAGCAGCCTGGGGCTCAGTCCGGTCCTTAGGATCCAGTCCTGGCAGCGGAGGCCCCAGATGACCCCTGCAGCTTCCTTCCTGCAAGCTGGTTCCGGCCACAGCGCTCTTTTGCCTCTGGGACTTTCCTGATGCCCCAAGGTTGTGACCTTCCCAAGAGCAAGGCTGGGACCTGGCACAGTGGCTCACCCCTGTAATCCCAGCACTTTGGGAGGCCGAGGCAGGAGGACTGCTTGAGGCCAGGAGTTCAAGACCACCCTGGCCGAGATAGCAAAACCTCACCTCAAAAAATAATTTAAATAAATAAATAAATAAAAGCAGGGTTGCTTGGGGTAGGTGGGGCCCTGCCCTGCCCTGCCCTCTTCGGGCCCACCTCTCATGGAGCAGAGTCTGCCAGGTGTTAGGGTCCACACTCAGCGAGTACACATTCATTGAGGTGCTGGAGCTGTCAGACACCGCGGCCCCGCCTGCGATCTTTGCCTGTCCTGGGGCTGCCAGCTCCACGCTGCCCTGTATCTGCCCATCCATGGCATCGTAGAAGTGGAAGCTCCTGCCACGCTGCACGTCTAAAGCAAGGCCAGACCTGAGGCTGTGCCCAGCGCCCCGCCTCTCCCCCGCCCCCACCAGCCCTGTCCCAGCCCCAGGGCAGAGGGACCTTTGGAAAGGCCCCGGCCTCTGGAAGAGAGGCCCAGAGCTAGAGGCTGCAGAGCCCAGTGGATGGTTGGCCCCAGCCCGCTCCCCTCTCCCATCCAGCCTCCCTGGGGCTCTGCCTCAGCACCACATCAGGCACCTGGTTCCGCGGCATCCGGCTCCAGGATGTCCTTGATAGACAGGTTGACACACTTATAACGGGGTTTCCAGAACCATGAGCTTGAGGGCTTCCTAACCACCAGGCAGTAGGGCTGGAAGCCAGTGGAGCTCTGCAGGCTGGTCACAGGGATGAACTCCCCACCATGGTCCAGCTCCTGGACCACTCTCCGGACTACCCGCTCAAAGGCCGACCCCATGCTCCTGAGGAGGGGAAATGGGTCAGGCATTGTGCTCTCGGGGCGGGCGGGAGGGAGTGGGAGAAGGGTCAGTACTTGGATGTCTCCCATGATGGGGGACTCCTTCCCTCCAGAACAGCCCTGCCCAGCTCATCCTGGGATGCTCCCACTAGCAGAAAGCTTCTGTCCCCGGCCCTCCCCAACACAGAATTACAGTGTTCTCCCTGTTGTCTACGGTACCATGAGCACCTCCAGCCAGGGACAGTGAGGCCTGACGCCCAGACCTGCTCTAACACAGAGGGCTCTGTCCACTAGAATGGCTGCCTCTGGCTGGGAGGAAACAAGCTGTCACCTCCTGAGCGTGGTGCAGGGACCCACTGCAAAACCCAGCCAGAGTGTCACCAGGGACCCACTGCAAAACCCAGCCAGAGTGTCGCCCCACCCCAGCTGCGTCCTCCAGGGCCTTCTCTGTGCCTGGAGCTCCATGAGCCACCTGTCCAAGGCTGAGGCTTTGGGGGTCAGAGGCCATAGCGGGCCTCCGCTGGGATAGGGGGCACCTGGGCCACTGTGGAGGGGCTGCAGCTGCCCCAGGAAGCCTCTGAGTGCTGGGTCTGCTGAAAGTGGAGGCTGGGCCCAGAAGGCAGCTGGGGGCGGGAACAGCACCGGCCCGGGAACCTGGATGGCGGACCTGGGAGTCAAGCCCAAGCCCAGGTCCAAAGGCCGGGCCCCTGGGCTGGCCAGGGGCAGCCTTTCCCGAAGCCTGGAGCTTCCGCCCCCGTGTGCGGCGCGGGGCCTTCTGGGCGAACGCTGGGGCAGCAGGGCCAGCATCCCCCACCCGGGAGCCAGCGGCCGGCCCCACTCGGGAGCTCCAGCCAGGCCGGGGGAGGGGGCGGGGCGCAGCTCACCGTGACCGTCGGCGCCCCGAGGGTGGCGCGTCTGGCGCGTCTGCTCTCCCTGGGAGCCGTCCGGCGAGCAGGAGCTGGAGGTGCCCAGAGCTAAAAGTGAAACTGCAACCTGACGCAGGGCCCGCCCAGGACGCCCTCCCGGAACCGTCCCGGAGAGCCCGCCCCGGCCCCCTTCCTGCCCCCTCTTCCCGCCAGCCCGCCTGGAGCACCAGCCTCGCGCGTCCGGAGGAACCTTGGCTTGGCGCCCCATCCTGGTAGCCTCAAACTTCATAGCACTTTGTGGTTTTTCTTAAAACTCTGAGCCTGTGCCCGGGCGGATCACCTGAGGTCGGGAGTTCAAGACCAGACTGACCAACATGGTGAAACCCCGTCTCTACTAAAAATACAAAATTAGCCCGGCGTGGTGGCGCATGCCTGTGATCCCAGCTACCTGGGAGGCTGAGGCAAGAGAATCGCTTGAACCTGGGAGGTGTAGGTTGCAGTGAGCCGAGATCATGCCATTGTACTCCAGCCTGGGCGACAGAGTGAGACTCCGTCTCAAAAACAAACAAGCAAACAAACAACTTTGGGCCTGTGCCGAAGGGTCTGGGCAGATCTTCCAAAGATGTACAAAATGTAGAAATTGCCCTCAAGCAAATGCAAAGATGCTCAACACCCTTAGTCATCAAGGAAATGCAAATGGAATCCACAGAGAGATACTGCACACTGACAAAGATGGTCGTATTACTAAAGGTGAATAACCAGCGCGGGGGGCACGTGGAGTCACTGGAACATTTGTGCAATGCTGGTGGGAATGTCAACCCGTGCGGCCCTCTGGAATAAGCCTGGCAGCTCCTCCAAGAGTTACCGTGTGACCCAGCAATTCCACTCCTAGCTCCACCCACAGGAATTGAAAGCAAAGACGCAAACAGATGCCTGTGCACCAAAGTTCACGGCAGCATCCTTCGCCATAGTGGCAGCATCCGTCGTCACAGCGGCATCATCCTTCATCATAGCGGCAGCATCCGTCGTCACAGCGGCAGCATCCTTCGCCACAGCGGCAGCAGCTGTCGTCACAGCGGCATCATCCTTCGCCATAGCGGCAGCATCCTTCGCCAAAGCGGCAGCATCCTTCACCATAGCGGCAGCATCCTTCGCCATAGCGGCAGCATCCTTCGCCATAGCGGCAAGGTGGAAACCCTGTCCATCCACTGAGGCGTGCATAGACTAAACATGGCCAGTCCAGGCACTGGAATCCAGGCCGTAGAACGGCGCCCACGGTCAAAAGGAATGAGACCCTGATGCACTGGGCGACACAGACGGGCGACACAGACTTGGAGACATCATGCTAAGTGAAAAGCCAGGCACACGGAGCGGACGGCGTGATCCTGCTCACGTGATGTGTCCCGAATGGGCACGTCCAGAGGGAAGAAGGGAGATGGCGCTGCCGGTGCCCGGGACGGGGGTTGGGAGCGACGGTTGCTGGTTTGGGGTTTCTTTCTGGGGTGAGGAAGTGTTTTGATATTGGCCGTTGGTGATGTTTGCATACCTCTGAATATGCTAAGACCCACAGAATTGCACACTTTAAATGGATGAATTGTATGGTATGGGAATTACACAATTATGTCTCATTAAAGCAGTTATTTTAAAAATCTAGTGCCCAGTAGCAACACCTAGTCTCGGCACAGGCTCCCTCAGTGCCCTACTGACCTAAGTCATGGTGGGCCCAGGGCCATGGGCCCACCCCTGCACACGGTAGTCCTCCCACCCGGCCCTCCCAGCCGCTCCGCGGTTGTGGATGGGGCTACTTGGGCTTCGGCCCCACTCCTAGGCCTGACCACAGTGGGGACACAGTGGTGCCCTGCGGGTCCCTGCTGGTGCTGTCTCCTGGCTGTTTTGTGTATTTTTTGTTGTTTGTTTTGTTTTGTGTGAGGCAAGATCTCTCTGTCGCCCAGGCTGGAGTGCAGTGGCACAATCACCACTCACTGCAGCCTCGACCTCCTGGGCTCAAGTGATCCCCTCCTGTCAGTCTCCTGAGTAGCTGGGACTACAGGTGCTCAGCACCACACCTGGCAAAGTTTTCGTTTTTGTTTTGAGACTGAGTCTTGCTCTGTCACCAGGATGGAGTGCAGTGGCGTGATCTCAGCTCATTGCAACCTCTGCCTCCCAGGTTCAAGCGATTCTCCTGCCTCAGCCTCCCGAGTAGTTGGGACTACAGGCATGTACCACCACACCCGGCTAATTTTGTGTCTGTGTGTGAGAGACGGAGTGTTGCTCTTTTTTGCCCAGACTGGAGTGCAATGGCACAACCTCAGCTCATTGCAATCTCTGCCTCCCGGGCTCAAGCAATTCTCCTGTCTCACCCTCCCGAGTATCTTGGATTACAGGTGCCCGCCACCACGCCCAGCTAATTTTGTATTTTTAGTAGAGACAGGGTTTTACCATGTTGGCCAGGCTGGTCTCGATCTCTTGACCTTGCTATCCACCCGCCTTGGCCTTCCAAAGTGCTGGGATTACAGGCGTGAGTCACCGCACCTGGCTGTAAGTTTTTAAAATTATTTAATTTTCAGTAGAAAGGTCTCACTATGTTGCCCAGGCTGGTCTTGAACTTCTGAGCTCAAGTGATCCTCCCGCCTCAGCCTCCCAAAGTGCTGGGATTCCAGGGCTGAGCCACTACACTGGGCTTGGGTACTGTTTTGCAGACCAGGTGGGTCTAAGGTTTCATCTCAGGACACACTGCTGGGCAGAGCTGACCTTCCTCCGTGACCCCGGCAGGCAAGGAGCCCACACACTGCTGCCCCTGGAAGCCAGCGCCCTGGGGTGTGGCAGCCCGTCCCTGCTGGGTAACAGGGCCAGCACGTGCTGAGCTGTTGTGCTGCAGCCTCCATGGTGAAGATGGAAGGAGCCGGGCACACAGCATCCCTGCAAGGCCACAGGTGTTGGGGGTCGCTGCTCCCTGCCCTGTCCTAGCAGCCACTCCCGAGGGGTCAAGGTCCTGGCTGGGGCAGAGTTGGGCAAGGAGGATGCAGGCTCATTTGCTCACCCAGATCCTGCAGCCCAACCCTGAGCCCAGCTGGAGGTGTCCAGGGCAGGGATGTTGCGGCAGCCTGGGGCTCTGCACCCTCCACCCTTCACCGCCACATTCTGCCTCTTGGCCTTTACCTCCAAGAGCTCTGGGGCCACACCAGCCCCCCACCCTGCCTGGCTGACCTGGCCTGAGCCTCACCCTGAAGGCTCTCACACTCACTCATTCATCCAACAAATGTGTATTAGCACCTGCTGCTAGGTGATTTTCCAGCGATCCTGGGTTCTAGCAGCAAACAAGACAAGGTCTCTGCCCTGGTAGGTCTGAGGCCAGTATGCTGAAGGGGATTTCTGGTGGTGTGTGCGTTGGAATGCTGCAGCCACAAATAACTGGAAATTCAGATGCCAACAGAAGGAAACATTATCTTGTGTAATCAGAAACCCAGAACTGCTGTGTACCCCAGGCTGGACACAGGCAGGCCTGAGAGCTTTGGCTGGTGATGGGCACCTAGGGCAGGGGGTACCCAACTCGGCCTGGCGGGCTTCTAGCTCTGGTCCAGCTGGAGCCCATTAGCTGGGTGTGGGCCCAGAATCCTTGCTTATGGTAGCAGGAGGCTCCAGGAGCCTAAGAAGAGACTAACGCGTTTGTGCGCGTGTGTATGCACGTGCATGTTGTGTGGCTGTTGTGCGCGTGTGCATGCAGGTGTGTGTGTATGCACGTGGGTGTTGTGTGCCTGTTTGTATGCGGGTGCTTGCACGTGCGTGTTGAGCGTGTTTGTGCACGTGTGTATGCACGTGTGTGTTGTGCGTTTGCGCGCGTTTATGCACCTGAGTGTTGTGTGCGCGTTGTGCGCGTGTATGCACGTGCGTGTTGTGTGCGTTTGCGCGCGTGTATGCACGTGCGTGTTGTGTGCGTTTGTGCACGTGAGCACACACGTGCGTATTGTGCGTATGTGTATGCACGTGCGTGTTGTGTACATGTGCGCGTGTGCATGCACGTCCGTGTTTTGTGCATGTTTGTGCGCGTGTGCATACACGTACGTGTGCGCGTTTGTGCGCGTGTCTGTGTGCGGGTGCATGCACGTGCGTGTTGTGTCCACGGGTTTGTGTTCACGTAGGGCATGTACACGTGCATTTGCCCAATGTGCTCCCGCTCGTTGATGCAGGCACGCATCTGCATTTATATGTAAGTGGGCCTCTGTGTTCCTGTGTGTGCACATGTCGCTGTGTGTGTTCATGTGCAGGTCACGGTGCGCAGCCGGTGCCACGCCCGTGGCTGTCCGCTGCAGGAAGGGGAGCCCATCTGGGCCTCCTCCCTCCTCCCCTCCTCCCGCTTTTCTCCTTTCCTTTGCAGCAAAATTCCTGGAAAGCCCTGTACAGCCTCGCTGCCTCTAGGTCTGTGGTGCGTCAGGCCCCTCCCAGACACCGGCAGGAGGTGGCGGCCTCCAGAGTGCAGGGCGGGCCTTGCCTCCAGCAGGGGTGTGAAGAGCCCAGGCTTATTTTCCGGGAAGGCCTCGCTGCCTTGTTGGGGGAATGGGGTGGAGGCGGCAGGCACGGCAGCCCCTGTGGGACTTGGTCTGAGGCCAAGCAGGCGCCGTCTGCGGGCAGGAGGGGCAGGTGAGGGCCCGGACGGCTGAGCAAGGTGTGGCCCACCGTGCCCGCAGGTCAACGGGCAGTGACGAAGTTACCTCAGCTTCCAGCTGGGCGCTGGCGAGGACAGGTGCTCTGTCCACACTCAGTTCTTCAATCATCACCCCGAACGGGAAGTGCTCGAAGGAGGGCAGAGGTCAGCCTGGGAGGAGGGAGGGAGGCCGGCCCCGCCCCATCGCTCCGGCCCCCATTCACAGGCGGGGCCAGAAGTGTTGAGGGCAGAACCCTGCAGCGAGAGGGCGAGCGCCTCCGTCCCCTGGGTCGGGGTTCATCCCTCCGCCCAGTTTACGGAAGTCGGCGAGGCGCCCTGGGCCAGATCCGCGCAGGTCCTGGGGGGCCAGAGCCTGGGGAACACCACGTCCCTTCTGCTGCGTGTGCAGAGTGAGCGGCGGGCGGCGGGGCTCCAAGGAAGGGCGGTCCCGGGGGCGGCTGTCTCGGAGTGCGGCTGAGGGGCCAGCCCCTCAGAGGGGGCGCCTCTGCCCTGAGCAGCGTCCAGGCCCCTGGTTCTAGGAGCCAAGACAAGCGCTAGGGTGGAGGCGCGCAGAGCACGGAGGAGGGGACCAGCCAGAGAGGTAATCCCCGAGCCGGGAAGGGCACGAGGACTCACGCCAGACCGCGACCTGGACAACCCGGCCTCGGGAACCAGCCCCGCGCAGGGCGGGACTTCAGGTGCCTGCCAGACACTGTCCTGGCCTGGCAGCAGCTCCCGAGGGGGTCTGGGGTGCCGGGGAAGTCCCCACTATGTCCTGGCAGCCTCACTCCTCGCTGGCTTCTCTGCCTTGCCCGTCCCCTCCCCGCACCCTCCCCTCCCCTCCCCGCACCCTCCCCTCCCCTACCCCCACCCTCCCCTCCCCTCCCCCCACTCCCCTACCCCTGCCCCCTACCCCTCCCCGCCTTTCCCACTCTGCCCCACCCTGCCTCTTCACAGCTTCACTTTTGCTGGTCCTCCTGCCCCCTGCTCTACACACAACCCACCCCCCACCCCACCTCCCTATCCCCCCACCCCCACCTCCAGGGCTTTGGGCGTCTGAGCCCACATGGGGCGGATTGTGGTGATGGGGGCCCTGTGGGAGGGGTGTCGGGCTCAGAGGCGCCCCAAGAGTGAGGAGAGGCAGGTGGCAGAAGAGCCCTGCTAAGGCCAGGGGGCCTCAGGAAAACTCCCCCAGCAGCTCCTGGGCACCCCACGGCTTACACCCGCTCCTGGGGCAGAGGGCGATGGGGTTAGGGGCCAGCCGCTGCCTGCAGGGAACCCAGGCCTTGCCTCCCAGCGCTCTTCCCTGGCACGCACCCCCCATCCTGTCCCCTTCTGGGGTCCCTGCCCTGAGGCCTGTCCTTTCCTCCCCAGCTCTGGAAGGAGTGTTGCTCCCTGGGCAGGTCTGAGGTGGGCTTGAGGGAGGGTGACACAGAGGCATGCCCCACCTGGCTTCTGGCTTTCTGGGCCTCCGCCTCTCTTCACTTTGCTAGAAGAAGCCGTCACTGCCAGGATCCGGGCATTACTTTGGGGGTGGGGAATGTTTTCCATGCAGGTGGGGAACTCCTGCACTTTGGCCAGTGTTTAATGCCCGTGGAAGCCTGGCACAGAGAGATTCACACCCTTCACCCACCATGGTCCCGGAGAGCCTGATGGCAATGCCTGACCTCAGGAACAGGAGACCAACAAAATACACTTTCTTGGCTTGGTGCTGTGGCTCATGCCTGTAATCCCAACACTTTGGGAGTCCAAGGTGGGTGGATCACATGAGGTCAGGAGTTGGAGACCAGCCTGAGCAACGTGGTGAAACCCCATCTCTACTAAAAATAGAAAAATTAGCCAGACATGGTGGTATGCGCCTACTCAGGAGGCTGAGGCAGGAGAATCGCTTGAACTTGGGAAGCAGAGGTTGCAGTGAGCCAAGATCACAACACTGCACTCCAGCCTGGGTGACAGAGCAAGAATCCATCTCTAAAATAAAAATATACTTTCTCCCAAGGTCCCCAGCCCAGAGGGTGTGAGGGCCTTGCAGTGGGAGGTAGGTGTCACTGCGCATCCGTGACAGTGGGGAGAGTGGGATGAGGGGGACCCACCAGACCTCTAGAGCAGTTTTCTCCCACTGTCACTTTCTCCCTCCATAATAGAGGGCACAAGGGGCATCATGGGGCACTGGGTGTGGCTGGCCAGACACCTGTTCCCACCTGAGTGATGCAGGACTTTCCTCAATCACTTTTGCCAGCTGGAGACACCCAGCCGGCCCTTGCCCTGCTTCGGCCCTCAACTTCAGGGCTGGCTCAGGCCCACCGCCATTTCTGTCATGGAGGGCAGAGGACCACAGTGTTACAGCCTTCTCTGTACCACGTTCGATGGGTCCCATGCTCTTGTACTGCATCCAAGAAGAATGAGGATATGTTGACAATCAGATAGTGAGGAGGGGCTGGACACAGTGGCTCAGGCCTGGGAGGCTGAGGTGGGAGGATCACTTGAGTTCAAAAGTCTGAGACCAGCCTGGCCAACTGGTGAAACCCTGTCTCTACTAAAAAAAAAAAAAAAAAAAAAAAAAAAAAGCCAGGTGTGGTGGGCACCTGTAATTCCAGCTACTTGGGAGGCTGAGGCAAGAGAATCGCTTGAACCTGGGATGTGGAGGTTGCAGTGAGCTGAGATCACGCCACTGCACTCCAGCCTGGGTGACAGAGTGAGACTCTGTCTCAAAAAATAAAAATACAAAAATTAGCCAGGTGTGGTGGTGGGCACCTGTAGTCTCAGCTACTCGGGAGGCTGAGGCAGGTGAATTGGTTGAACCCAGGAGGTGGTTACAGTGAGCCGAAATTGTGTCACTGCACTCCAGCCTGGGTGACAGAGTGAGACTCTGTCTCCAAACAACCCCAACACACCCCAATAAAGAGTGAGGAGGGTGGAGAATAATTTTATTGAGCAATGGAATAGCTGTCAGTGGAGGGGATGATGCTGGGGTGGTTTCTCTCCCAATGTGGCTGAGTCCTGGGCTTTTATGGGCTCAGAACAGGGGAGGGCATGCTGATTGGTTTGTGGGCATTCAAAGAGAGACTAAAGCAAAGGCACCACTGAAAGGTGGGCATGATGATGTAGAAAGCCAATTCGGTAGGGTAGGTATATGTAAAATAGGTGAAGGGTGGGGACGAATTAGAGGAAAGCACGCCAGACAGGAAGTCAGGTTCTCAATCCGGTCTGAGGATTTAACTTGTAGCTTGGCTTTCAGGCTGTCTTTGGCTTGGAGGTGGAGCTCCACCAGGGACCCACTCCTATCTGCGTAGGCATTTGTCTGTCTCCTGCCACTATCACGAGGGCCTGGGGCCTGGCTGCATGCAGAACCCCCACCTGGCAAGGAAGGTGGCTGGAGGGGTCAGGGCTCCAGGGCCACACCCCCGGGGTGGGTGTGGCTGGGTCACTGGAGGGGAGAGGCAGGGACTTTTGCAGGGCAATGAGATGGGGTTAGGGGTGGGGTGGAGGGGTGGTGGGGTCCGGGGAGTGGTGTTGGGGGGCGTGGGGTACATAACAAGCCCACAAAAGGCCTGACATTCTGCGCATGTCCCCTGATAAAAGTGCGTTTAGCATGGCTACACTGCGTCTTATTAGTCCTCCCTTCCCCAACAGAGGCTAGTGCTTGGGGCAGCCTTCTGAGGTTGGGCTGGAGAGAAGTGGGGTGCTTTGAGGCCCAGAGCACCCCTGGGGGGGTGTTGGGCAGGCGCAGGGCAGCTTGCGGACCCAGAGGGAAGAAGGCTGCTTAGGCTCTGGTGCAGAGTAAGCCCCTGCATAAGAAAAGAGCTGGAAGCTGGGTGTTGGGGAGGGGAGGAGAGCAGAGGGAGGTGGGATGGGGACAGAGAAAAATCCCCCGTGGGGAAGGAGGGGAGAAGTCCACTGCAACAGACAACAGTGATGGCTTACTCTCGGGGTTCATCTGTTTACTGAAGTCTGATGGGAATCCCACCCCACTCAGACCCACACTGGGCAGCGCTATGGGAAGGGGCTCCATGAGAAGGAAGGAGACGCCGAGGAAGAGTGGGCGGCCAGCACCTGCAGACCCCGGTGGGAGAGACGGCCACGAAGCAGCCTGGCCAGGATGTGCAGTGCGCTGCCCTTCCGAACACCGGTGTGCACAGCAGGCGGTTTAGGTGACTCTGCTTCCCGCCAAGGTGGGTTGTTTTCACGTTTGCCAGTTTCACACGTGCCAGAGCTTTCAGCGTAACTGCGGAGACCAGTTGTAGCAAGTTGACTCTGACAGTGCTCACATCCCATTTACAGTTTCACAACCCCAGAAAACAAACTCACACACCTTGCCCTGTCTCAGCAAGTGGCTGGGCCTCTCCCACCACCCTACTACCCAAGAATACATCAGTTTTTGCTGTGTCACAAAGCACCCTAAAATGCGGTGGCTTAAAACCACATCCACTGATTTGCTGATAGTTATGGGAGTTGGTAATTTAGGCTGTGTTCGCCTAAGATGGCTCAACTCTGGTCCCTGTGGTGCCATCTGGGTTCACTGGTGGGCAAGAGACAGTCAGTCGGCCAACATGTTGGGCAGATAACTGTTGGCAGGAGGGTCAGTGGTAGGAAACCGGAGTCTCACTCAGCTTGAGCTGCTATGAAAATCACCACAGAATCGGTGGCTTATGGCCGGGCACGGTGGCTCATGCCTGTACTACCAGCACTTTGGGAGGTTGAGGCAGGTGAATCACCTGAGGTCAGGAGTTCAACACCAGCCTGGCCAACATGGTGAAACCATCTCTACTAAAACTACAAAAATTAGCCAGGCGTTGGGCCGGGCACGGTGGCTCATGCCTGTAATCCCAGCACTTTGGGAGGCTGAGGTGGGCAGGTCACGAGGTCAGGGGATTGAGACCATCCTCGCTAACACGGTGAAACCCCGTCTCTACTAAAAATACAAAAATTAGCCGGGTGTGGTGGCGGGCGCCTGTAGTCCCAGCTATTCGGGAGGCTGAGGCAGGAGAATGGCTTGAACCCGGGAGGCAGAGCTTGCAGTGAGCCAAGATCGCACCACTGCACTCCAGCCTGGGCGACAGAGCGAGACTCCGTCTCAAAAAAAAAAATTAGCCAGGCGTGGTGGCAGGTGCCTGTAGTCCCAGCTACTCAAGAGGCTGAGGCACAAAAATCGCTTGAACCCGGAGGCAGAGGTTGAGTGAGCTGAGATCACGCCATTGCACTCCAGTCTGGGTGATGAGAGCAAAACTCCATCTCAAAAAAAAAGAATCAGTGGCTTAGATAGTGAAATTTCTCATAATTCTGAAGGCTGAAAGTCTGAGAGCAAAGTGCCAGCTTGGCTGGGTTGTTGGTGAGGGTCCACTTCCTGGTTTCGATGAGATGGGAGTTCAGCACGACTTGTTTCACAAGATACAGGTCACAGAGAGCCCACTGATAAAGCAGGCTGCGGTAAAGAAGCCAGTCAAAACCCATCAATACTGTAGCAGGACGAGCCGCAGTCAAAACAACCCAGACACCGGATTAAAGAAGGAAGAGGTTTTTATTAGGCTGGGACCGTCAGCAGACTCATGTCTTAAGAGGCGAGCTCCCTGAAAAAGAAATTCCTAGCCCTTTTAAGAGCTTACAACTCTAAGGGGTCCCCGTGAAAGGGTCATGATAGCTCAAGTAAGCGTGAGGAACGTGACTGGGGGCTACATACATCAGCTCACAGAACAAAAAGTTTCACAGTGCTTTCTCATACAATGTCTGGAATTTACAGGTAACACCAGTAGTTTTGGTCAGGGGTTATTATTATTATTATTTTTTGAGACGGAGTCTTGCTCTGTCACCTAGGCTGGAGTGCAGTGGCGCGATCTCGGCTCACTGCAAGCTCCGCCTCCTGGGTTCACACCATTCTCCTGCCTCAGCCTCCTGAGTAGCTGGGACTACAGGTGCCTGCAACCACGCCCCGCTAATTTTTTGTGTTTTTAGTAGAGACAGGGTTTCACCGTGTTAGCCAGGATGGTCTCGATCTCCTGACCCCGTGATCCGCCCGCCTCGGCCTCCCAAAGTGCTGGGATTACAGGCGTGAGCCACCGCGCCTGGCCTAATGTTATTATTATTATTTTAACTACCAGGGCCAGGTGGTGGCGCCAAGGTCGTCTCGCTATTTATCTTACTTCTGTTTCTTTCCAACTTTTTGCTTTCTCCCTTTTCTCCTGTCTTATAAACTAGGGAAAAGGGGAGGTGGGGGAGAAGCTGGGAAGGACAACAGGAGAAGTGGTGGTCTCATTCCAACACCGAGATGGTGATGAAAGCGACCTCTGTTCATCCTTACGGCTCACTGTGCCCTCATTGCAACACGTTAGCATACTACGGGAAATTCCCGCCGGCACCATGATGGTTTACAAACGCCAGTATCTTCCGCAAGTTACTCTATGTGGTCTGAAAGGGGGAGGACAATCCGTTCCAGGAACTCCCCACCCCTTTCCTGGAAAACTCATGAGTAATCCACTGCTGGTTCAGCACATAATCAAGAAATGATCATAACAAGAGTCAGTCAAGCAGCCCACACTGCTACTCTGCTGTCGATAGCCACCCATTTATTCCTTTCCTGTTTTTATTTATTTATTTATTTATTTTGAGTCGGAGTCTCGCTTTGTCGCCCAGGCTGGAGTGCAGTGGCACCAATCTCGGCTCACTGCAACCTCCGCCTCCTGGGTTCACGCCATCCTCCTGCCTCAGCCTCCCAAGTAGCTGGGACTGCAGGTGCCTGCCACCACGCCCGGCTAATTTTTGTATTCTTAGTAGAGATGGGGTTTCACCATGTTAGCCAGGCTGGTCTCAATCTCTTGACCTCGTGATCCGCCCATCTTGGCCTCCCAAAGTGCCGGGATTACAGGCGTGAACCACCAGCCTGGCCTTCCTTTACTTTCTTAATAAACTTGCTTTCATTTTCGTCTACCGGCATGCTCTTAAGTTCTCTCCTGTGGCCGGGTGCGGTGGCTCACACCTGTAACCCCAGCACTTTGGGAGGCCAAGGCAGGCGGATCATAAGGTCAGAAGATCAAGAACATCTTGGCCAACATGGTGAAACCCTGTCTCTACTAGAAACACACAAACTAGCCAGGCGTGGTAGCGTGCGCCTGTAGTCCCAGCTACTCTGGAGGCTGAGGCAGGACAATCACTTGAACTCGGGAGGCAGAGGTTGCAGTAAGCCGGGATTGCACCACTGCACTCCAGCCTGGGCAACAAGGGCAAAATTCTGTCTCAAAAAAAAAATTATTTCCTATGTGAAGCCAAGAACCCATGTGGCCTCCCGGGCTGAGCCCCCATTTGGGGATTTTCCCTGTGACACACAGACACACAGTCAGCTGTCTTCCTTTCTTTTTCCTTTCTTTCTCTTTCTCTCTCGCTTTCTTTTTCTGAGACAGGATCTTGCTCAGTTGCCCAGGCTGGAGTGCAGTGGTGTGATTGTAGCTCACTGCAGCCTCAACCTCCTGAGCTCAACCACTCCTCCCATCTCTGCCTCACTAGTAGCTGGGACTACAGGCACGCACCACCATGCCCAGCTGATTTTTGGTATTTTTTTGTAGAGACAGGGTTTCACTAGGTTACCCAGGCTGGTCTTGAACTCCTGGGCTCAAGTGATCTGCCTGTCTGGATCTCCCAAAGTGCTGGGATTCCAGGCATGAGCCACCGTTCCTGGCCCAGCTGTTATCTTGCTGTTATCACGTGGTGGATGTTATATATAAAGTTTCAGTGCCGCAAAAGAACTAGCACTCCAATATCACATTTTCCTTTTAATTCTCATCAAGGCAAGATACTTCTATAGAAGGGTGCACCCTTACAGATGGAGCAATGGTGAGCACACATCTGGACACGGGAGGGGAAGTGGTTCTTATCCCTGACGCAAGTGGTCCCTGTTGCTGTGTTGTTCCCCTATTAGCTAGCGTTAGACCGCACAGGCTAAATAATTCCGATTGGCTGATTTAAAGAGAGTGATGGGGTGAGTGGTTTGGCGGGAAAAATGGGTATGACAGAGCAGGTAACTGGAATGAGTCAGGGTGGAGCAGGTAATCGGAAAATGTTGCTTTATGAGGAAGTTTAAAAGTAGGAGGTAACGAACTGAACATATTGACATATTGATTCTTTGAAAAGAAATTTAGAACTCACATCTAACAGTGGAGAAAAAAGAGAGGTAGTCTCTGGCTGCTGCTGTTTTTTTTGAGATAGAAATCCGCCCTGTCACCCAGGCGGGAGTGCAGTGGCATGATCTCAGCTCACTACAACCTCTGCCTCCCTGGTTCAAGCGATTCTCCTGCCTCAGCCTCACGAGTAGCTGGGATTACAGGCACCCGCCACCATGCCCGGCAATTTTTTTTTTTTTTTTTTTTTGAGACAGAGTCTTGCTCTGTCGCCCAGGCTGGAGTGCAATGGCGTGATCTCGGCTCACTGCAAGCTCCACTTCCTGGGTTCAAGTGATTCTCCTGCCTCAGTCTCCCAAATAGCTGGGACTACAGGCATGTGCCAACATGCCTGGCTAATTTTTATATTTTGAGTAGAGACGGGGTTTCACCATGTTGGCCAGGCTGGTCTTGAACTCCTGACCTCAGGTGATCCACCTGCCTTGGGCCTCCCAAAGTGCTGGGATTACATACAGGTGTAAGCCACTGCGCCCGGCCACAATGTCTCAATGTCTGCTTTTTTTTTTTTTTTTTTTTTTTTTTTGAGACAGAGTCTTGCTCTGTCACCCAGGCTGGAGTGCAGTGGCACCATCTCAGCTCACTGCAACCTCCGCCTCCTGGGTTCAAGCGATTCTCCTGCCTCAGCCTCTTGAGTAGCTGGGACTAAAGGTGCGTGCCACCATATCTGGCTAATTTTTGTATTTTTAGTAGAGATAGTGTTTCACTACGTTGGCCAGGCTAGTTTCGAACTCCTGACCTCGTGATCCACCCACCTTGGCCTCCCAAAGTGCTGGGATTACAGGCGTGAGCCATCGCGCCTGTCCTGTCTGCTTCTTATAGGGCACTAGTCCCATTCACGAGGGCTCCACTCTCATGACCTAACCACCTTCCAGAGGCCCCACTTCCTGATTCTATCAGATTGACGGTTTGGATTTCAACAGATGAATTTAGCATGTGGGGGCACAAACATTCTGTTCTCAGTGCTCTGCATGTGCTGCTCATGGTCCGGCAGGCCAGTCCCGGCTGTCACAAGGTAGTGGTCACAAGAGTCTCAAGGGAAACGAGACAGGGCTAGTCCACTGCACAACTGCTCATCAAGCCCCATGGTGGGAAATTTCATCCCATTCATTCTCAGAGTCCTCTCATGGTCACCCATGTCCTGGCACATAGGTCACTCCAGAGTCACCCATGGGCTTGTCTCCAGGCCACTCGCAGGCTGCCTGGAGGGAGAGAGGCAGAAGCTCTAGCCAAGTGTTCAGCTGGGAGAGTTGCAACGGGAGAGGAGGAGGATGAGGAGGGAGGATAGACAGGACTGGGTGGTGCTTGGATGGGGTCTGCAAGGCAGCAGGAAGCAAAGATGGTTTCACATGGATTCCGCCTCTCCTAGATCCATCTGGGCTAGGTGGGACTCCTGGCTGGGGCTCCCATGGCCTGAGTCAGCCTGTTCTACTGCCTGGACTTCCCAGCCTCCATTCATTCACTCTTCTGCTCGGGGAGCCAGCCCTCTCCAGCCAGCAAGCTGCCTTTGCTGCTGCCGCTAGAGAAGCCCTCACAGTGCCCATCACTGTATGTGAGGTGGAGTGACACTAGCCTCGCTAGTGCTGGCCTTGGGAGCAGGACAGAGGCGGGCTGGGTGGAGGCTGTGGACTGCGTCCTTACCTGCGTGCACAGGTGTCTCCTCAGAAGCACCATGCACGGGAGTCCTCTGCGTCACTGTTGCCATGTGTCTCACGTCTACATATGTTAGAAACCTTGGTATCTTATTTTTGCTGCAGCTACTTGTTTTAGAGAAAAGAGAAAACATTTTCATTTCCTAACACACTTCTCATTTCCTATACTCTTTCTTCTTGTAGATCTGAGTCTCCATATTGTATCCTCTTCAGCCTGAAGAAATTTATTTATTTATTTATTTATTTATTTTGAGATACAGTTTCACTCGTCGCCTAGGCTGGAGTGCAATGGTGCGATCTTGGCTCAGTGCAACCTTGGCTTCCCGGGTTCAAGTGATTCTCCTGCCTCAGCCTCCTGAGTAGCTGGGATTACAGGCGCCCCCCCACCACGTCCAGCTAATTTTTGTATTTTTAATAGAGACAGGGTTTCACCATGTTGGTCAGGCTGGTCTCTAACTCCTGACCTCAGGTGATCCACCCACCTCAGCCTCCCAAAGTGCTGGTACAGAACCTTAAGAAGGGCTTTGCAGTCTCAAAAAAAAAAAAAAAGGGTCTCGCTCCGCCAGTCTCCTGTCTCAGCCTCCCGAGTAACTGGGACTACAGGCACCCACCACAATGCCCAGCTAATTTTTGTATTTTTAGTAGCGGCGGGGTTTCACCGTGTTAGCCAGGATGGTCTCGATCTCCCGACCTTGTGATCCGCCCGCCTCGTCCTCCCAAAGTGCTGGGATTACAGGCATAAGCCACTGCGCCCAGCCCAGCCTAGCCATTTTAACGTGTACAATTCAGTGGCATTATTACCGTCATAATTTTGTGTAACCATCACCACTACTTCCAAAACTTTTTCATCACTCCAAACAGAAAGCCTACACCCATTAAGCAACATTTCTCCATTCCTCCTTATCCCAGCCACTGAAACTCTAATCTACCTTCTGTCTCTAGGAATCTGTATTCTAGATACTTCATGGAAGTGGAATCACACAAGATTTGTCTTTTAGTGACTGGCTTATTTTACAAAGCACAGTGTTTTCAAGGTTTATCCATGGTGTATCCTGTGTTAGAATTTCCTTCTTTTTTTCCTTTTATTTTTTTTTTGAGGCAAAGTCTAGCTCTGTCGCCCAGGCTGGAGTGCAGTGGCTTGATCTTGGCTCATTGCAACCTCCGCCTCCTGGGTTCAAGCGATTCTTCTGCCTCAGCCTCCTGAGTAGCTGGGACCACAGGTGTGCGCCACCACGCCTGGCTAATTTTTTATATTTTTAGCAGAGACGGGGTTTCACCATGTTGACCACGCTTGTCTCAAAACTCCTGACCTCGTGATCCGCCCGCCTCAGCCTCCCAAAGTGCTAGGATTACAGGCGTGAGCCACTGCGCCCGGCCGAATTTCCTTCCATTTTAAGGCTGAAAAATATTTCATTGTTTGTATGGATCACATTTTGTTTATCCTTCCATCCACCCGTGGACACTTGGGTTGTTTCCGTCTTTTGGCTATTGGGAAAAATGCTGCAGTGAACATGGGGGCACAAATATGTTTGAGTCTCTGGTTTCCATTCTTTTGGGAATATAGCCAGAAGTAGGGTTGCTGGATCATACCGTAGTTCCATTTTTGTTTTCTCCTAGAAAGGCAGATTGCCACATGCAGCGCCTCATTTGGATGTGTCTGGAATCTTGACTACCCTACCTTCTCCTACAAATGGACCTTGAGAGCTTGTTTGGAGGTTCTACCAGGGAAGCCCAGCTCTTCTATTGGGTATGGTCGTTCTCTTCGACTGAGCTGCAGCTTCGGGAGGGACGCACATGAAGCAGTGAGGAAGGAAGGGGACACCCGCCTAGCCAGCCAGATCAGCCGAATCAACCCTGGCGATCAATGGGATGACAGGTGTCGCAGCCAGATCGCCCTCATATCCGGTAGTTCTACTTTTAACCTTTTGTGGAATCTCCATAGTTTTCTGCGGTGCTGCGCCATTTACATTCCCACCAACAGCGCACAGAGGTTTACACTTGTACATGTTTCCAATGACGAACTAAAAACTTTCATGTTTTCAGAGGTTCAACATGTCTATCCAGGGAACCTTGCTCTCCGATGTCTTCTCCTCTGGCCACAGTAAGAGGTTTCACAGACCCTCCTGGGTCAAGAGTAATTGTTAACTGGCCCTTCTCCCATGGGTCCCCGCGTAGACCCCCCCCCCCCCAACACTCAACTGGGGCGAAATGAAACGCAGGGACTGTGGGAAGGAACTGCGGTATGGGCTGGGTGGGCCCCAGGTCTCGCCCCTCGCCAAGTCTCCCAAGGGGACGCGATCCCGGACTGCACAAGCTGGGCCCGCGCGGCCTCCCAGAGCCCAAGCAGTCCCTTCCCAGCCGTTACCAGGCCACTTCCCGGCGCTCACTAGTGACGTCCCCGCCTCGTTCTGCGCGTGCGCGGCTCTGCCTCTCCGCTGCCGTTGTCAGCGCGACGGCGGGTCCTCGGCGGTCGGCAGACATCCGGGCCTGCTCCTGGCAGCTCCGCCCTGGCCCGCTCCGCCCCGCCCGCGGGAAAAAGGTCGCGTAGCGATGACGTCGTGGGGGCCTGGCCGGCCGTCGCGGACTCGGGAGATGGAGGAAAAGGAGATATTACGGCGGCAGATCCGCCTACTGCAGGGTAGGTCCGGCCGGGGCCGGGACGCGAGTCCCCTTCTTTCCCCCTCACCTCGCGGCGGGTCCCCTGCCCCCTTGTCGAAGGGGTCGCTCACCGCCCGCGTGTTCTGGGTGGCGGCTGGGGTGGGGGACGGTAGGGTCCGCCAGGACTTGTGGGCCGGCTCAGGGCCCGGGTCAGTCCCCGGCTCCAGCTTTGTCGAGGGAGTGGTGCCGGCCCTGCTGGGGCTGCAGAGGGTGGAGGCAGGGCCGTCGCTTAGTAACCCGCGGGGGGCGGCGGCCCTCCCCACCACCGCGGGCTGTCGCGTCCCCCGGCGCCCACTCTCTCCCCGCGCCCCACTGCGGGGCTGGGACTAGTTCATGGCTCATTTCGGCAGAGCAGGCTAAGGGCGCACGCGGGTTCCTTCCTTGACGCCCGGTTTTTTTTGAGACAGAGTCTTGCTCTGTCACCCAGGCTGGGGTGCGGTGACGCGATCACGGCTCACTGCAATCTCCTCATCCTGGGTTCGAGTGATTCTCCTGCCTCAGCCTCCGGAGTACGTGGGATTACAGGTAGGCGCCAGAACGCCTGGCTAATTTTTGTATTTTGAGTAGAGACGGGGTTTCACCATGTTGGCCAGGATGGTCTCTAACTCCCGACCTCAGGTGATTCACCCGCCTCGGCCTCCCAAAGTGCTGGGATTACAGGCATGAGCCACCGCTCCCAGCCTCGACGCCCGGTTTTGATGCCCCTTTTCTCCGAACAGTCACACTCCCCTTGCCATTCCAGGCGCAGACTGAACAGGCTTCAGCTTCCACACTTAAACATTAAAAAACCCAAATTGGTCTTTCTAAACTTAAAAAGAAAATCCATGTTCGGACGCAGTGGCCCACACCTGTAATCCCAGCACTTTGGGAGGCTATGGCAGGAGGATGGCTTGAGCCCGGGAGTTTGAGACCATCCTGGGCAACATGACGAGAGCCCGTCTCTACAGAAAAATTTTAAAAAGTGAGATGGGCGTGGTGGCTTGCGCCTGTAGTCCCAGCTACTCAGAGGTGGAAGGTTTGCTTGTGCCCTGGAGGTCCCGGCTGCAGTGAGCCGTGATTGGGCCACTGCACTCCAGCCTGGGCAACAGAGAAAAACCACATCTCAAATAAAAAGCCAAAACCAACCAAACAAAAAAAAGCTTTAAAAATTAAAAATCCTTTTTGCTTTTACTCTCACAAAGGGAAGACTTAAGGATTGGGAAAGTGTGTATGGATAAGAGGCCAGGTGGGCTGCCTCCCACTTGGGGACACTTCTTGAGCTCCCATCACACCTGCTCTGGGGCGTCAACACGTCTGGACGTGGCTTTCTGTGCCCCCGGGGGCAGGGCCTGTGGTGGGGGAATGCTGATAACTGGGAGGCTGGCTGCTGCCGCCCTTGCCTGTGTTCCTGGCCCTCCTGCACCGGGGTAGCTATCCAGGGACTTATTTGGAAAGTCCTGTGGTTGTGTCAGTTCACTGCAGTAGGACTCTAGCCCATTGATGTTTCCTCTTCTGCAGGGAAGACTATGAATCTGGCAGAGCAATGGCCTCTGCTCCTAGTATTCTTTTTTCCTGTTGTCAGGCATGGGGTCCTCGAGAGTGTCAGTTCTGTTACACTCAGTGGAGTGACTCCTTTCCATCTGTAGGCAAGCCAGAGGGCCTGTGCGGCCACTTGTCCCCTCTGATTCAAACAGTGCAGAGGGGATCATTGCGATTCTCTTCAGACTGAGTGACACGTCTCAGCAAATGACTGTGGACTCAGTAGACCAGCAAATAAGGCTTGTTACACCACACGGTTCATTTCTGTGTGAAGCAGGCAGAAGTAGGACTGAAGTGGAGCTGATGGAGAAAAGGCTCATAGAAGCGACAGGCCCAGGTGACGCGGGCTGAGTTGTCAGTGAGTCCCAGGCTCTGGGGGCTGCCCCTCCTGAAACTGGCAGGGGCTCAGAAGTGAGATGGGATCTGGGGGTATCTTGCCAGCTGATGCCCTTCCAGGGTAGTCATGATTATCGCGGTTACCCTCTGGCTAACTGGGCCTGTGGTTCTGTCTTCTCAGGTCTGATTGATGACTACAAAACCCTCCACGGCAATGCCCCGGCCCCTGGTACCCCAGCAGCTTCTGGGTGGCAGCCACCCACTTACCACAGTGGCAGAGCCTTTAGTGCCCGCTACCCTCGTCCAAGCCGGAGGGGCTACTCTTCCCACCATGGGCCTTCGTGGCGCAAGAAATACTCCCTCGTGAATCGGCCCCCGGGACCCTCAGACCCTCCTGCCGACCATGCTGTGCGGCCGTTGCACGGGGCCCGGGGGGGCCAGCCTCCTGTCCCGCAGCAGCATGTCCTTGAGAGACAGGTCCAGCTCAGTCAGGGTCAGAACGTGGTCATCAAAGTTAAACCGCCATCAAAGTCTGGCTCTGCCAGTGCCTCAGGGGCCCAGCGGGGCTCTTTGGAAGAATTTGAGGAAACCCCCTGGAGTGACCAAAGGCCCCGGGAAGGTGAAGGTGAGCCCCCTCGGGGACAGCTGCAGCCCTCGAGGCCAACAAGAGCCAGGGGGACCTGCAGTGTGGAAGATCCTCTTCTGGTCTGCCAGAAGGAGCCTGGTAAGCCCAGGATGGTGAAGTCAGTGGGCAGTGTGGGCGACAGCCCCCGGGAGCCCCGCCGGACAGTCAGTGAGAGTGTGATTGCCGTCAAGGCGAGCTTCCCATCCTCCGCTCTGCCCCCACGCACTGGCGTGGCCCTGGGCCGGAAGCTGGGTTCTCATTCCGTGGCCAGCTGTGCTCCACAGCTCCTTGGGGACAGGAGAGTAGATGCTGGCCACACAGATCAGCCAGTTCCGTCTGGCTCAGTGGGGGGCCCCGCCAGACCGGCCTCAGGACCCAGGCAGGCCCGGGAGGCCTCGCTGGTTGTGACCTGTCGAACTAACAAGTTCCGGAAAAACAACTACAAATGGGTGGCTGCCTCCTCGAAGAGTCCCCGGGTTGCTCGGAGGGCCCTCAGTCCCAGAGTGGCTGCAGAGAATGTGTGCAAGGCCTCTGCTGGCATGGCAAACAAGGTGGAGAAGCCGCAGCTCATAGCTGACCCAGAGCCCAAGCCCAGGAAGCCAGCCACGTCCTCCAAGCCAGGGTCTGCCCCCAGCAAGTACAAGTGGAAGGCCTCCAGCCCCTCTGCCTCCTCCTCTTCCTCCTTCCGTTGGCAGTCGGAGGCCAGCAGCAAGGACCATGCCTCCCAGCTCTCCCCAGTCCTGTCTAGGTCCCCGTCGGGGGACAGACCAGCAGTAGGACACAGTGGCTTGAAGCCCCTCTCTGGGGAGACCCCGCTCTCGGCTTACAAAGTGAAGAGCCGCACCAAGATCATCCGGAGACGCAGCAGCACAAGGTGGGCATCCCGGCCGGCTGCGGTAGAGTGTGAGGGGCTGTGAGGAGGGTTTGTTTGGCACCCCTAATGGATCTGCTGAGCTCGGAGCTTTGCCTGCAGTTGCGTTCACATTTCCAGCAAGAAATGAGGCAGGAAGTGCTGCTGTGGTGGTTTGGGCTTGCCTGGGGCCGGGGCCCTGGCCGGCATAAACTTAGGGGACAGGTTTCCCGTCCCTCACACTGCTGGCAAGCCCATCCTTTCTCCTGCCGGTGAGAGACAAGCAGCTCGCTGGGGGCAGCTTCCGTTCCAGTTGCACAGGGTTCACAGAGGGAAGGCTTTGTGCCAGGCCAGGCGCAGGGGGAGTAGCTCCCAGGGACCAGTCCAGGGTCCATGTGTCCCCAGGGGGATGGTGAGACAGAGAGCAGTGTGTCTGCCCCTGGCCTGGACCTGCCGGCCACGGGTCTGTGCTGGGAGGTGGACCAGAGCTCTGGGCCCTGCCAGGGGTGCCTGGTCTTTCCTGCATGCCCCGTGTCTAGGGCTTGGGCTCCAGGAGGCCTGGCCTTTGCTGGCCCTCAGGCTGAGGGCTGCTCCAGCTGGTCTGAGTGGGCAGGGGCCGGGGGCTGCTGGTAGGCGGGAGCCTCCTTAGGCATTCCTGGCTTTGGGCTCTGTGGCCTCCCTTGCGGAGTGTTGAGGCTGCAGTTGGCCTTTGGTCCCAGGGCGAGCAGATTGGTGTTAGGTCCCAGCCCCCTTGGCCAGGCAGCCAGGCAGAGTCACTCACTTGCTTGGCGCACATCTCTCCCGGCCTCCACCCTTGCGGACTTGTGATGAGACTCAGAGATGGTGTCATGGCACAGTGCTTGGTCTGGGCTCAGGGACTCCATGAGGTTGGCAGCTAAGGTGGTGGCTGCACCTGCTGGGCAGAGGGCGGGGGTCCTGCCTCTGTCATCAGACACAGTGGTGCCCTGCCGTCTGGTCTAGGTTGCTGGCTCGTGTAGCTCATTCTCTCTGGCCCTCGTCCCCCAGATAGGTGCCGTGTTGAGGCGCATGGGCACCCGGCTCCCACTCCTGGCTGTTTCTCGGTGGCAACTCTGCTCTAAACCATGCTGGCAGCTCCCTCTGTCCAGGAAGTGTGGAGAGGGAGCGTGGAGAAGCTGCCCCCTTACTGAGGGGCTTGGCAGGCCACTTGGGGCCGGTGGCCGCTCTCCTCAGGGATGTCGGCCCTTCTCTTTGCCCCACGTAGAGGCTCCTTTTTCCTGGGCAGATGGGGAGGGGGTGGACATGCGGGTGGGGACGGAGCACTGAGGCCCCTCTGCTCTCCCTGGGAGCATGGCAGCCTGCCCTAGTTCTGGGGTCATCTGGGATTGTGGATCCAAGCCTGCCGCCTCAGCCTGGCTGTGGAGGGTGGGCAGGGCCGCCATGGGCTGAGGGAGGCAGGGTCCAGAAAGGACCCGCTGTGGCCTGGTCCTGGCCTTCAGGAGCTGCTCCCACGCTCCTCGGGTCCTGGTGAGGAAGGGTGGGTGGGCAGAACCCCCAGGGCTTGTTGAGAGCTGCCTGTATTTTGTCTCCACAGCCTTCCTGGAGACAAGAAAAGCGGCACCTCACCTGCCGCCACCGCCAAGAGCCACCTCAGCCTCCGGCGGAGACAGGCCCTCAGGGGGAAGAGCAGCCCTGTCCTGAAGAAGACCCCCAACAAGGGCCTGGTACAGGTCACCACGCACCGACTATGTCGCCTGCCACCGAGCCGGGCCCACCTCCCCACCAAGGAAGGTATGCTGGGAGCAGGGGCGCTGGGCACTGGGGCTGGGCCTGCCTGATGGGATATGCTGGCGTGTTAGGAGCCATGGGCACCTTCCCTGCCTCATGCTGGTAGAGGCCCTGGCTGGGAGGGCACTGCCTGGCAGACGGTGGTGGTGGGCTGGCAGATAGAGGATAGGGCCCGGATGCTGCGCCCTGCAGTCTGGCTGTGGGATGTGCTGCTGGGCAGGTGCTGTGGCCTCTTCTGTGTGTCCCTTGGTATGGACCCAGCTGTGTCCCTCCTGAGGGAGGAGAGGGCGGCGGCTGCTGAGCCCTTAAGCAGGGGTGAAGCCCTCGCTTGTGCTGCGCTGGGCACCCCCAGGCCTCTGCCTCCTCCAGGGCCCTTCTGTGCTCAGCTGGCTGGGGCTGCAGGTCTACCTGCCCTGCCCTTTCTGAGTGTCACATGGTACTGTGTGAGTTTTTTGAGTGGCCTGAAAGAATTGGTCTGGTCTCCTGCTGTACCACTCTAAGTGTGCCCAGTCACGCCTGGAGAGAACTGGTCTGAGCCCCTGAGAGCCCCTGTGGTGGCCTGGGAAGGCCCCGGCCTGCAGATTGTGGGGCGTAGCCCCTTTGAGGTTGACCCCCACTGCGGTGATGTTTGCCAGGACACACTGGGGGAGCGGCCTCCAGGCGGGCACGTGGTTGGGGGTATGTGGTGAGGGTCTAGAGCCCTTGGGTGTGGCACCCCCCAGACACCGTGGGGGTCAGTGTGGAGCCACGTTCGTCTGTGTGCACCTGGTCCTGTGCGACTCTGGGGCTCTGCTGGGCGCGTTAGGGCAGTGACTTCCCGAGCTCGTGTCTGTGACATCTGGAGAAGGTGGGGCGTTGGGGATTGAGCAGGCTTGGACCTGGGCACTCCGACTGGGAACCGGTGCTCAGAAATCTAGCCAAGGCTGGGCGCGGTTGCTCATGGCTGTAATCCCAGCTCTTTGGGAGGCCAAGGTGGGAAGATCACTTGAGGCCAGGAGTTCAAGACCAGCCTGGGCAACATGGCAAAACCCCATCTTTACCAAAAATACAAAAATTAGCTGGGCATGGTGGCACATGCCTGTAATCCCAGCTACTCGGGAGGCTGAGGGAGGAGAATTGCTTGAGCCTGGGAGGTTGCAGTGAGCCGAGATCGTTCCATTGCATTCCAGTCTGGGCGACAGAACGAGACTCTGTCTCAAAAAAAAAAGAAACCCAGCCAAGCGTACCGTCATCTAGGGAGGCTTCAGACGGCTCTGGAAGGAGCTGGGCCTGGGCAGACCCAAGAGCCGTGTGGGGGCTGCCGCGGGAGGGCAGGGCGTTGGGTCCCAGGTGGAGGGCTGAATGGGGCGATGCAGCCGGGTGTTGCAGCACAGTGGGGTGGGAGGAAGTGGGGCTGGGGGCGCTGGTCGGCTGTACCCCGTTAGCCGACACCTGCTGCACGCCAGGACATGTGGATTTCATCCTGGTGACAGGGAGCAAGCAGAGACCCATGCGGTCCCTGGTGGCCACAGTGAGGTGGCCGGATGGTGGTTAGGTCGTGGGCTTATCTGGGAGTGGATGGTAGGGGTGGCTTGGACAGTTGGCGGTATCCCCTGGTCACTTGGGGAGGAGGGGTTGGGGAGGTGTCCAGCTCTGGGAGGCCAGCAGGGTCTGCTGAGCCCTAGGAGGCCAAGGCTTGCAGATGGCGTGGTGGTTGGGGTGAGAGGCTCCCCACTGGGTGCAGGTTCAGCCCTGCTCACCTGGCCTGCTCCCTCTTCAGGCCTCTAGTAGAGTGGGGCATAGGCAGGGGATGGGGGAGGTTGCTTCCTGCTGGTGGGGCCTTGCTCGGCGCCCCCCGGACTCCTGCCAGGAAGAGTGGGTTTGGGAGGCCACCAGCTTCACCGGCTGACCATTTCGGAGTGCACAGCTGAGGGGCTGCTGCGGTCCTGCCTCACTAGAGGGAAGGGCGTAATTGATCTCGTCGTTTTTTTTTTTTTTTTTAATGTTTTTAGAAACAGGGCCCTGCTTCCCTCCCAGGCCAGAGTACAGTGGTGCAGTCACAGCTCATTGCAGCCTCAACCTCCTGGGCTCAAGTGACCCTGCTGAATAGCTGGGACTACAGGTGCATGTCACTGTGCCTGGCTAATTTTTAATTTTTTTGTAGGGACAGGGTCTTGCTTTGTTGCCTAGGCTGGTCTTGAACTTCTGGGCTCAAGTGATCCTCCTGCCTTAGTCTCTTAAAGTGCTGGGATTACAGGTGTGAGCCACTGTGCCCAGCCAAACTCATAGTTAAAGACCAACGTGAGGCTGGGCGTGGTGGCTCATGCCTGTAATCCCAGCACACTGGGAGGCCGAGGCGGGTGGATCACCTGAGGTCAGGAGTTCAAGACCAGCCTTGGCAACATGGCAAAACCCCGTCTCTACTAAAAATACAAAAATTAGCTGGGTGTGGTGGCGAGCGTCTGTAATCCCATCTACTCGGGAGGCTGAGGCAGGAGAATCACTTGAACCCAGGAGGCAGAGGTTAGATCGTGCCATTGTACTCCAGCCTGGGCGACAGAGTGACATTTTGTCTCAAAAAAAAAAAAAAAAAAAGACCAGCGTGGCGGCTGCATGGAGTGAGAGGAGAGGGTCCTGTCTGAGGAAGGGGTGGGGAAGGCGTCCCACTCACTTGCCCACCACTGGCCCAACTGGCAAGCGTGGTTGAGTCACTGTGCCTGGCAGCCTGCCGGCTCCTGGGGATACTGCAGTGAAGGTGAAGAGATGATGAGGCTGGAGCCGCCTTCCAGTGGTGGAGACAGGCAGCCACTGGAGTGCTTGTACATCAGCCAGGAAGGTGCTCCTGGGTGGAAAATGCCTTCTGAGGAACAGGCAGGGGGAGAGCACAGGGCCAGCTGCAGAGAGGTGGTTGGCGAGTGGGAGGGCTTCTCTGAGGAGGTGACCTGAGCAGAGAGGAGCGAATAGGGCTCAGCTCTGAGGCCGAGGTGGAGGTGGGAACGAGCTTACTGTGTTCTGGAGCACAAGGAGGCTGTGGGGCCAGTTCACCATCTGGGAGTGTGGCTTGGAGGGGATGCAGCCAACGGGGCAGAGGGACCAGGTCCTGGGAAAGGGTCTTGTAGGCCACAGGAGGGAACGGGGGGTTGGTTCTGGTTACGTTGGGAAGCCAGGGAGGGACAGGGGAGGACCCTGGGAGGGGCGTGTCCAGGGCCCCGGGGTGTCTGGCAGGCCCGAGTGGGCAGAGTCGGGAGGACCTGTGCGTGAGGCCACTGACGCCAGGCCAAGGAGCGGAGTCCGCAGGCTCTCAAGCAGGCAGGGAGCCCGTGGAGATGTGCGCGGAGGTGAGAGGCCGAGCCTGCGTCCTGGCCTGGTCACTCAGGCGGCTGACCCCAGAGACAGCCACCGTGAGACTCCAAGCTGGCCGCAGGGGAGGTGGGCGTGGCCAGGGCGTCTGCTGAGGAGATGGGAGGCTGGGGCCCAGGAAGCTGTTGAGTGGCTCCCCCAGGTGCCCTCCTGCAAGGCCCACCGTCTCCATGCCTGCCTGCCTGCCTAGGAACTGAGGCCTGCCTGTCCTCTGCCTTGGCCAGTGGGCTTCTGGGCAGGGCCCAGCTTTGTTTCGTTGAACGCTGCAGTGCTCTGGTGAGCCAGTGAGCCCTTCCCAGGCCCTCCTTCAGCCCTCCCGGGTGGCCAAGGCCTCCATCGGCTGGGGTGTTCGTTCCTGGATGCTGGGGTCGTGTGGGCTGTGGATGGGGCAGCCAGGTGGGACTGCTCCTTCATTTGGCTGTTGGGAGTTTTCTTTCCCCATTTTCTGCCCAGCAAAAGCTTAGTTCCAGCTCCACCTCTCCTCTTCAAGGAGACGGCAGTGTCCCAGTGTCCAGCTGGGGACGACTGCCCTGTGGACTTATGCACCAGGGACAGGGGCTTCTGAAAGCTGCCAGGCAGCCCTGCTGCCGCCTCCCTCCCCCGCCGCACTTCAGCCTTGCCGTGCGGCCCAGTGGCCAGCAGAGGGCATGCTTGCCCCTCCTATCGCCTCCGTCCACCCTTTTTTGGTAATCGCGTAATTTCCTTTTTATGTGAAAGAAAGCAGATACCAAGTAATTTGCAGCAATAACCTGCTAATGCTGGGCCAGTATCGAAACTCCCCTGTTCATTTCAAGTGGCAGATAAAACGCTAATACATAATTATCCTTGCAAATTGGATTATTTTAAATAACCAAAAGGCTACGGCCAGGAGAAAGCGATCCCATCTCCCCTGAGTTACTATTGCAGCGTAATTGCCGCGTTCAATCAATTTCCCTGGCATTAGAAATTCCGTCACAATCAACATTAAGCTTTATTCATTGTGATGGCTAAGAGCCGGGCCATTTCTCCTCTTTTTCTTAACTGGCAAAATTAATCAGGGAAAAGATTTTAAACATTTACCCGTGCGAAAGAGGTCAGCCCTGCCACTATATTGCTCAGCAGATAAGGGGGCTAATAAAAAGAAAATTGAATTACTAATGATCACCAAGAACAGAGTATATAAAACCTGGCCATCGCCAGTTCAGGAAAAGGGAGAATCAATTTTCTTGGGACAAGGTGCGTTCATTTTTTATTTTGGCGCATATTATCAGCAATTTAATTTGAGAGGCATAAACAGGAGGAAACAGTTAGGGAATAATGAGCCTGGAGGTGTAAAGTGCCACAGGATATATGCTGTACACAATTTATTTGGCACAACAGATAATCGCTTTAATTGAATTCAAAAGTGCATTGTTCAGCAGCACTGTGGCCGCTCACGCCTGGGGACTGAGACTGTTTGGAAGGTTTCAGCCTGACTCTTCGGTGCCTCTCCTCCCCTCCCTGCCTCTCCCGGCCCTCCGAAGTCCTCTGGGCCTGGAGTCAGACCTCGGCTGGGGGCGGGGCAGGGGATTCCTGGGGGTCTCTTCCTCTGCTGTCAGTGTGCCCCTTGCCTTCCGTTTCTTCCTTCCCTTTTCTCCTGGGGATGGGTCTGTTGGCAGCTGGGGGATGAGGATGTGAGACACTGGCCGGGTGCCGAGGCTCATGCCTGGAATCCCAACACTTTGGGAGGCTGAGGCGGGTGATTACTTGAACCCAGGAGGTCAAGACCAGCCTGGGCAACGTGGCAAAACCCCATCTCTACAAAAAATGCGAGAATTAGCCGGGCATGGTGGCACACGCCTGTAGTCCCAGCTACTCGGGAGGCTGGGGTGAGAGGATTGCTTAGGTCTGGGAGGTTGAGGCTCTAGTGAGCCATGATCGCACCACTGCACTGCAACCTGGGTGACAGAATGAGACCCTGTCTCAAAAAAAAAAAAAAAAAAAAAGGAGATAGAAGACAGCCCCAGAAGGGTGGCCTGGGCGAGTAATGTTTGCTGGAGGCTGCAGTAGAGACCTGCCTGGGTTGATCTGTCTCTGGTGGACCGATGCTAGAGGGGGCATTTGGGCAGAAGAGAAGAAAACCTTTTTGGAGTCTGAAAAATGGTGTCCTGTTTGCCACTCACATAACTGTGGCAATCAGTGTTCTCGAGTACAGTGTTTACAGTACACACGGCTGAGCACTGTGGCCAGGCTCTCACTGTGGTGCGGGGGAAGTGGGGCCAGCTTCGTGGTACATCCTCCTGGGGCCCGTCGCTGTGCTCGGCCACCCTGAGATGACAGGCATGACTCCCTAAGCCTGGCCGGCCTGTGCAGAGGGATGCTGTCCAGGCTGTACACTCCAGGCCAGGCCAGGAGTGAGGGCCAGCTCTCCCACCCACCACCCTGTGCCCAGGCTGGGGAGCTTCTTGGTGGCGGGAGGTGATGGGATTCCTACCAGCCACATGGAAACGTCTGCTATTTTACGCCAGGGAAAAGTCATGGTAGGTGGGTAGGCAGTGGTGTCGTCATCTGCTGGAGTGGGAGGGCCCTCTCTGCTTCACCCACCCAGGATGGTGGATGCATGCCGGTGGCCTGCCCCCTTCCCCCGTGGCCTGGAATAAGCCCAGGGCCCTGCCTGGGAAGCAGCCGCCTTCCCAGACTTGTCGCCAGTGTGCTGGTGGAGGGTGCGGGCCTGGCAGGTCCTGGGCACACCTGTGGTGGACAGAAAGGGCCTGGCTTGCGTGGTGGTCTCGTGTGGACAACCAGGCTGGGTCGAGGCCTGCCGGCTGCCCAGGCTTTGACAGGAGCCAGGCCGGGCATCTGCCTCTGGCCCAGAGCTTGCTGTACACACGGAGGGCGATTCCTACCCGTCCCTCAGTCTGCCGTGCCCGCCCCTGGGTGTGGAGGAACTGCTGTCAGCATTTGCAGATGAGAAGTGGAGTCTCCACTCACCCCAGCTCACTGGCAGAAAGGGCAGGCGTGGGTCTTGGACCCACCTCTGGCTGGTGTCACTAGGTGCCAGGGCTGTCCTGCCTGGGTGACTCTTTTGGGGCCTGGATGCCCATTCCCCGAGTCCGAGTTTCTCTGAGGAAGTGCTTAGGGAGAGCCTGTGTGAGCTGTTGGCCCTCAGCCCCTCCCTGCCACCAGGTGGTCGTGGCTTCCCCCAGCCCCAGAGCAGGACCCAGGTGGGACCTGAGAGGCTGGGGTCCCTCAGGCACACGGCGCTCTCTGGATACTGGGTCTCACCCTCTAGCCCTGGTGAAGCCAAAGGCAGCCTCCCCAGAGCCCTGGCCGCCCGCCCAGTCCTGTGTGGGGTCTCCCCCCGACTGTGGTGCGACATTTCCTGGAACGCTGCCTCCTGACTTCTCGGTCTCAGAAGGGCCTGCCTTGACGGCTGTTCATGTGACCTCTCTGAGTCCTCAGAGGTCCCTGGGGCCCTCCTGTGTCCTTGGGTCCTCCCTGTGCACACGATCCTTTCTGTGTTGCCTCCCGGTGCCTTGGAGAGGGGGTGGTTTGCCACGCAGCCCTGGCATCAGAGGCCTGGGTGGATTCTGCACCCAGCCCGTGCTGTGGCTTTGCACTGTTTGGCCACAGATGCTTATGGGGGTGTCACTGAGCAGGCACCAGCTTGGGAGTGTGATGGCCCCCTACCCCTCTGTCCCTCTGTCCCCAGCGGCTTCTCCCGGTGACCAGCGCAGCCTGTGGATTCCAGTGCATGGGAAAAACCCAACCGCTTTCTCTCGACTGGCCCTGCCCCACCTCGAAGGCCCGGCTTGCTCCAACCAGGCCCAACCTCTGGCCAGGCCCGTCCCCCACCCTTAGGTGTGCACAGTTTGCTCCCCTCATTCGGGAGTCTGTGAGGTGGGCCGTGGTCCATTCTGCCAGGCCAGCTCCTCTAAGATCGCGTGCCAGCCACCCCGCCACCATGGGCATTCCTTCCTCCTGCCTCATGTTTTGTATTGCAGGAATTGCCGGCTTATTGTCCGTCCTGCCTGTTAAGAAGGTGCTGTGGGGAGCACCCTGGCCGCCCTGCGTGCACGTGAGCCTCAGGCTGCGGCAGCTCCTGGTGAGGGTGAGGCGCCCCCCCTCCCAGAGGACTGGACCTGGGCAGAAGGGAGGGCCTCGCTCCCTCAGGAGGCCCCATGGGCAGGCCATGGGCGGGAAGGTGGGGCAGTCACCATGCTTAGCGGGCAACCGAGGGGTGAGGGCCTGGCAGAGGGCTGCCCACCAGGAGGAAAAGCCACACAGGGCTCCCTGCCCTGACGCTGTCCTGCCCCTTTGAGATGTGCAGGCCGGTGGAGGTCGGCAGCAGCACTCAGAGGCTCAGTGAGCAAGTGGGCAGAGTGCCACCAGCCTCGATCCCCGGCCTCCAGCAGAGGGGCTGGTTTCTGTGCCATCCTCGCCGTAACCTCCTGTGCCAGGCTGCTGGGAGGCCTTTCTGAGCCTGGCGATCTCCCCGGGAGGCTGGCCGTGGATGGAATGTGAGGCATGGGTGGAGCCCTGACCTGCTGCACAGAGCCTGAGGATGGAAGCTTGACCGTGGAGGGTGTCTGTCGCTGCCTGGCCGAGGCGTGGCCGCTGGCCCCACAGCGCCTCGGCAGTGCCGCCTGGCTTCTGTTGTGAGTTGGCTGGGTCTGGGTCCCAGCCTTGTGGGGAGCTGGAGCGCTGTGGTCAGAAACAATATGGCTCCCCTGCCCTGCGCAGAGATGAGTGGCGGCCCCCGAGGAGGCAGGAGCACGCAGGGCCCGAGGTGCACCGCAGGGTGGTTGCCAGGGTGGGCTTGCTGTGTCTTGGCAGTGGGGGAGGGTGCCAGGGCCAGAGGGGCCGGAGACTCTCCCCTGGCCCCAGCGAGAGTGAGGAGCAGGCACCCTGTCCCATGCTGCTAGGTACTGGGGAGCAGCCCCATGTCCGGTGCTGGAGGCCTGGACCTTTGCCGGATGCAGGAGGCAGGGTTATGAGCCCCCAGGCGTGGTGTGGGCGTGGCCTGGCGGGAGACTTTGGCCCTGTCTGCCCGTTCTCCTTGCTGGTGCTCGGTGCCCTATCTGTGAATGGGGTCAGGAATGTTTGCTGTGGGGCTGAGCGGTGCCTTTGGGTGCTTTGGCCCGGTGTGATGTTCCTGCTGGGCTGTGCTGCTGGCCAGCATTGCCCACCTGGGAGGCTCTGCCTGGTGCCTCTGGGGTATGTGATCCACCATTGCTTGCTGTGTGCAGCTGGGCTGTTCAATTTTACTGCGGTGAACCCCGTGAAAGGGCATGAGAGCAGTTAGATCTGGAGTCCTGCTTTCATAAGGGAAAAAGAAAATGCTGAATTAGGCTTCAGGAAAGGCAGCCACAGCGATCTTTGAATCTTGCATAAATTATCAGGCATGCCGGCGGCCTCCAGTTTTGCGTGGGTTGTGGCTGTGCTAATTAATTACTTCACAGAACTGGCGTGGGATCGCGTGTGTGCCGTGGTGGTGCTGCACTGTGCTGTGGGTGCCAAGCTGAAGACCTGGGCTGCGCAGGCAGGGTGGCGTTCTCAGGAGAGCCAGAACTCATACCACCGTAGGACCCTGGGTCCCCACACTGGGGACAGCTTGGGCTGCTCCTTTTGTTGAATGGATTGAGGTAGTCCTCTTGTCCCTCTCTTCCCAGCCCAGGGCTGGCACATCCCCCCAGTCACGTGTCTTGGCAGACTTTGAATCAAGTGCAGGACACCTGTCCGAGAGCCTGGGTAGGTCCCTCACCCTGGTGGCCTCTCTCAGGAGTCCACCAGGCAGTGGGTGTTGGGGTGCAGGACACAGGCTCTGTCACCACCTGCTAACCCCCACCAGGCAGCCAGGGGCACGTTGCCAAGTGCTCGGGTGGCGGGTGGGCACGGCACAGGGCCGTCCCGATGGCCACCCCTGCTGGCCTGGTCCTCCTCCCACTCTGCCCGCCTGTCCTCTTCCTGTGCCGGCCTCTCAGGGGTCTATCTTCAGGCATGGCCAGCAGGGCTTGTGCTGCTTGCCTCCTGCTTGCCTCCTGGCGGTGTCTTTTCACCAGCTCTCGGTTCTCCCACCAAAGTAATGGGGGCATGGCTCTGCCAGCCTCAGCTGGCCTCCTGTTGAGGGACTGGGGAGTGGGTGTGGCTCTGGGCACTGAGGCGGCTTTCCAGCTGGGGACGAATGTGGCCTGCACCTTCTGGGATTTGGCCCCTTCTCTGCATGGGGTCAGGATGTTGCTGGGCCCCTGTTTAGTCCCCTGCTGGGGCTGTAGCCTTCTGTGCCCCATCTGCTGCCCGTAAGTGGCCCCTGCCAGCCTCCTCTGTCTCTCCACCTTGACCCTTGCCTGAGGGCCCCTGCTGTGGTCCCACAGGTGGGTCGTGGCAAAGCTGGGTGTGGTCAGAGTCCATGTGGACTTGGGCATCGTCTGGGAACCCCGTGATCCCCACTGGTTGTTTCCCCCTGCACCAAGTCCAATCGCGTGCTGGGCGGGGTCCTGATGGGAAGGAAGTCCTGGTTCCCTGAGGGGTCTCCTGCTCGGCACCAGCAGCAGGACTGGGAGAGGAAGCAGCCCCAGGCCAGTGTCTCCTGCCCGCAGGCACCTGGTCTTCCTGCCACTCATTCTCCAGAACTGGCCCTGCCCTTGCTCACTGGGCATCCGCTGAGCTCTGGGGCTATGTTGGGACTGTGACTGGTGGGCCAGCCTGGCGAGGCCCTGATGTCATGGGTGTGACTCTTGGTGGGAGGTGCTGGGCTCTTGCCTGATGGCAGACAGAGAATGTCCAGCCAGGGTCTCTCCAGGGTTCTCCCACTGGACCCCCACTGAAGTCAGTGCCCTCTGTGGCCCCACTGGGGCAGCAGCCTGCATCCTAGCGTGGGTTTTGGTGTAGCCCTGGGTGGACTTGAACTATGGTGGCTGTGGGGGTTCTCCAGGCCCCCCACATCGTCAGCACCAGTGCCAGCACCCTGGGCTCTGGGCCAGCCGCAGGCCGATGCCGCTGAAGCGGGGCCAGTGCCAGGCCCAGGCGGACGGCAGGCTTGGGGTTGTGTGGCAGGCGTGGCATCCAGCTGGGTGGGGAGGCCTCCTGGGAGAGTGGTGCAGAGGCACTGCCCGCCTCCATGGCCTGGCCCATTCCCTGTCCTCCTGTCCCATCCTGTCCCTCGGTACAGAACTGCTTCAGTGAATGGCCAGCTCTGGTCACTGCGTGGGTGCTGAGTGGCGGCATCCCAGCTGGTCAAACTGTGCTTCCTGTAGAGAGGTGCATGGGAAGGCATAGCAGGAAGACCAGGGCTGTCTGTGGCACCCTTGACTGGAGCCCCCTCTTTCCAGGGCTGAGTCCGGTGACCGCAGCCTCTGGTCCGTGTCCTCATGGGAGCAGGGCGACATGCAAGGAGCCCCCTCAGGATGGGCCCCAGGGACGCTCCTCTCTCGGCTCCCAGCTGAGACCTCTCCCTTTCGTGCTGTGGGGTCCCTTGGGTGGCTCTGCCTGGAAAGGGACACAGAGTCTCTGGGCTCAGCTGTTCTGGAAAGGGCTGGGCCATGTGTCCCTCTTCAGGGCTTCTAGATGGCCACAGGAATCCTGAAGAGGAGACCGCGCCCACGCCCGTGCCTGCACCACCTGCCACCCCTCAGGGCCCTCCTTTCTGGTCCCCTCGCCTGTGGCTCTCCGAGGCTGTGCTGACCCTGCTGTCAGGAGCTTTCACTCAGCAGGAGGCTGGTACTGTCACCAGCTCCTGGGGGAGCCTCAGGGCAGGCCGAGCGCTGCTGGGAGGTGCCACCCAGGCCAGGAGAAGCCAAGCAAGTGCCATGGCTGTGTCTGGGCTTGGCTGGAGATGGCGAGGTGCGACTCTGCCTGGCCTGGGCCTTGGGGCTCACGGAGAGAGTAGATGGCATTTCAAGGGAGGTGTGTGGCTAGATACGATGACCGTAAGTTTAGCAGCTTGCAGACATCAAGTGTCAAGTTAGCTGTTGGTTTGCTCGAGTGTGTATTACAGAGCCCTGGTCTCGGAGATCAGCCCTGGGGCCCCAAGCTCCCTTCTGGTGCCTTTGATCCAGGGGCTGGTACATGTGCCAGCTTCTGCCACTGGTTGGTCTGCACAGCGTGGACACAGAGCATGGGCTTGGGGCAGAGCGTGGCTGGCAGGTGCCCTGCTGTGGGGTCTTGTGGGCAGAAGCATCAGCTGCCCTCCCTATTCCTCTTGTTCCCCCGGGGAGCTGAAGGCCAGGGCCACACGGCCACCAGTGCAGCGCAGCGCAGCTCACTCCCCTTTGCCTCGAAGGTGCTGCCCAGTGCAGGTGTCAGGTGTGTGCCTGAAGCTCACAGGGGCCAGTCTCCTCCCCAAGGGCCAGGGGCCAGCTGCTGTTGGCCGCTTCCTTGACCCACCTCTGTGCGACTTGCCTGCTGCTAGCGTGATGGGCTGGGGGCCTGGCTCTGAGGCTGCGGCCTCTTGGCCCAGCTGGGGTTTCTTTGAGGCCGACCAGCTGGCGGTGAGCTCTTGGCCCCTCGGCCGGGTGTGTCTGACCAGCACAGTCAGGCATGAAGTACTGAGGCTGTCCTGCGCTTCCAGTGGCTTGGCTCCTAGCAGAGCATGGCACATGTCAGGGCCCTGGGAACCTTAGCCCAGACTCCCAGGGAGCTCTCCCCTAGGGCCTGGTGTCATAGACTGTTTGGCTTCAGTAACTGTGGACTCTGGGACTGTGTCCCCACCTGCTGGAGTTGTGGGGAGGACTGAGGGAGTGGGGCTCAGAGCCCACCACGATCTGCTCTGTGCCGGCCATGTTGCTCCAGGGCCCATCCTGAAACAGGCTGTGGGCACTGCAGGGGCACTGTGCCCGGTGTCTCTCCCAGGCACACTTGCCCCTCCTGCCCATTAGGGGCTGGGGAGGCTGCCCGGGAGAGACGGGGCCACCTGGGAACACGGACTTCTGTTCCAGGCTTGCGCCCTCCCCCGCTGGCTAGCTGTGTCTGGGAGACTCCTGGCATCCAGGCTGCCCCGGGGGCTTGGCTGGCCTTGGGTGCTCAGACATGGCCCTGTGGGGCCTGTAGTGAGGCCCCGTCCTTCACCCGCCCCCAGCCCATGCCAGCTTGCTCTCCATCATCCTGCGGCCCCGCTCTGACTCAGTTGGCCCTGGAGCGTTGTGCTGCGTCTCAGTGTGCTCTGGCTCTAGCAGGTCAGCGGTGGGAGGCAGCAGCTCTTCTCTTGCTGATTGCCCTCTCCGTTATCTCGGGGTGATTCAGGGGTGGGGAGCCTGCGGAGAATGCACTCCTGGTGGCGTGAAGCCTGGCGGTGGCCACTTCCCTAGAATGCAGCAGAGGGTCTGCCTGCCCAAGCTGGATGAGGACAGGGGTCCTCAAACGGATGTCCTGGAATTCTGAGCTGTGGTCTCCTACTGCCTCTGGGAGCTCACCAAGCTGGTGCCTGAGGGATGGTGGCAGTTGTCCTGAGGTGGCTTCCGTCTGTAGGGCCACATGGAGCTTGCAGCGGGGAGTGTCTTCCAAGATGGCTGCAAACACCACCCTCCCTGAGATCACCTTCCAGACAGGGCACCGGGAAAACATGAACTGCAGGGGCGTCGCGGCAGCATTCTGAAGCTGCCTGCTCTTGTGGGACCCCCATCTGGCTCTGAGCCGCTGGCGCTGCAGGTGAGCTTGGTTTCATCGTGCGTCTGTCTTTGCTATAGCCCCTGGGGACGTGGAGCAAGCCTGGAGGGTTGTGTGCAGTGGGAGGTGTGGGGGCCAGGTGGTCCAGCCAGGGTCTGCCCACCAGAGTGCTGGTTGACGAGGGAGTAGTGGCCAGCACTGCTGAAAGCAGGAGGAGGTAAAGCACCTCTTCCAGGGAGAAGAGGCCCAGTCTGGGGCACCTCTGGGCAGGGCTTGTGGCAGATTGCCCCGTCACTAGCCCCTGACCCTGAGGGGCCCTGGACTATCAGGATGAGGGGGCTCAGGTTCTGTGTATGTGAAGGGCTAGGCTGGATGGCTCCAAGTCACCCAGGACAGGACTCTTGCTGAAATCAAAGGGCAATATATATATATATTTTTTTGAGACAGGGTCTTGCTCTGTCACCAAGGCTGGAGTGCAGGGGCGCCATCTCACTGTAATCTCTGCCTCCCAGGCTCAAGTGATCCTCCCAGCTTAGCCTCCCAAGTATCTGGGACTACAGGTGTGCGCCACCACACCTGGCTAATTTTTGTATTTCTTTTTTTTGTAGAGACAGGGTCTCACCATGTTGCCCAAGCTGGTCTCCGATTCCTGGGCTCAGGCGATCTGCTTAACTTGGCCTTCCAAAGTGCTGGGATTCCAGGCGTGAGCCACTGCACCCAGCCCAATATATTTGTGTGTGTGTGTTTTTTTTTAAGACAGAGAGTCTTGCTCTCTTCCCTAGGCTGGAGTGTGCAGCGGCACAGTCTTGGCTCACTGCAACCTCGACCTCCTGGGTTCAAGAGATTCTCCCACCTCAGCCTCCCCAGTAGCTGGGATTACAGGCTCACGCCATCACATCCGGCTAATTTTTATGTTTTTGGTAGAGATGGGGTTTCACCATGTTGGCCAAGCTCGTCTCGAACTCCTGACCTCAGGTAATCCTCCGGCCTTGGCCTCGCAAAGTGCTGGGATTACAGGCGTGAGCCACTGTGCCTGGCTTCCAATACATTTTTAATGAGGCAAAGGAAATAGGCCTGTAGTGAGGTCAGGGAGTCTTCTGTGCTGTGAGGTGCTGTGGCCCACAGGGTTGTGTGTGGCCCATGTAAAGGCCTGTGAGGAGCAGCATGACGTTTGCAGTGAGCCAGGCTCTGATGAGGCCACAGGTCATCAGTTCTGTTTCGGGGTGAACTTGGATCCCTAGGGAAGGCCGACAGAGGACCAGGCGTCAGGGGGCTCAGCACTGGGCCACACGCTTACAGGGTGACCAGCAGCAGAGGGACCCCAGAGACACACCTGGGTGGACACACCCCTTCTAGTCTGACCCTTCCATAGAGGGCACTTTGCGGGTATCCCCTGAGCCCCCAGCAGGGAGGACTCCCATGGCAGCCGTGCCCACTGATGCTGGCTCTCCTTTCAATATGGGAGCCGCCTCTGTGGCCAGAGGCTGGGGCTGCATTGTTGGGATGGTGGGGTGGAGAACAGAAAAACCCTCCCTCCTGTTCCAGCACCCCTGAAAGATGCATGTGTGCTCAATTTACGTTCTTCCTGGGGACCCCTTCTGGGGGCCCCAGACTCTGAGAGCCCCAGGCAGGTGCACTGGTGGGGGAGGGGCTGAGTCCTGGCCTCACGGCTGTGGGGTGGTGAGAATGAAGTAAGGCGGTGCGGGGAGGCTGCTTGGATAGGGCTGGCCTCCCAGGAAGTCCTCCATGCCTGTCCCACCTCCTGCCTGCCCCGGTGGGTGCCTCTGGAGGGTTGCAGGCGTGGCTTGTTTCTGGGCCCTTTGAAAACACAAGTAGCAGATGCCCCATGTGCAGGAGGCCCGGAGCTGCTCCAGCCTGGGCTTCCTGCCCACACCCAGTCCTCCCGGCCTGCTGGGAGCTCCCCAGAGGCAGACATAGTGCTGGGGGCAGGGGCTGCCCATGGGGCACCAGGACTTGAGGAGCCCTCAAGACCTGGGAGGGGGTACCAGTGGGTGGAGTGTGGGGTCAGTCCCTTCAGACTTTCGAGGCTCCACCCACATATCACCACCTTCACGGCCTGGATCTTGGTGTGCTCGGTAGCCCTGTGACCTCGGGCCAGTGCCCCCACCCGCGCCTCTGCCCTGTGTCTCCAGCCTCCTTGCCTCGTCTCGTTGGCAAGGCCTCTTGGGAGGAGCCAGGCTGCCCCTGGGGTGGCCGTGGTTTTCTTGTTGAGAACCCTCTGGGCTGGGCAGGGGCTGTGGCGGGGCCGGGCCTGCCCCTCCCAGGGTCTGTTTCACTGCCCCAGGCCAGCTGTTTGCAGCTGAGAGCCCTGTGGGCCGGGCGGGCCGTCTACCTGTGTGGCTGTGAGTGTGTGTGGGAAACTTGCTGCTATGAAGCCTGATCCCCTCTCTGGGTATACGGGCCAGAAACCCAGCCATGGAGGGTGCTGCTGGGCAGAGCACCAGCCAACGAGGCAGGGAGGGGGCAGCTCCTGGCCTAGCTCCTGGGCAGGGGTGGGCCCTAGTGGGCACCGTGAGCTGCCTGTCAGTGGGAAATCAGATGTTCTGTCCCATGGGGCAGAAGGACACTGTGAGATTCAGCCCCACAGCCCTGTTAGCGGGGCAGTGCTGGCCAGCTGGGATCTGGGGTGTCTCGAGGTGGACGCTCACAAAACGTGGAAAGGCCTAGAACCTTGTGGCAAATGGAAACGGCTCAGCCTGGGCTCTGCCTGAGGATTGGAGGACGCAAAACTTGGCTCCAGCCAGAAGCTTACAAGGCTGGGTGATCTCGGGGTGTCTGGGTGGGCCCGGCTGAAACCAGCACCCTGCGGTACATCTCTGACCTGCACCCCGGTGCTTCCCAGCCGGTTCCCACTGCGTGGGCCTGGGAGGACGAAGCAGCACCAGGGCTGTGTGGGGGCGCAGGGTGGGCAGCTGGCCATCGGCTCCACCACCCCCAGGCTTTCCTGGTGGCCTCCAGCTGCCCCCTCACCGCATGCAGGGCTGGAGTGGCCCCGGAAGGGTGCTCTTACTTCCTCCCAAGTCGGGGTCCAGCAGGGGAGCCTGCCCCCAACCTGCCCTCTCCCGGGAGACATCAGTCCCCTGCTGAAGAGCTCTCAGCCTCTTCTTTGTTCTGTTGAGGGGGAGACCCCACCTGCCTCTTTCTCATGGTGGCCCCTAGGCAGCATTTTCATGATGCTGGCCATGCATCCAGGGCTGGGGCTGCCCTGCAGAGCTCTGGGCACCCCCACCGCTCCTGCCTTCTGCCAGGGCCCCTCCTTGAGCCCCGAAGAAGCCCACCCAGTTCCATTGTGCCTTCGTGTGGGAAGGAGGTGGGTGGGGCGAGCAGTGCTGTTCCAGTCCTGCCAGGCCTGGGGGGCGGCCCTAGGCAGGCTGGGGGGTGGTTTGCGTCTGTTGGGATGGCATGGGGCTGGCGCAGCTCCCCTGTGGCACCGTCGGGCTCAGAGGTGCTGGGCCGTGGCTTCCCACAGGGCAGGGCACCTCTGGGACTGCGGGGGTGTCCTGCGTCCCCTGCAGTGCAGCCTTTGGGCCCGTGATGAGTCCTGTGCATGGATGGAGTGGTGGCCTTGGCTGCCCTGGGGTCTGGTCAGGCTGTTGTCCCCAGGTGGCCTGAACGTGGGGCCTGCGGCTGTGAAAGGTGAGGCGGGCCGCTTGCCCCGTGCTGCTGTGTGGGCCGCTGTGGCGCATGTGCACGCACACAGCACGGCACGCTCGCCTGTCCTTCCCACGGGTGCCAGTGTGAGCACACGTGAACACTGGTCAGATCCTGCCTGCCGCTTGGGGCTTGCCTCCGGGCAGCCTGAGCCTCCGTTTCTGCGGCTGTGATGTGGGGTGCTCAGGCCTGGGGTAACGAGGAATGCAAGGCTTACTCATTTTTAACCTTTGCGCTTTCAAGACACATGAGCTCATCTTACCGAAAGATGAGCTCCCAACCCCAGGTCCCTCCCATTGCACTATGGTCTGGGGCCCTGAAGGCCAGGGCTGGCACTGGCCCCGGTGGTTCTCACCCACCCTTCCCTGTGTTGGCCCCGAAGGCTGGAGCCCCAGGGCATTGGCCAGGAGTCTAGTTAGGGGGAATGGAGCTGGTAGGGGGCCTGTCTGCAGCCTGCCTCCCCAGCTCCTACCCTGACCCGAATGCTGGGCCACTGCCTGCCTGGCCCTGTGCCCCACTGCCCCCAGTCAGCCGTCAGCACACTCGCTGCTACCCCTCTCCTCCCCTCCTTCAGAGGCCGGTGAGTCACCTTCCTGGGGAGGCCGGCGTAGTGCTCGCTGCACCCTGGCCTGGCCTTAGCCCCCATAGGGTCCCTCGCTCACTGTGCACTGGGGATGCATCACCGGGAGGCAGGCATTGCTGCTGGGGCTGCACCCCGTGCTTGGGGATGGAGGATCCAGAGGAGAGGGGATGGGCTTCCCTCAAAGGCAATGGGCTGCCTGCCGGGCTGGTGCCACCCCGGTCAAGGCCAGGGGAGCCTCTGTCCCTTGCCCCTGTGGCTCCCGTTGGGTGGGCTGAGGGCAGGGATTCCTTTGCTGCCTTCTCAGGGTCCCCAGTTGCACGTTTGTATGTGCCAGAGGGAGCACAAGCGGTCGGGCCAGTGTCCCTGAGACTGCGATTGTGGCTCCCACGTGCCATCTCCAGCTTTGGTGGGCCTGGCCCCGGTGCTGTGGCTGCCAAGACCAGCCCTGGAGGAGGCCCTCAGGGCACACCTGGTGCCTGGCATCCACGACCTCCCCTCTGCGGCCTGCCCACTGTCCCGCAGTCACAGGAAAGGCCAGGAGTGGCCCAGAGGAGAGCGGCATGTGGCCGGGGAGTCCTGGCAGCCTGCGGTTTCTGTCTGAGCGGGACACGTCGTTTCTCTCAGGGGCCGCTGCTTTCTGTGGAGGGTGTTGCCAGGACTCTCTCCAAAGAGTCTTTCTTGGGCTATGCTCAGAGGAAGCAGAAGAGGATTCCTGAGAGAAGGCCGTGCCACATGGCGGAGCTGGGTCTCCGTGCCGCCCGGCAGCCAGTTGGCCCCAGATCTGTTCCACTGACCTTGGGATCCAGCCAGGCCCAGCCATGTGAAGGTCAGGGGTGGGCTGGGAGGGAAGGGCCTCGGGCTCCCTGGGTTAGGCTGAGGCCGTTTCCAGCCTGGACTGCCCAGTGGAATCACCTGGGTCCCCCCAGACAGGAGCCTGACTCTGCGCTAGGCCATCCTGGCCCTGGAGCTGCCTGCTGGCCCACAGCGCCAGCCCCTCCTGCAGCACCAGGGCCATGGCGCTCATGCAGAAGGGCTGGGGGCCCTGTGGACCAGGAGACCTGAGGCTGTGCTGAGTGGCCGCCTCTAGGTCCTGTACCCTGAGACGTGGTGGCCAGGGCCTCGGGGCTTGGCCGTGCCTCACTCAGAGCCTGGAGCTGCTGTCCTGGCCCCGAGCAGGTCTGTCCTCTGGGGGCTGCTCTTCCGCCCTCGAGTATCTGAGTGCTCCCAGTAACTGTGTGTGCAGGTGGGGCAGGGAGCACAGGTGGGCCTGGAGATTCGGGGAGGGAGCTCAGGTGCGGGGCAGGCAGGAGCGGGGGGTCAAAGCAGAGACAAGGTGAAGAGGCGTTCTCAATCCGGCAGAGCTCCCAGCCCTGGGAAGGGCCCGTCCCAGGTGCCTCTTATGGCCAGACTGGGAGCAGGTGAGCCGCAGGCCTGGGGTTCTGAACACACAGGCTGGCTGGGGCTGCAGGCCAGTGGGGAGAGCTTGGGAGACGTCGTTCACAGAGCACGTGCCCTGGGCCCCAGTGCCCTTCTTTGTGAAGTGGGGACCGAGGCTGGGTGCACGCTTGGCCACACACACACCTGGCCAGGCCCAAGCCCAGCTGTCCTTCGCTGCAGCCTGCATGCCCCGAGCCTACCCCACCTGCTTGGAGCGCGGCCTGGGGTACAGGCCCAACTTGGTCCGGTTTCCTCCTGCTCCTCTGCACCCCTGCCCAAGGCCTGTGTTCACCCTTTTTGGGAACCCCCTTAGCTGCCTGCTGCACTGTCTTCTCCAGCCGTGGAGGGCAGGGAGGCCCCCTCCCTTCCCCTGCACCTGAGGCTGGGTAGAGCCGTGGGGAAGAGGGGAGGAAGCCCCACTCTCCATAATCTATAGCAACTGTCACGGAGCAAACTATTCCCATTTCATACAGACGGGTCAGGTGTCGGCGTGCGATCGATGGCTCGCGCACAATAATTAACGGGAACTAGCAGCTTGTGTTGCTTGAGTGACTTTAAGAAGAGTAGGGTCTCAATCTTCCCTTTAATAGGGCTCTGACAGTCCGCGGCAGCGGCTTCGGTGGTGCTGCGTCTCCAGCTGACAGTGTTGTCATTAAACACCAGGTAGTGTGGAACAACAGAGAGCACGGATCCCACACGGGGGGGACAGGGCGGCTGACAGCGGTCATTTGTCATCACTGAGCTGCCCAAACTCCTCAGACTGCACTGCGGATGGCTGCTTAGGGTGACTTATGGCCCTGTCGGGCTGCCGTTGTGATTTGATAATCCGTAAATGTTTGTCAAAGATGAATCCCCGGATCCCACGGGGCTGCGTCCCAGGGACGCGAGGCCAGGACATGAAAGCTGAGGGGCCATCCTCTCATGTGGCTGGCCACGTGCTGCACCCACCTGGGGAGGTGCTGGGGCCCAGCCTCCCAGGCAGTCCTGGCAGGGCTCCCAGGAGGGGCCGGATGCACCTGCTCCTCCTGTCTCGGGGCTGGGGTCCTCTGCAGTCTCTGTTGTGGGGTGAGCATGTGCATGAGAGTGAGTGTGTGTGTGTATGTGTGTGTGTGTGTGTGTGTGTGTGTGTGTGTGTGTGTGTGATTGCAAAGTTTCCTTTCGCGCTGACGAGGCTTTGAGGCAAGTTTTTCTGCCAATGTGGGATTCTGGCAGGGAGGGCCTAATGGGGGCAGCGAGCAGGTCTCTGCTCTCCACCCTGCGGAGCAGCCTCAGGGCGTGGGGCCAGAGGGTTCGAGGGTGCCCAGGAGGGCCCCAGCGGCCCCGTGGCCCTGCTCCTGGCCACCACCACATACAGGGGCTCCTTCCCTCTGTCTGCAGCGTTTGAGGTCCTGGGAGCCATCACATACAAGAAAAGTGGAGTGATTTATTAGACTCATAAAAATTCATACTTTGTGGTTCCAGTCATCCCACATCTGAGGCTTGTTAGAGTGCGGTCCTGGCAGCTCCTGCCGCGCCAGCGTAGGGGCGGGGCACTCACCAGCCGCCCCCTGCCTCGGTTGCCATTGCGGCTCATTTAGAGAAATGGACGGGCCTGAAGCACACCCAGCCACTCAAGGGGAGGGCCAGCAGGGGCGGAGGGCCCAGCCACGTCAGCAGCACACTCCCTGCACCTGCAGGGCCTGGGCTGGAAGCGGCAGGGCTGGCTAGATGCTAGGGTGCTGAGTGTGGGTAACCCCTGGGGCTGGCTCCAGGTGGGCAGTGAGCCTGTGCCAGCACAGCCAGGGGTCTGCCCACATAGATGGTGGTCCGGGTGCACAGGTAGAGGCGGCCGGTGTGTCCAGTCTCCATCCCTTCCAAAGGCACCTGCGAAGGCTCCTTGGCCCAGCCCCTGCCTGGCCCAGCTGTGCCATCTGTGGGCATCGTGGGCTGGTGTCTTCCTCTAGGCCTTGGCCACATTCCCACCTGTGGGCTGAGGGGCCGAGGTGCCCTCAGCTGATGTGGCTGGCATTGTGGGTTCTGTGTGGTGGCCAGGAGGGGCAGAGGTGCCTTCCTTCTCGTGATGGGGACGTTCTGCCTGAGCTGGCCAGAATCAGGCAGGAGCCCTACCCGAATCTTTCCCTCCAAACAGTGGAGGGGCCTGGGAGGCCCGTTCGTGGGGAGAGCCTGAGCCTCCCGTGGTGCCCACTATGATTCCACTTTTCCGCACAACTGCAGGGTCCCCACAGCCTGCCAGTGCCGTCTGCCGGAAGCTGATGTCACGCATGACTGGCCCGGTTTGTGTGCTCATCAGTACTAATCACTGCAGCCCCTCGCTGCGCCCCAGGGGCCCTGCCGATGACCTGCCTGGCTGGCATGATGGAGGGCCGAGGCGTTGCAGCGGGGGGAGTGCGTATGCGCCACAGGCTGGCTCCATCCTGCCCTGCTCGGTGTCTAGATGAGAAAAGCAGCTGGGAACTGCCCATGTGTGGTCGGGGAAGAGAAAAGCAGAGGCTGGGCTTCCGGATCGGGGAGCGAGGCGGGAGCCCCATGGCAGGCCTGGGCCCCAGGGACTGACCCTCATGTTTCTCGGAACCCAGCAGTAAGGACTGGTGAATCCAGACGGTGGGTGCAAGGCATGGCACGCTCCCTGAGCTCCCAGCATTCACGGGAGGGGTGTGTGTCTGCAGGATGGTGGGGGCACTGGCCGGGCACAGGCCTTGTCCTGCAGGAGCAGACACCCAGGACCACAGCAGATGCGGCGGCCGGGCCTAGCCGCACATGGGCCTGACAGGGAGGGGACTGAGGAGGGCAGAGAGAAGAAACAGACAAAGAACCAAGGAGGCTTTCCTGTCCTGCCTCGGAGAGTGGCCTTGGAGCGTGGCCATGCAGCCCCTCACTGCACCAGGTGTCAGTAGAAACGAGGCTGTTGGTCCTGCAGATGGGTGCCCGCAGGTGAACGTCCAGGCGGTGAGCCCAGCTCCTGGGCTGGGCTGCATTTGAACTGCATGGCCTGGCTCTGCGTGAAACTCGAGGGCCTGAGGGGGCGCGAGAGCAGGGTACAGGTTTGTGGGGTGAGCAACCCGGCCCCGTCCTGGCTGCTAGGGGCGAGAGCCACAGGATCGGGAATGACCATGCACGTGTGCTCACGCCTGTGTGCATGCCCACCGCCCACCGTGTGCATGTCAGTCTCTGCGTGTGCTCCTGAGTGCACTTGTGTGTCCTGGCAGGATCATGTTTGCTGTGTGGTAACACCGAGTGGACGCTGGGAGGCAGGCCCTGGGTGGGCCAATGGCTCCAGGCCAGCTCCACTGTGGATGCTGCAGACACTGGGGAGACCAGGGCCCGAGCCAGGATGGGGCCTGCGGTGGCAGCCCGGGTGGGAGTGGTGGGGACACACGGCCTGAGGCTCCTGGGAGAGAGGGCAGTCTCCTGTGGACCTCACGGTGGCACTTGAGGGCCAGAGACCTCCTGTTTGACCTCACTGCCCCCTGCACATGGTGGACCTCGGGGAAGCCGCTCCTGATGGCCCCTGGGGTCTGCCTACCCCTTCTTGGAGGCCAGAGCCCATGTCACCCCCAGTGTAGCCTTGGCCTCGCCACCTTCAGGACCTAGCGTGTGGAAGTGCCAGGGGTGAGCACCAGGCTACCAAGGTGGCGACTCTGTGTGGCCCCAGGGGACAACTCAGACTGGGCCGACTTCAGAAAGGGGCTGGTGGAGGGGCCCTTGTTGTGCAGCCCTGGCGAGCTACACTGGTCGGGGGCCAAGCTGGATTTCAGCTGCTCCATAGCCCTTCACCTTGGCTGGGCCACCCTGTCCACCCCCACCAGCCTCAGCAAAGGCTGTGAGGAGCTGCCAGGCCCAGGTGCCTTCCAGGAGGTGCCTCGGACTAGGCCTGGCTATGCAGGGAAGGGCATCTGTGCTCACAATGGGCAGAGCCTCCTGTCCCAGGAACAGCGAGAGCTGTTGCCTGAGCTGCCTTCAACGAGAGACAGTTCTGCGGACGCTGCCTCTGACTGGCTGCAGTAGCAGGCGCTGTACCCCAAGCAGGCCCGGGGGTCTGCGCCCCGCTCAGACATATGTCACGGTCTGAAATGCAAGAGCCCAGGGCTCTCGGGAACATGGGCCACATGCTCTGTTGGAGTTTTCATGGCTGTTTCTCCAAGAGCGCCATCAGCCACTGTCAGGGACGCTGCCTGACGGGACTCCTTGTGCCTGAGAGTCTCCAGCGTGGGGCCTGGTGTTGGGTGTGCAGCAGCCTTGGTGGGGGCAGGATCACCTGCGAGCTGCAGGAGAGGAGATGGGGACTCTGGGCTCACCTGCCTTGTCGGCTGGTCTGGAACTTGCCTGCCTCGTTCCCTGGGGCTCCCCCTGCTCCCCTGCCTTTGCCCCTCAGCAGTCTCCTAGCCAAGCTGGGAGGGGTGGGGGTGTGAGGGGCCTTTGAGCTGGACCTGCAGGGAAGGTGGGGCCTGCGCTTGGCAGGTGCTTCCTGAGGGCGGCATGGTCCCAGAGGCTGTGGAGCCAGCTGAGGCCGTGGGTGTGAGCATGGTGCCAGCCATGCAGCAGCACAGGGCGGGTCTGGCCCTGACTCCCAGTGCCCCCAGCTCTCCTCCCACGCCCCCCGCCCCGACTTCCCCACAGCGCCTGGGCACCCCCTGCCCAGGCTGTCCCCGCCTCTTGCAGCCCCGACTCCTCTGGCGCTGGGCCTATGCCCTGCTCTCTCCTCTCTCAGGAACCCCAGGCTCTGCTCCTTCCAGGCAGGCTCGGCTCTCCTGGAGGGGCACTTCCCGGGGTCCTGCCCGCTGCGTGTACCTCCCCGCGCCACTGAGCACTCTCAGTTGTAATCACAGCTCTAATTAGGCGATTAATCGTGGGAACTCTGCTCTGTGGGAGGAGACGTTGCCTCGTCCCTGGCGCCCTCTTGCGGCTGTGGGGCTGAAGGTGCAACCCCCTGAGCTCTGGGGTGGTCAGGCAGTGCCGGAGGAAGAGGCCCAGCCAGTGAGTGGGGCGGGGAGTGTGACTGGAGCTGTGTCCGGGGGCCGGGTGAACTCAGGTTTCTGGGGATGGCACAGGGCCTCCTGCCCTCTCTTTAGGCCGTGTCCTGCTTGCCTGTGGGGCATTCACGGCCGTACTGGAAGGTGCCATCCCCAGTCGGTGCTGCTGCCCGGCCCCTCCTGCCTCGTGCTCAGGGCACCGGGGCCAGAGACCTGGGCTGGCACAGAGTTGGCACCGCCTCAGAAACTGCAAGAGGACTGGAAAGACACAGAAACGGGTCACAGACACCAGGAAAAGTAGGTTTGCAGGCGTGCAAGCTGCCGTTAGTCAGAGAAGGACATAGGCAGTGTGGAGATGGTGAGGTGCCAGGGCAGCTGTTGATAAAAAGCAGATCAGGCAGTGTACAAAGAAGGTGGAATCTTCAGGAATTAGGGATGGGGGGCCTGACTGGCCGGAATGCCCTCAGCCCACAGCCCACAGCCATCCGTCACCCTGGGCAGCGCTGCAGTGGCCCCGGGGGCTGCACCTGGACTAGCCCCTTCCCTGCTCGCTCTCCTTGCATGCAGGGTCTGGGCTGCCCCAGGCCTGTTCTGTGGGTCTGGCCCATCCTGGCCGCTCGCTGCTGTCACTTCTCCCGGGAACATGGTGTGGTGCAAGGTGTCTGTCAGGCAAGTCAACATCATCCCTTCGTGGGCCCCACGCCGTCCTGTCTGCTGCTGTGGGGGTGGCTGTGGCTGATTCCAGCAAATTCCGTGCCAGTCTTGGCCTCCTGCTCAGCTCTCCCCGCTCCCCAGCTGGGATGAAGCCTGCGGAGGCTTGGGGAAGGGGCTTCTAGAACCAGGGTATTTTCTCGGGCTGGCAGCCCAGCAGTGACAGTTTTGCTGTCTTTGCGCTGGGCCCGTCTGCACCAGGGCCCACTCTCGTGCCTGCTATTTCTGGAGGCCCTGGTGCTCCCATCTCTGTAGCCCACTGTGCATAAGGCCCAGGGGCTGGTGGATGCTGGCCTGGGGCACGGTCAGAGGCCTTCTGGGTCTCCACCTCAGTTGATGGGCGAGACCCTCCCTGATGGACCCTCCCATCAGCAGGCTGGGAGCTGGACAGATAGCTGGACAGCTCCCCAGGATACTCACCTTGGCCCTGGTGGGCTGGACAGTGAAGTGGTGGAGCAGCCTTCTCTCCTGCTTGGCAGCCTCAGACAGTTCTTTGCACAGAGTAGTAATTCTAGTTTCATCTTCTTATTCATTAACCAATTGTGAAATTAGCAACTTATTTTCTTCCTAGTTATTTCCCTTTGAAGTTCCATAAAAATCTGAACTCTCCCTCACTCCTGCTCCACATAAAACAGAGCAAGGCTGCGACCCCCATCTGATCAGACCAGCCATCTGTGTTGGAATTGTCCGAGGAGAGTGAGCCGGGTGGGCAGGGCCAGGCTCTGCAGGACTCCTGGACCCCTGATGGCCGGGCCCAGCCTCAGCGGCCGCCCTCCTGATGATGCGTCATTGGGCATGTGGTGCTTGGTACACAGCAGGGCTCTCGAGGTGCCTGAGGGCTGTCCCACCTGGTCCCCGGCCTGAGGGCATGGTGCCGTGTGCAAGAGCTCAAACCCTGCTGATGGATGGGCTCATATCTCATTCACATATGATGCCAGCAGTTTCTTTGTAGTTTGTCTTCCATTGCGGTAGTAAAGTTTTTAATTAGGAAAGCTAATGAGATCGATTAGTCATTAGAAGTGACCTCTTGATGGCGGGCAGAGAGGGCTGCGTGTGTGGGGCTGATAACGCGGGCCGGGGCATCGCCGGCAATAAAGGCGCAAGGGGTTTGATGTGCGCGGAGTGTGCCACGGGAATGCATCACGTGGAGAAAAAAAATTACAGCCCTGGGAGTCTGTAATGAGGGGAATTAAACCAACATCCTATCTAAATAACACGATTATCTACACAAACCCCAGCCAGCCAGGAGGGATGGGCGCCTGGGCCTGTGTCCTCAGGGAGGAGGGCAGAGGCCTGTTTCTGCCTGGGTCCTTCTTGGCTACAGAGCAGCGTCCTGCAGCCTCCCAAGCCTTGCCACCTGCCCACGCCATCGCTGCACACCCTGGGGAACAGGGCCAGGGAGGGACCCTTCCTTCCTGCAGCCTGACTTTCTGGGTCCGTGTGCCATGCATGGTCTTAGGAGCCCTTGCTCCTGCCAGTCGCTGGGTGCCCAGCTCAGAATTCATCTGCTACTACCCATCTGTCCGGCTGTGCCCTGCTCATCCTGGGTTGTCATGAGCTTGTCCGAGCTGCCCATCTGGGAATGACAGGGACTGCCCATGGTCTGCAGGGCCAGGCCGTGGGGGACACGACCCTGCTGTGGGGGTGGGTTGCAGGCTGGAGCCCAGCTTGGGCCCACACTAGCTGCCACCTTGTCACTGTGAGCCCCTTGAAGTGCCCCCAGTCTGGTAGGGACTGTAGGAGAGGGGTCTATCTAGGTGACGTGCAGAATATACCTGCCCAGCCTGAGTGGGCTGTGACAAGAGGCTGGCGCTGCGTTATTACCGTGTGGTTTTCAGGAGTGACACTTGGGCACTAAGAAGTAACACGCAGTAAGGCAAAGAAGCCTGACCTGACCACTGCCAGCACTGCGCAGGAGTGTGATCATGGTGCCGCCGCCCGCCAGGCCCTGCCTGCCCCAAGCTGCCCCTCCTGGGCAGAAGTGTTCTAGAATGCAGAGTCCAGTCCTGTGTGCAGTCGGGGCTGG